>NC_000011.10:47938787-48241818 GCF_000001405.40 Homo sapiens
AGCCAGAGTACACCATTGCACTCCAGCCTGGGAGGCACAGTGAGATTCCGTCTCAAAAAAAAAAAGTAGGGATATAATAAACAGTTATTGAGTGAATGGAGGGATGGGCTGAATTGATTGGAACAAAGAGTTCTGGTGAAACAAAGAAGTGAGTGGGTCAGGGAGACATATTTGAAAGGATTAGGGCGAGATTGAGGTGAGGTGGGCCTCAGATGGTAGCTGAAAGCCTCTAACTGTTTTCTGTGGGCAGTAGAGAGCTGCTGAAAGTTGTTGATTTCCTGAAAGCAAGGTTTGCTTAATACTAGTGTGTAGGATGGATTAGAGGAGTGCCTAGGGGTAGGCAGTTAGGAGAGTTAGGAGACTACTGGAAATCCATAGGCCGGGTGTGGTGGCTCATGTCTGTAATCCCAGCACTTTGGGAGGCTGAGGCAGGAGGACTGCTCGAGGCCAGGAGTTTGAGACCAGCATGGGCAACATGAGAAAACCCCATCTCTACAAAAAAATACAAAAATTAGTTGGGCATGGTGGCATGCCTGTTGTCCCAGCTACTCGGGTGGCTGAAGTTGGGGGATCACTTGAGCCTGGGAAGCGGAGGTTGCAGTGAGCTGAGATCATGCTATTGCACTCCAGCCTGGGTGACAGAGTGAAACCCTGTCTCAAAAAAAAAAAAAAAAAAAAAAAAATCCAGGCAAGTGAAGAATGATTTATTTTTAAACTAAATAAATTGCCTGCTTTGACCATATAACAACAATAATGATAACGACTCTTGCTTGCACAGAACTTACTGTGTGTTTTTGTTTGAGTGTTTGAGTGTCTGAGTAGACCAGCTGGAATGTGTCCCAGTGGTGGTGGGGTCTGAATTGAAATGAGATGGGGTGGTACCAAGGTATCAGCTTGTCCTTATTCTGAAATTACGGTTTGTGGGTAATATCATTTGAGTCAGTCTTTAAAAGGTTAACAGGCTGGGCGTGGTGACTCATGCCTATAATCCCAGCACTTTGGGAGGTCAAGGCGGGACAGATCATTTGAGGTCAGGAGTTCGAGACCAGCCTGGCCAACATGGTGAAACCCTGTCTGTACAAAAAATACAAAAATTGGCCAGGCTTGGTGGCACACTCTTATAGTCCCAGCTACTCAGGAGGCTAAGGCAGGAGAATTGCTTGAATCCAGGAGGCGGAGGTTGTAGTGAGCTGAGATGGCGCCACTGCACTCCAGCCTGGGTGACAGAGCGATCATTTGTCTCAAAAAAAAAAAAAGGGGGGTTAACAATCAGGTCATAGGATTTAAGAATTTAAAGTCTTAGCTCCAGAAGAGACCCAGTCCAAGTCTTTTCATTTTACAGATAAGGAAAAATGAGATTAGAGAAGGGAAGTGACTTGCCCAAGGTCAAGAGGCCAAAAGTGTTTCTTCTGTTTTCCAGAGATATTTCTTCTCTCTGAGTTAGGTTTCTTCATTTCGAAAATACAGAGTCAAATCCTTCTGCACAGGGCTAAATTAATATTATTATTTTATTTTAATTTTTTTTTTTAGACACAGGGTCTTGCTCTGTCACCCAGGTTGGAGTGCAGTCATGTGATTATAGCTCACTGCAGCCTCGAACTCCTGGGCTCAAGTGCTCCATCTGCCTCAGCCTCCCAAGTAGCTAGATTACCTGCCATCCCACCCAGCAGGATCAAATAAATATTATGAGAGGCCTTTATAAATATTATGACACCTCATCTCAATCAAAACCATAAAATGAGGGGCTCACTTGATATTTTATTATTATTTGGCCATAGCTGCGAGCTTGGCTTTAGCTCAGGCCCAGATTCATTCTTTTCTTTTCTTTTTTTTTTGAGACGGAGTTTCGCTCTTGTTGCCCAGGCTGGAGCGCAATTGCCCAATCTCCGCTCACCACAACCTCCACCTCCCAGGTTCAAGCGATTCTCCTGCCTCGGCCTCCCGAATAGCTGGGACTACAGGCATGTGCCACCACGCCCGGCTAATTTTTGTATTTTTAGTAGAGATGGGGTTTCTCCATGTTGATCAGGCTGGTCTCGAACTCCCAACCTCAGGTGATCCGCCCGCCTCGGCCTCCCAAAGTGCTGGGATTACAGGCGTGAGCCACTGCGCCCGGCCTGATTCATTCTTTCAACAAATTTTAGTGCCTACGAATGCAGGTCTTGTTCTCAGCACTGGAAATGCTACAGTGAATCCAGCATTCACAAGCCCTATCCTAACAGTGCTTTCATGCTAGTGAAATGTGTGTGTGTGTGTCTGTGTCTGTGTCTGTGTTTGTGTTCTGTGATGATAGGTGCTATGGAGAAAAATCAAGCAGGAAAGAGGAGCAGGGACTTGCCAGAGGCAGGGGAGGGACTGGAATTGTAAATAGGGGGATCCAGGAGGGACTCTCAGAAAAAGTGACGCAGATTCTGGGCTGCACCTTAGCACAGTGAAGGGGGACACTTTTTAAAGAACTATACTTGTTCTTGGGTAGCAGAGTCCTGAGGGAAGACTGACTTTGCTAGGATTCGGGGTGATGACCGTCGACACTGGCTTGGAGCAGAGGCTACAGAAATGAAATCTTCCCTATCAGCACTCTTCTAGACCATCAGATGTTAACTTTCTGCTTCCTTCTTGAAAACCAAACCCAAGCTAAAGACTTCAGGGGGTAGCAGAAATAATTTGCACTACGACTCATCTTCAAGTCTTCTTTGGGAAAGGGCAGGGACTGACATTGGTCCATTCCTACTATATGCCAAGTGCAGTGCTGGCCTCCTCCATACACCGTCCCATTTTATCCTCCAGGCAGCCCTGCAAGGGGGTATTTTTGTCCCCATTTTGGAGATGAGGTAACTGAGGCTCAGTGTGCGCATGTGACTTGCCCCACGTCGGCACAGCTGGTCAAAGATAGATCAGAGATTCAAATGCCGGGCCAGTTGGCCTGGCACCATATCCTGTACTCTCTCTGTGGCATCACAGCCTCTTCCGCAGATGGAGAGCAGGAGTGGCTTGAAAGCCACTACTGAAACCTTTCCCAAAAGGCAATTTAGAAATTGTATAGTCCAACTCCTTCATTTCACAATGCAAATGAGATAACGTGTGAATGCCTGCCTAAACACCTTATAAGCATACAATGAATGTTGGTTTTCTGTCTTTGCAGGTTAGAGATGTGGTTGCTTGCCTGAGATCGCACAGCAGGTTAGCAGCAAAGCTTGTATTCTAAAGCAGCCTCTGGACCTCCAGATCCCTCTGTCCTAGATTCACTACCCTCGGAGCCACTTCATGTTTAGTGGTCAAAGACTGTATTGTCAATGACAAAGAGAAAGAGGAAGAACTGTCAGGCTACAGAGGGCCAGATGCCCAGTTCTCAAGACCCCATGGGCAGGAGGGGAACAAGAAGAAAGTGGGAAGCTCTGCCCTACTCCTCCCCATCCCCAGATGGGGAGGGATGGAGAGGCAAGAGAAAACCTCTCTAGATGGCCTTTGTTCACACTTACAGCCAAGCGGTATTTATTCAGCACCGTTGGGTGCTAGACACCGAGGATCAGGAACTGCATGCAGGAGCAAAACTCATCTCAGCCCTTGGTGCTGGCAGGTTAGTTAGTGGGAGGGACAGAGGAGCAAACAGATTGTGAAACCTACCACTGGGGTCAGCAGAAGGATGAGTGATGTGTTCAAGGTTGCAGGACTGTCAGGTGATTCCTGTGATGTCTTCACACCGTTGTTTCTGGCAGAAATTGCCTAAAAATATTCACTCCTTCGTCAATGAGCTGTGATCATGTAAGGTTTCTATAAAAATGATGATTATGGCCAGGCAAGGTGGTTCATGCCTGTAATCCCAGCACTTTGGGAGGCTGAGGAGGGAAAATTGCTTGAGCCCAGGAGTTTGAGACCAGCCTGGGCAACATAGTGACACTTCATCTCCACAAAAAAGAAAAAAATTAGCTGAGTGTGATGGCGCGAGCACACCTGTAGGCTGAGGTCACTTGAGCTGGGAAGATTGAGGCTGCAGTGAGCCGTGATCATGCCACTGCACTCCAGCCTGGGTGATAGAGAAAGATCTGGGCTCAACAAAACAAAATTACTTTTTTAAAAAAGGATAATTATGGCCGAACGCGGTGGCTCAAGCCTGTAATCCCAGCATTTTGAGAGGCTGAGACGGGCGGATCACTTGAGTTCAGGAATTTGAGACCAGCCTGGGCCAACATGGTGAAACCCTGTCTCTACTAAAAATACAAAAATTAGCCAGTCGTGGTGGCGGGCACCTGTAATCCCAGCTACTTGGGAGGCTGAGGCAGGAGACTCACTTGAACCTGGGAGGCGGAGGTTGCAGTGAGTTGAGATCACGTCACTGTACTCCAGCCTGGACAACACAGTGAGACCTGTTTAACACACACACACACACACACACACACACACACACACACACACACACACACGGGGTCTGCTGAAATCTCAGTGAAGCTGCACAGACACGCATCTGTTACAGTGAATTTGCTTTTCCAAGTTCTTTGCTTTAAGAGGCAGGGTGGCGGTGGGTACTGAGAGCTGGCGTGGGGCTGGCTGTCTTGGTTTCACATTCACTGGAGTAACCCTAATAACAATAATAATGGCAATTATTATTAGTATTACTATTTTCTTTTAGAGTCGGAGTTTCGCTATCGTTGCCCAGGCTGGAGTGCAATGGCGTGATCTCCACTCACTGCAACCTCCGCCTCCCGGGTTCAAGCGATTCTCCTGCCTCAGCCTCCCGAGTAGCTGGGATTACAGGCATGCGCCACCATGCCCGGCTAATTTTATATTTTTAGTAGAGACGGGGTTTCTCCATGTTGGTCAGGCTGGTCTCGAACTCCCGACCTCAGGTGATCCACCCGCCTCGGCCTCCCAAAGTGCTGGGCTTACAGGCGTGAGCCACCCGCTCGGCTAATAATGGCAATTATTATAGGTGGGAGGGGGTGGGGGGAAGACAGAGAGAGGGAGGGGGACAGGCTAAGGGTGGGGGTGGGCCAAGTCAGGAGAAGGCGTGGTTTGCATTTAGTTTTCCCAGCAACCAATTAGGTCACTCCATTATTCTTGCTTTTTCACAGCTGAAAAGACACAGGCTCAGAGAACTCCAAGGCCACACAGCTGGTGAAAATTCTAATTTAAAGCCATGTAGGCTCCATTTCTCCATCTATGTGTGTGTGTGGGGGGGGGGGCGGGGTGTGACACGGGGACTTAATTCCTTCTCTTTTAATGAGAAAATGCCACGTGGCGGAGGTGGGGAGGGTGGGAGGAGTCCCGGCGATTTCCGTGTCTAGGACTGAAGCCTCCCTACTTTTGGAGCTGCCTGGCTTTGTTTGGAAAAGTCACCAGGAGGGCCTTTCTGAGAACTCAGGGCAAATCCCCGCCCATTGTCTTTGAGGACGAGGGTGGGGTCACCCCAATCTCGCAGTTGCAGCGGACTGCGCTAGGAGTTCTTTTTAGTGATGTGAATTGGGTGTCTTTTTAGCAGACCTTCACCCTTGGGGAGTCAGGGAGAAATAGTATTCCTGGAGGGAGATTCCAACTGGACAGTGGTTCCTCCCTAGGAGGTTACTGGAGATTAAATAATGGAGACTAAGATTCAATAATGGAGACTAAGAAGATACCGTGGGCCCTTGTGACTGCCTCCTCTGAGCCATCACGTTTTCATTCACTCCCTCACTCATTCCCTTGTGTCAGGAGCTCTGCTAGGCTTTGGGAAGGCACTGGTGAGTTACCCCCAGCTGAATCTTGGAGGAATTAAAAGGGCAGCACATTAGCCCAGAATAGAGCAGCTAGTAAGGATTGGAACTGACTGTTGAACCTGTGAAGCCACCTGGGGTCTTGATGTCATGGTAGTGCCCTCATGGAGGAAAAACATTTTCAGAAGAATAAAGGGCTCTGAATCATATTAATATTTGGATATTTTAAAATCAGAAAGATCAAGTGGGAGATAAGAGAAATTTACAGTTACAGACTGGAACCAGGGAATGCAGCCTAGAGAGGTGGTTGGCTGGTTATCTTTTGAATCTAAATTAAGTTCTCTTTTAAATTTGAATTTAAATGCCTTTAGGTGGGGGTTGAAAACTTCCTTGGTTCTCACCACTGTCTGTTGATTCACATACAGTATTTATTGGCCATCTGCCTAAAAAAAAATGGTGAATAAGTTGACATTCATTTCCATTCATTCCACATAGGTGTATGTACACACACACACACACAAACACACACACACATATAGTTGGTTGGTTGTTTTGTTTTGCTGGGGCTCAAGTGATTCTCCCACCTCGGACTCCCGAATAGCAGGATAGCAGGAACTACAAGCGTGTGCAACCATACTTGACTAATTTTTTTTTTTTGTGAGACAGAGTCTTACTCTGTCGGTCAGGCTGGAGTGCAGTGGCGCAGTCTTGGCTCACTGCAACCTCTGCCTCCTGGGTTCAAGCAATTCTCTTGCCTCGGCCTCCCAAGTAGCTGGGACTATAGGCGCATGCCACCACACCTGGCTAATTTTTGGATTGTTTGGTAGAGACAGGGTTTCACCATGTTGGCCAGGCTGAGGGTTTTTTTTTTTAAGTTTTTCATTTTTGGAGACGGAGTCTTGCTTTGTTGCCCACCCAGGCTGGAGTGCAGTGGCACAATTTTAGCTCACGGCAACCTCTACCTCCTGAGTTCAAGTGATTCTCCTGCTTCAGCCTCCTGAATAGCTGGGACTACTGGTATGTGCCATCACGCCCGACTAATTTTTGTATTTTTAGTAGAGACGGGGTTTCACCATGTTGGTCAGGCTGGTCTCCAACTCCTGACCTCAGGTGATCCGCCCGCCTCGGCCTCCCAAAGTGTTGGCATTACAGGCGTGAGCCACTGCTCCCGGCCTTTTTTTTTTTTAGTAGAGACAGATTTTCACTATCTTGCCCAGGCAGGTCTCAAACTCCTGAGCTCAAGTGGTTCTCCTGCCTTAGTCTTCTGAAGTGGTAGGATTAAAGATGTAAGCCACTGAACCCAGTCTTTTTTTTTTTTTTTTTTTTTTTTGAGACTGGGTCTCTCGCTCTGTGGCCTAGGCTGGAGTATAGTCATTATGATCAAGGCTTACTGTAGCCTCGACCTCCTGAGCTCGAGCAATCCTCATGCCTCAGCCTCCCGAGTAGCTGGGACTATAGGCAGACACCCCTACGCCTGGCTAATTTTTGTATTTTTTTATTTTGTAGAGACAGGGTCTCACTACGTTGCCCAGGTGGGTCTTCAACTCCTGAGCTGAAGCGATTTTCCCTCCTCAGCCCCAAAGTGCTGGAATAACAGGCAGTGAGCCACCCTGCCTGGCCCCCTATATGTATATTGAGAACTGCTATGTGCTGGCACTTTTCTAGGTCTTGGGAATACAGCAATGAAGAAAACAGACAACAATGGAACTTAAAATCCATTGTGGTTGGGGAGAGATCAATAGAGAAGATACATGCTAGATGGTGATAAGTGCTAAGGAGGAAAAGTGGGAAAGGGGTTAAAGAGTATTGGAGGAGGAGCAGTTAGAAGGGTTGGCCATTGTAGGCTTCACTGGGAAGATTAATATTTAGTAAATACCTGAATTAGGTGCGAGAGCTGGCCATGTGGCTGTCTGAGGCAAAAGCATTCTAAGCATAGAAAACAACAAATGTGGCGGCTAGGCGCGGTGGCTCACACCTGCAGCCCAGAACTTTGGGAGGTCGAGGTGGGTGGATCACCTGAGGTCAGGAGTTTGAGACCAGCCTGGCCAACATGGCGAAACCCCGTCTCTACCAAAAATACAAAAATTAGCCAGGCATGGTGGTGTATGCCTGTAATCCCAGCTACTGGGAGGCTGAGGCAGAATTGCTTGAACCTGGGAAGCAGAGGTTGCAGTGAGCCGAGATGGCACCACTGCACTCTATCCTGGGTGACAAAGTGAGATTGTGCCTTAAAAAAAGAGAGAGAGAGAAGGGAGGGAAAAGAAAACAACAAATGCAAAGGCCTTAAAGTGAGACCAGGTGTGTTAGAGGAACCCCATGGACATGCCACATACTATTCTAAGTTTTCTCACTCCTAGGAGGGAGATACTATTATTGTTCCCATTTACAGATGGGCAAATTGTGACCAGAGATGATAAGAAACTTGCTCCAGGTTGCATAAGAGGCAGAGGTAGCTGCTGAGGAAGGCAGAGTTTGTGCTCTTAAACACTAAGCTATTAAATCATTAAATAAATGATTTCATTAGCCTGGGTAGACCCAGGTACCAAAGATTTATACCTCCAGCTCCCAGTGAACTTTCCAAGCCCTTAAGGAAAACCCCGGGTGTGGTTGTAGGGGAGGGAGTGACTCAGGCCTTGGCTGGCTTCCTGCTGAGTCACTACTCCTGGGCCCAGGAGGGAGGCTCAATCCTCATCTCTTCGCAGTGGCAGGTTCCTGCCTTTTTGGGGGAAATGTCTGGCGCCAGGTCTTAACCGCACACCATCGGTGGATGAATTTGTCTGACTTTCCTAACAGCTTCGTTGTGAAATTGTGGGTGCGCTCCATTTCCTAATGTGACCCTTCAGCCAGCAAGAGGGAACTTTCTGCCCAGCCTAGCACTTCATTCTCCAAGGTGTCCTCGATGGACAGGTTCTGCCCCTTGACAGGCTGGCTGGCTTCCATCTCAGGTCAAACAGCTGTGTGCTTGGCACGCTCAAGACAAAGTTGAGCAAGATGCCAAGGGAGCCACACGCATTATCCTGGGCCTGGTGATGCTCACTCCAGACACATTCACAGATACAGCAAAGAAGAAATGGGTAAGGACTGTGATGTGGATGCCAAGTGCCATGCACCAAGTTGGTTAATACTTCAAACCAAGAGTCAGCCAGGCATGGTGGTGTGTGCCTGTAGTCCCAGCTACTTGGGAGGCTGAGGCAGGAGGATCACTTGAGCCCCGGAGGTAGATGCTGCAGTGAGCTTTGATTGTGCCACTGCACTCCAGCCTGGGTGACAGAGAGAGACTGTCTCTAAAAACAACAAACAGGCTGGGAGCGGTGGCTCACACCTGTAATCCTAGCACTTTGGGAGGCCGAGGCAGGTGGATCACCTGAGGTCAGGAGTTTGAGACCAGCCTGGCCCACATCATAAAACCCTGTCTCTAATAAAAATACAAAAAATTAGCCAGACTTGGTGTTGGGCGCCTGTAATCCCAGCTACTCGGGAGGCTGAGGCAGGAGAATCACTTGAACCTGGGAGGCGGAGGTTGCAGTGAGCCGAGATCGCTCCATTGCACTCCAGGCTGGGCAACAAGAGTGAAACTCCATCTCAGAAAACAAACAAACAAACAACCAGTGATTCATGAATAATAATAATAGTTAACATATAGTGAGTATTTAAAGTGTGCCAGGCAGTATTCTAAGCACGTAACATGTTTTATTTCATTTTTGTAAACCTCACAATAACTTGGAGGAACTTCCTATTTTATAGATAAGAAAACGGAGGCACAGAGACATCACAGCTAGGAAAGGGCACAGAGGACAGCAGGGACAAAATCCTGGAGTCAGGAAAGTCTGGGCTGGATTTAGGGAGCTGCAAGGAGCTGCTGTAAGTGGGTGGAGGAGGAGTTACAGTGAGAGATAAGGCTGGAGAGGACAGTAGGGCCAGAGTCAGAATTTGGACTGGAGTTCATGGCTGGTAGGGAGCCACTGAGGACTTTTGAACATGTCTTTCCTTGGTGCTTCTGAGTTGCATCTTTTTTTCTTTTTCTTTTTTTTGAGACGGAGTTTTGCTCTTGTTGCCCAGGCTGGAATGCGATGGCACGATCTTGGTTCACTGCAACCTCCACCTCCCGGGTTCAAGCAATTCTCCTACCTCAGCCTCTGGAGTAGATGAGGTTACAGGCGCTCACCACCACACCTGGTTAATTTTTGGTATTTTAAGTAGAGAACGGGGTTTCACCATGTTGGTCAGGCTGGTCTCCAACTCCTGACCTCAGGTGATCTGCCCGCCTTGGCCTCCCAAAGTGCTGGGATTACAGATGTGAGCCACCGAGCCTGGCCAGAGCTGCATCTTTGTTCATTTGGTTTAGCGCCACCTTGGAGAACAAAGAGTGAGGATTGAACAAAAACAGTAGAAAAAACTCAGGCTCTTTGTGTGATGAGGAGCCTGTCACTTGCTCACCCAGAATTTTCTGTATTTGTTGTGCTCCTGCTCTGGAATATCCTCTAGATAAGAAATGTATGTTCCCGGAAATGTTCCAACAGGTGTTTTCCACAGCTGGACCATCCTCTCCTTTCGAGCCATGCCCACCTACCCTGATTCAACTCACTTTTCCTGACTTTCACTCCTTGTTCCCCAACTCTAATGTGCACATTAGTTGTTTCTGGCTAGCTAGCATTTCCACTTCTGTAAAACTTCTCCTCATCCTTGTTACAAGATCTGGTGGCCAGGTGCCATGGCTTACTCCTGTAATCCTAGCACTTTGGGAGGCCAAGGGGGACGGATCACTTGAGCTCAGGAGTTTGAGACCAGCCTGGTCAGCATGGTGAAACCCCATCTCTACTAAAAATACAAAAAATTAGCCGGGCATGATGGTGCGCGCCTGTAATCCCAGCTACTTGGGAGGCTGAGGCAGAAGAATCACTTGAACTTGGGATGATTCAACCTGCGGATGTTGCAGTGAGCTGAGATCGGGCCAGTGCACTCCTGTCTGGGCGACAAAGCGAGACTCAGTCTCAAAAAAACAAAAACAAAAACAAGATCTGGTGAGGTTGCCTCACAATATTTTCTTGTGGTAGACACCATTAGTGACCTACCCAATGCAGTCTCCCTCCTTCCTGGCTCAGGAAATACCAGTTTTGCTGGGCACAGTGGCTCATGCCTATAATCCTAGCACTCTGGGAGGCCAAGGCAGGAGGATTGCTTGAGTTCAGGAGTTTGAGACCAGCTGGGTAATGTAGTGATACACCATCTCTACAAAAAATACAAAAATTAGCTGGGTGTGGTGGTGCGCGCCTGTAGTCCCAGCTCCTTGGGAAGCTGAGGTAGGAGGATTGCTTGAGCCTGGGCGGATGAGGCTGCAGTAAGCTGAGATTGTGCCACTACACTCCAGCCTGGGTGACAGAGCAAGACCCATCTCAAAAAAAAAAAGAAAGAAAGAAAGAAAGAAAGAAAAAGAGGCTGGACGTGGTGGCTCATGCCTGTAATCCCAGAACTGTGGGAGGCCAAGGCAGGTGGATTGCCTGAGGTCAGGAGTTTGAGACCAGCCTGGCCAACATAGTGAAACCCCGTCTCTACTAAAAATACAAAAAATTAACTGGGTGTGGTGGTGGGTGCCTGTAAACCCAGCTACTCAGGAGGCTCAGACAGGAGAATCGCTTGAACCCACAAGGTAGAGGTTACAGTGAGCCGAGATCACACCATTGCACTTCAGCCTGGGCAACAAAAGCGAAACTCTGTCTTAAAAAAAAAAAAAAAAAAAAAAAAAAAAGCCGGGCGCGGTGACTCACGCCTGTAATCCCAACACTTTAGGAGGCCAAGGCGGGCAGATCGCAAGGTCAGGAGTTCAAGACCTGCCTGGCCAATATGGTGAAACCCTGTCTTTAATAAAAATACAAAAAAATTAGCCGTGTGTGGTGGCATGCACCTGTAGTGCCAGCTACTTGGGAGGCTGAGGCAGGAGAATTGCTTGAACCCGGGAGGTGGAGGTTGCAGTCAGCCGAGATGGTGCCACTGCACTCCACCCTAGGCGACAGAGAAAGACTCTGACTCAAAAAAAAAAAAAAAAAGGAAAAAGAAAAAGAAACACCAGTTTCAGTTTCGTGGCCAGCCCTGGGTGGTAGATTCTTACATGCCTAAGCCAATAATGACGCTCTGTTTCCCACTTCCCCAGCCCCCCTTGCAGCTTTACCAATAAGACCTAAGGGGAGGTCTACTCTGGGGCTTCTGAGAAAGCTTTTGATTTTTTGACAAGAGGAAACATTTCCTACTTCCTCCCTTGGGACCACCCTGCCTCTCTGCCCCAAACTTAAACATAAGGGCTAGAACTCTGTGCAACTGGAAGGGTATGATCTGAGGGTTGTCAGCAGCAGTCATTTGCTAAAAGCCTGCTTGCTGAGGGGCTGCTACGGGCAAACACAGAGAGAAAAACAACAGGCCAGAGGGGGAGAAAAGTTGAGGCCTTATTTGAATGTCTAGATCCATCCATATCTAAAACCAGCATCATCCCTGAAATTCCAAGTGATGTGAGCAATGCAATGCCTTCCTTTTTCCCTCAGGATTATTTGAGATGGATTTCCATTATTTGCAACCAAAGGAGTCTGACCTATACTCCCTAGGCTCAGGTTTCCTGTCTTTTTTTTTTTGAAATGGAGTCTCACGCTGTCACCCAGGATGGAGTGCAATGGCATGATCTTGGCTCACTACAACCTCTGCCTCCTGGGTTCAAGGGATTCTCCTGCCTCAGCCTCCTGAGTAGCTGGGATTACAGGCATGCACCACCATGCCCAGCTAATTTTTGTATATTTAGTAGAGATGGGGTTTCACCATGTTGGCCAGGCTGGTCTTGAACTTCTGACCTCAAGTGATCTGCCCACCTTGGTCTCCCAAAGTGTTGGGATTACAGATGTGAGCCACCGCACCCGGCCAGGTTTCCTGTCTTTACAGTGAATGTCTAGTAGGGCTTCAGCCTTCCTCTGCCTGTGACACCTGGTGACTTTGACCGAGTGTTACAATGTGTGAGGGCTGCAGGTGCGCGTCCATCCCCCTGCCTATTCTCATCCTCAGCAGTTCCGCCCCCGAAGATAACTCTACTCTAGCCTCTTGGTCAAAAAGTGTCTCAAGGGAATGAGGATTGAAGAAACCTAGGATGTCACCACATACCAAGGCCACTTCAACTCCACAATGTCCTCAGAATGCCATTGCAACACTCTTGTTTGAGAAACACTGGGGTTAAGACATGGGAGTCAAAGAAAAGCAAGCAGGCTGGGTGCGGCGGCTCACGCATGTAATCCCAGCACTTTGGGAGGCCGAGGTCGATGGATCACCTGAGGTCGGGAGTTCGAGACCAGCCTGACCAACATGGAGAAACCCTGTCTCTACTCAAAATACAAAATTAGCTGGGCGTGGTGGTGGGCGCCTGTAATCCTAGCTACTCGGGAGGCTGAGGCAGGAGAATCGCTTGAACCTGGGAGACGGAGGTTGCAATGAGCCGAGATCGGGCCACTGCACTCCAGCCTGGGCAGCAAGAGTGAAACTCCGTCTCAAAAACAAAAAACAAAAAGCAAAAAAACAAAGAAAAGCAAGCAGAGTAGGCAGGGGCAGAGCGGCGTGGAGTTCATCTGATCTGTGAAGTACATTAGAGATTTCTCACTTGTTTCTTCATTCATGCAACACATTTTTGTTGCGCATGTTTTTTTTTTCTTTTTTTTTTGAGATGGAGTTTTGCTCTTGTTGCCCAGGCTGGAGTGCAGTGGTGTGATCTCAGTTCACTGCAACCTCTGCCTCCTGGGTTCAAGTGATTCTCCTGCCTCAGCCTCCCGAGTAGCTGAGATTACAGGCATGTGCCACCACTCCTGGCTAATTTTGTATTTTGAGTAGAGACAGGGTTTCTCCATGTTGGTCAGGCTGGTCTTGAACTCCTAATGTCATGTGATCTGCCCGCCTCAGCCTCCCAAAGTGCTGGGATTACAGGTGAGAGCCACCACACCCAGCCTTGAGCACCTACTTTGTGCCTGACTCTAAAATGTCCCTGCCTTCTCAACGTAGGTTGGGAAATGTGAAATACCTTATATGAAGGGTAGAAAAGAAAGAAACTGGTGAGTTTCTCTCTTCCCTTGGGCTTCTCAAAGAGAAAATGGCCTCAAAACAATTGAAAACTAGATTTGCAATGAGAGAGCCTTACTGTTGATTAAGACTCGGGATGTTAAAATGAGGTGTCACATTGGGATTTAGGATCTCCTTTCTAAATGGAAATCTTTAGGAATGAAGACCTAAACCATTGACTCCTTTTAAAATTAATTAATTAATTATTTTTTCATAGAGATGGCAGGGGGGTGGGGGGTGGGGGGTGGCGGTCTCACCAAGTTGCCCAGACTGGTCTCGAACTCCTGGGTTCAAGAGATCCTCTCATCTTGGCCTCCCAAAGTGCTGGGATTGCAGGCATGAGCCACTGCACCCAGCTCCATTGACTCATTTTTAATGGAAAGCTTCATGAGTAATGCATAAAGAAAGGGCTTCTGGGTGAACAGACTTAGGTTCAAATCCTGATTCCTTTCTTGAAATATGTGATTTTTGACAAATTCCTAAACCTCTCTGGGTCTGTTTCCTTTGGGTTGTGATGAGCATTGTATGAAGATGATAAGACCACCTAACATTTATCTTCTGGTTCTGAGCTAAGTTCTATATGTGTATCAACTCATTAATCCTCATTTAATCACAACAAATGGGGAAACCGAGGCATAGAAAGATTAAAATACCTTGCTGAGCAGTTGCAGAGCCTGACTTTGAATGTTGGTCTCTGGAGTCTTTGCTTGTAGCCAGATCATTTACTGACACTCCCACTGATAAAGCGGGGGGATGCCTCACTCATGTGATACTGTTCATCTATCTCTACTGAGAGATGATGGTGAAGTGGTAAAATGCACGGATTTTGGAGCTGGACTGCCATGGTTCCAATTCTAGGCTTATCTTCCGTAATGTGTAACCTGAGTTATTTTGAGCAAGTTATGTAACTTCTCTACTCCTGTCTTGACTTTCCCTTGTGTAAAGTGGAGCTGATAATAAACTTCTTAGGGTTTTGGGGAGGATTGAGTGAGTCAATATGATAAACTTAGAATCGTATCTGGTCCATAGTAAGTGCTCAATAAATGCTGCCTACTGTTAACTTTCGAGTCTCGTCACTTCCTTAGGGAGGCCTCTCCTCCTAATCTTAATTATGTTTTCCTTCCCTGTTATTCACTCTCGTAGCACTTAGGACAATTTGCAATCATATATAAGAGTAAACATCGGGCTGGGCACCATGGCTCACACCTGTAATCCCAGCATTTTGGGAGGCCAAGGCCTCCCAAATCTCAGATCACGAGGTCAGGAGTTCAAGACCAGCCTGACCAATGGTGAAACCCTGTCTCTACTAAAAATACAAAAATTACCCAAGCATGGTGGCACATGCCTGTAATCCCAGCTACTCCAGCTGAGGCAGGAGAATCTCTTGAACCTGGGAGGCAGAGGTTGCAGTGAGCGGAGATCATGCCACTGCCCTCCAGTTTGGGTGACAGAGCAAGACCGTGTCTCAAAAAAAAAAAAAAAAAAAAGAGTAACCATCTCATGGGCTTATTATGATGAATAAATAATAAGATGTGAGTAAAGCATGAATTTTGTGTATATTTGGCTCTCAATATATGTGAATTTTTTTTGTTATTATTATTTACACTGGATTCCTTCCTGGGTTAAAATCACTGACATGTCTACATTATTGGCAATTTCACCAAATCTAAGGCACCATCAATTGTAACCTACACCCTTACTGATGCGTTTCTAAGAAATAGGAAAACCGTGACACAAAGCTTTCCCATCACTTAAAAATTTCATTTTATGCATATTAAAAGAGCTCTTTTAAGTCTTATTTAGACATAGATTTTTATCGACTATCAAGCTGCTTGTTTCCTTACCCTTTTTAGTATATAATAATTTTTCATTTCAGTGCTGAATCAGTGTGGAATGTTTTTGAAGACATTGTAAGTAGTGATTAAACTCAATACCTATAGTGCTAACAGTGCACACAGCTTAAGGGAAAGGTTGGCAAGAGGAAGAGTTGTGACCAGCCCTGTGCACGTGTGGGCAGTGACTATGACCTGGCTGTCAGCAATTCATCAACAATTTGAGATGCCATCACTTGCACATCAATTTACACATCGGTGTAAAAATGTGAAAAAAAAGGTGTTGCAAATTGATGAAATTTAATATTAAAATGTGAATGTCCCCCCTAACAGTTGTATGGTTCCCTATATGGTTTTCCCAAAGCCACCATGGTTTAAATAAAACCTATTAGGTTTTTCCTATTTATTTATTTATGAGACAGAGTCTTGCTCTGTCATACAGGCTGGAGTGCAGTGGCATGATCTCTATTCACTGCAACCTCCGCCACCCAGGTTCAAAGGATTCTACTACCTCAGCCTCCCTGGTAGCTGGGACCACAGACGTGTGCTACCATGACCGGCTGATTTTTGTATTTTTAGTAGAGACGGTGTTTCACCATGTTGGCCAGGCTGGTTTCAAACTCCTGACCTCAAGTGATCTGCCTGCCTGGGCCTCCCAAAGTGCTGAGATTACAGGTGTGAGCTACCGCGCCCTGCAGGTTTTCCTTTTTAGTAGTGACTTCATCTGTCACATTGAACTTTATGTTGGTTAAAGCAATTCTAACTGCTGTAACAGCTAAAACCTCATCAGTTAATGCTATAAAGGTTTGTTTCTTGCTCATGTAGAGTCCAAATCAGATGTCTCTTATTGACAACAAGAGCTGTACTCCACGTTGCCGTTCAGGGATCCAGACACAGAGATTCTGTCAGTTTCACCAGGTCATTTGAAGGGTTGCCCTGGGCCCATAAGCATAAAAGGTTTTATGGGCTAAGCCTGGAAATAGCTTGCAAAGCACACTTTTGCTCACATTTCACTGCTAGAGCTTGAGCACAGGGCAGCATCTATCTGCAAGGGAGTCTGGGAAATGTAGTCTAGCTGGGTCACCAGGAAGAAAAGGAAATGGATTTGGTAATCAGGTAGCAATATCTGCTCTAAGCTTTATAGAGAATTAAAGGACTGTGATGGGCATTCTGTATAAATTAATTCATTTTGCCCTCACAATAACACTTCAAGTGGGCATTGTCCTCACTTTACAGATAAAGAAACTGAAACTCAAAGAGGTGAAAGACTTGCCCAAGGTCATATAGCTTTACAGTCATGGAGCTAGAGTTAAAGTCTTATCTGCCTATGTTCTTCTCATTACACCCATTTGCCTCTTTGAATTATACAAGAAAGATGGAGGGAGAGAGAAACTACATATCTATAGTCCTTTTCCTATGAGGCTGATCCACATATAGGGTTTCCTTTGGTTTTCTCCAAGGTCATGGATTTTACCCATAATCAGTCGTCTCTTACCAGTGGATAGGGGAGGACCAAACTACAGCATTTGGTACCCACAAATAGCCTGGGTTTCACTTGAGTGGGTCTGGCTAGGATGTGTCCTTTTTCTGGGTACATGACATTTGGGAACAGTCATTTGAACAATGGACTTATATCTATAGATATACATGTAGATATAGATGTAGATGAGATATAGATAAAAAATACTTAGAAGTAAAAACAACCAAACACAATGTGTAGACGATGATTGGATCCTAGTTTGAAAAAAAAATACAGCAGTAAAAAAATATTTTGGGGGTGGGTGCAGTGACTTACGCCTGTTATCCCACCACTTTGGGAGGCTGAGGTGGACCGATCACTTGAGCTCAGGAGTTTGAGACCAGTCAAGGCAACACAGTGAAACCCGCCTCCATAAAAAATACAAAAATTAGATGGGTGTGGTGGCATGTACCTGTAGTTCCAGCTACTTGGGAGGCTGAGGTAAGAGGATGCCTTGAGCCTGGGAGGCAGAGGTTGCAGTGAGCTGAGAATGTGCCACTGCACTTAAGCCTGGGCAACAGAGCCAGACCCTGTTTCAATAAATAAATAAATATATAAAAAATTATATATATATAGTTATATATAAACATCAAAGAGTTAATTATATATAATACATAAAAGGTTATATATAATTGTATATTTACATATATGTTATATATATGTAATATATACCATATAATACATATATAATATATATAATATGTATCTATATTACATATATACATATGTATATAGGTAGTGTCACCCAAGCTGGAGCACAGTGGCATGATCTCAGCTCACTGCAATCTCTGCCTCCCGGGTTCAAGTGATTCTTGAGCCTCTGCCTCCCAAATAGCTGGGATTACAGGCCTGCACCACCACACCTGGCTAACTTTTGTATTTTTAGTAGAGACAGGGTTTTGCCATGCTGGCCATGGCTGATCTTGAACTCCTGGCCTCAAGTGATCTGCCCGCCTTAGCTTCCCAAAGTGCTGGGATTACAGGTGTGAGCCACTGTGCCTGGCCAAATTTTTTATAGAGATGGCGGGCGGCGGGGAGGGGGTCTCACTATGTTGCCCAGGCTGGACTTGAACTCCTAGCTTCAAGTGGTCTGCCCGCCTCAGCCTCCCAAAGTGCTTAGGATTACAGGCATGAACCACCATGCCCGGCTGGATGTTTATGATATTATTCTTCCTTATGACATTTGCTTTTTGAGGTAAGACAATGAGGATATTTGGATGAAGCTTAAAAATGGATAGCACTTATCACTATCTGAAATTTTTATTGTTACATATGTTTATTTATTGATTGATATATTTTCTCTGCCTGCCCCCAACCTGACTGTAACTCCGTGAAAACAGGGACCTTGCTAGTTTTGTTTGTTTTTTTGAGGCAGGTTTTTCCTCTGTCACCCAGGCTGAAGTGCAGTGGTGCCATCATAGCTCACTGCAACCTCAACCTCCAGGGTTCAAGTAATCCTCCTACCTCAGCCTCCCGAGTAGCTGGGACTACAGGAACGTGTCACAACACTTGGCTAATTTTTTTTTTTTTTTTTTTTTAGAGGGAGTCTCGCTCTATCGTTCAGGCTGGAGGGCAATGATGCGATCTCGGCTCCCTGCAACCTCCGCCTCCCAGGTTCAAGTGATTCTCCTGCCTCAGCCTCCTGAGTAGCTGGGATTACAGGCAAGCACCACCACACCCAGCTAATTTTTTTTTTTTTTGAGATGGAGTCTCGCTCTGTCTCCCAGGCTGGAGTGCAGTGGCGCTATCTCAACTCACTGCAAGCTCTGCCTCCTGGGTTCACGCCATTCTCCTGCCTCAGCCTCCCGAGTAGCTGGGACTACAGGCGCCCGCCACCGCTCCTGGCTAATTTTTTGTATTTTTAGTAGAGACAGGGTTTCACCATGTTAGCCAGGATGGTCTCGATCTCCTGACCTCGTGACCCACCCTCCTCGGCCTCCCAAAGTGCTAGGATTACAGGCGTGAGCCACTGCACCTGGTGGCTATTTTTTTTTTTTTTTTTTTTTTGAGATGGAGTCTCGCTCTGTCACCCAGGCTGAAGTGCAGTGGCGCGATCTCGGCTCACTGCAAGCTCCGCCTCCCAGGTTCACACCATTCTCCTGCTTCAGCCTCCCAAGTAGCTGGGACTACAGGTGCCCCACCACCATGCCCGGCTAATTTTTTTTTTGTATTTTTAGTACAGCTGGGGTTTCACCATGTTAGCCAGGGTGCTCTGGATCTCCTGACCTCGTGATCCGCCCGCCTCGGCCTCCCAAAGTACTGGGATTACAGGCGTGACCCACCGTGCCCGGCCTATTTTTTTTTTTTTTTTAATTTTTAGTAGAGAGGAGGTCTTGCCATGTTGCCCAAGCTGGTCTTGAACCCTTGAGGTCAAACTATCCCCCAAAACGTTGGGATCACAGGCATGAACCATTGTACCCAGCCGACCTTGCTAGTTTTGGTTAACTCTATCCCTAGCACCTATCAAAGTGCCTAGTATGAAGTCGAGTGCTTTATTTTTATTTTTTCTGCTAAATTAAATTCTCACTGATGTAGTTGGCTCTCATCCATCATTGCTGGCCTTTTAGTTCTCCCTGGTTCTGGCTGCATCTCTGTTTCTTCAGCTTCTGTTGTCCACAGCCCTAGCCTGCCTTGTCTTAATCTATCTCTGGTCACAGGCCCAGTTAGGCAGGAAGTAAAAGGCTGCTGGTGGTCCAGGTGCCCCCATAGTCTCAGCAGTAGCCTGTAGCTATCTCCTACCATCCTGGTGACTTGCTGCTATCACACTGTTGACTCCTTGGGAGTTGCTGAATCAGGTGGCGCCATACACAACTGGTGCTCAGAAATCATTCCTTGATTGATCACCTGTACCCATCCTCCTCTTGGTCCCACTTCTCCTCTCGCTCTCTCTCTCTTTTAATTTGAGAAAGAGTCTTAAGACAAAATATTAAAAAAAAAAAAGAGAGAGAGAGAGAGACAGAGTCTTGCTCTGTCACCCAGGCTGGAGTGCAGTGGCATGATTATGGTTCACTGCAGCATCAAACTCTTGGGCTCAAGTGATCCTCCTACATCAGCCTCCCGAGTAGCTGGGACTACAGGCATGCACCATGATGTTCGGCTAGTTTTCATGGGTTTTTTTTTGTTTGTTTTCAGAGATGAGGTCTTGCTATGTTGTTCAGGCTGGTCTTGAACTTTTGGGCTCAAGCAATCCTCTCACCTCTGCTTCCCAGAGTTCTAGGATTATAGCTGTGAACCACTGTGCCTCGCCCACTTCTCTCTTTCTCAATGAGAAATGATTTCATATATTAATTTCTTTTATCTTCTTCTTATTATTTTTGAGATGGAGTCTCACTCTGTCACCCAGGCTGGAGTGCATGGCGCAATCTCAGCTCACCACAACCTCTGCCTCCCGGGTTCAAGTGATTCTCCTGCCTCAGCCTCCTGAGTAGCTGGGATTACAGGCACCCGCCACCACGACCAGCTCATTTTTGTATTTTTAGTAGAGATGGGGTTTCGCCATGTTGGCCAGGCTGGTCTCGAACTCCTGACCTCAGATGATGCACCCACCTTGGCCTCCCAAATTGCTGAGATTGCAGGCATGAGCCACCGTGCCCAGCTAATTTTGTATTTTTAGTAGAGACGAGGTTTTTAATTATACAAATAATACAAAGTAATTGTAAAAAAATTAGAAAATGGAAATAAACTAAATGAAAAAGTATTAAAATGACCTAAAATTTCATCTTCTATTACCATTTTGGCACATTATTAACATTTCTCTGTGCATATATTAAAATGTTTTTATTTTTTATTTTATTAAAATATTATTATTATTATTTTTGAGACGGAGTCTCACTCTTGTTGCCTAGGCTGGAGTGTAATGGTGCGATCTTGGCTCTCCACAACCTCTGCCTCCTGAGTTCAAGTGATTCTCCTACGTAATCCCCCTGAGTAGCTGGGATTACAGGCATGTGCCACCATGTCTGGCTAATTTTGTATTTTTAGTAGAGACAGGGTTTCTCCATGTTGGTCAGGCTGTTCTCGAACTCCCAACTTCAGGTGATTCACCCGCCTCAGCCTCCCAAAGTGCTGGGATTACAGGCATGAGCTACCACACCCAGCTAAAATGGTATTATTTTTATCCTGCATTTTTTACCCAAGAAAATATTGAGAATATTCTTTCAGAGGAATAGGTATAAATCTATTTCATCATTTTTTTTTCTTTTTGAGAGAGGGTCTGGCTCTGTCACTCAGGCTGGAGTGCTGTGGTGCAATCATAGGTTTGCAGGCTCAAACTCCTCATCTCAAGTGATCCTCCCAGCTCAGCCTCTTGAGCGGCTAGGACTACATGTGCATGCCAGCATGCCCTACTAATTTCAAAAACTCTTTTGGGTCGGGCGCGGTGGCTCAAGTCTGTAATCCCAGCACTTTGGGAGACTGAGGCGTGCGGATCACCTGAGGTTGGGAGTTCAAGACCAGCCTGACCAACATGGAGAAACCTCATCTTTACTAAAAATACAAAATTAGCTGGGTCTGGTGGCTTATGCCTGTAATTCCAGCTACTCGGGAGGCTGAGGCAGGAGAATTGCTTGAACCCTGTAGGCGTGGAGGTTGTGGTGAGGCGAGATTGTGCCATTGCACTCCAGCCTGGACAACAAGAGTGAAACTCTGTCTCAAAAAAAACAAAAAAACCAAAAAACAAAAAACAAAACCAAAACAAAAAACTCTTTTGTAGAGATGGGGTCTTGTTATGTTGTCCAGGCTGGTCTTGAACTCCTGGCCTCAAGTGATCCTCCTTCCTTGGCATGTCAAACTGCTGGGATTACAGACATAAGCCACTGCACCCAGCCTCCATCTTTTTTTTTTTTTTTTTTTTGAGACAGAATCTGACTCTGTTGCTCAGGCTGAAGTGCAGTGCAGTGGTGTGATCATAGCTCACTGCAGCCTTGATCTCCCTGGGTTCAGGTGATTCTCCCACCTCAGCCCCCCAAGTAGCTGGGAGTATAGACGCATACCACTACAGGTGACTAATTTTTGTATTTTTTTGTAGAGACAGGGTCTCATTATGTTGCCCAGGCTGGTCTCGAACTCCTGGGTTCAAGCAGTCCTTCTGCCTTGGCCTCCCAAAATGGTGAGATTACAGGCGTAAGCCACTGTGCCCAACTCATCTTTTTTTTTTTTTTGAGACAGAGTCTGGCTCTGTTGCCCAGGCTGCAGTGTAGTGGTGCTATCTCAGCTCACTTTAATCTCCACCTCCCAGGCTCAAGCGATCCTCCCACCTCAGCCTCCAGAGTAGCTGGGACTACAGGTGTGCGTCACCACACCTGGCTACTTTTTCTTTTGGTAGTAGAGATGAGGTTTTGCTATGTTACTCAAGCTGGTTTTGAACTCCTGGGCTTGAGCAATCCACCCGCCTTGGCCTCCCAAAGTGCTGGAATTACAGGTGTGAGCCACTGTGCCCGACCACACTAGCTTTTAATACATACTGCCAAACGGCCTCAAGAGAGACTGGATTGGTTTCCATTTCCACCTGCAATGTGTGAGCCTCCTGTGCTCCCTCCCACCACTGTCCTTAAGAGCCAGCTCCAGACAGCCTCTGGAGGGAGGTGTCCAGCAGTGTGTCCACATCTATTTCCTGCTCACTCCCTCTCCCCCTCCTTCTGGGTTCTCTCATTGGCTACATACCTTGTCTTTCAGTGTCAGCCCCGGCCTTTCAGTGTGGCAGCCTTTGGCGCTGCCCATCTCTGGCTCCTTGACTCCAGCTTCCCGCCTGCTCTGAGCAGGCCTTTGGTTTTGAGGTTCCCTGCAAATCTTCCTGCCATTTACCATGGCACCACGCAGTGCTTCCCACAGGATCAACCACCGACTCAATGGTCCCCAAGTGGAGGCCTTAGACAACCAGAGGGCAAGAAGCAGGCTGGAGTCTGGGGCTTCATGGCTGAAGGCAGGTTTTTATCTTTCCTCTGCTTTCCTGTCCAATTTCATCAATACTCTCAGGAACCAATCAGGGAATCTTCCTTGATCTGCATAGGAGGAATAGCCACGGCTGAAATTTAATCTTAACCCTTGGCCCAGGTCCTTCTAGGCCTACAGGAATATCCCTTGCATCTAAGGATTAATGTGGAGTGAGCAGGAATGCATTTGGATGGTGGGAACAGGGGGATCAGTGGTCCTATGGAAAGAGCATTCTGTTCTGAGAGTCTGGACACTGGGTTGGAGCCCTGATTCTGCATGCCCTGTGTGACCATAGTAGATAAACTTTGGGGCATCTGCTCAGCTCAATGCTACCTCCAACTGTGCATCTGCTTTCCAGTGGGGTGCTCTTTGGTAGCCTTTTTTTTGTTTTTGAGATGGAATCTTGCTCTGTCACCCAGGCTGTAGTGCAGTGGCGTGATCCTGGCTCACTGCAACCTCTGCCTCCCGGGTTCAAGCCATTCTCCTGCCTCAGCTTCCTGAGTAGCTGGGAATTACAGGTGCATGCCACCATGCCTGGCTAATTTTTGCATTTTTAGTAGAGATGGGATTTCAGCATGTTGGTCAGGTTGGTCTCGAACTCCTGACCTCGTGATCCACCTGCCTCGGCCTCCCAAAGTGCTGGGATTACAGGCGTGAGCTATCGCGCCTGACCTTGGTAGCCTTTTAACATTTTTATTTCATTTTTTTCCTGTAGCTCCAGCTTAAAGGAAGTAGGCACCTCCCCCCGCCCCACAACCTTTTTTTTTAAGAGACAGGGTCTTACTATGTTGCCTGGTCCGGTATCGAATTCCTGGCCTCAAGCAGTCCTCCCACCTCAGCCTTCTGAGTAGCAGGGACTGCAGGTGTGCATCACTACACCAGGTGATAGCCATTTTTACACCATATGACCCTGTCCCTTTAGCCACATTGATGGGACCAGGGGTGGACATGGGATCCAAGCTGGGCCAATCAGATTCCCTTTGAGAATTAGGATTTGGTTTTTGTTTTTGTTTTGTTTTGTTTTGTTTTTTTGAGACAGAGTGTTGCTCTGTTGCCCAGGCTGGAGTGCAGCGGCATGATCTCAGCTCACTGCAACCTCTACTTCCCAGGTTCAAGTGATTCTCCTGCTTCAGCCTCCTAAGTAGCTGGGATTACAGGCAGCCGCCACCACACCCAGCTAATTTTGTTGTATTTTTAGTAGAGACCAGGTTTCACCATGTTGGCAAGGCTGGTCTTGAACTCCTGACCTCAAGTGATCCACCCGCCTTGGCCTCCCAAAGTGCTGGGATTACAGGTGTGAGCCACCACGCCTGGCTTGGGAATTGGGATTTGAAATGGACTAGGAGTCACTATAAGAACATGAAATAGAGGTCAGGGAAACTGATGAGAAGGTCACGGAGATGCAGAGAAGGGTGGCCTGCTAGAGAGAACCAAGAAGCAGATGTGCAGACAGAAAGAGAAACAGCTGGTCTGGGCTCCTGGTGGTTTTCCAGTTCTTGGTGCCAGGCCTTGGGGAGTCCCTGCTGTGTCCCTGCCCTGGGTACGGGAAGTCTATGAGACACTCCAGTGCCCTCATAATAAAGCCCTTCTTTGCTTAAGCTACTTCTGCAACCTGCACACAAGCAACACAAATCTTGTTTAAGGTGGTGAATAGGGCTAAATATTAATCTTTTTTTTTTTTTTTTTTTTTTGAGACGAGTCTCATTCTGTCTCCCAGGCTGGAGTACAACGGCATGATCTTGGCTCACTGCAGCCTCCGCTTCCTGGGTTCAAGCAATTCTTGTGCCTCAGCCTCCCGAGTAGCTGGGATTACAGGCATGCACCACCACACCCGGATAATTTTTGTATTTTTTGGTAGAGGCAGGGTTTTACCATGTTGGCCAAGCTGGTCTTGAACTCCTGACCTCAGGTGATCTGCCCGTCTCGGCCTCCCAAAGTGCTGGGATTACAGGCATGAGCCACTGCTCCCAGCCTAAATATTAATCTTTCTGAGCCTCCACTTCTGTGTCTGTTAAGATGTTGCGTTAGGTCATTCTTGCACTGCTATAAAGGATTACCTGAGATGGGGTCATTTAAAAAAATTATATTTAATTGGCTGAGGGCTCTGCTGTCTATTCAGGAAGCATAGTGCCCAGCATCTGCTTGGCTTCTGGGGAGGCCTTGGGCTGCTTACAGTCATGATGGAAAGCAAATGGGGAGCCAGCATCTCATATGACAAGAGTGGGAGCAAGAGACAGGGAGAGGGCGCTACACACCTTTTTTTTTTTTTTTTGAGACAGTCTCGCTCTGTTGCCCAGGCTGGAGTGCAGTGGTGTGATCTGGGCTCACTGCAACCTCCGCCTCCCGGGTTCAAGCGATTATCCTGCCTCAGCCTCCCAAGTAGCTGGGACTACAGACTCACGCCACCACACCCGGCTAATTTTTTTTTTTTTTTTTGAGACAGAGTCTCACTCCGTCACCCAGGCTGGAGTGCAGTGGCACGATCTCAGCTCACTGCAACCTCCATCTCCTGGGTTCAAGCAATTCTCCTGCCTCAGCCTCCCAAGTAGCTGGGATTATAGGCACCCACTACCATGCCCAGCTAATTTTTGTGTTTTTAGTAGAGATGGGGTTTCACCATGTTGGCCAGGCTGGTCTCAAACTCCTGACCTCAAATGATCTGCCCACCTTGGCCTCCCAAAGTGCTGGGATTACAGGCGTGAGCCACCGTGCCCAGCACTACACACTTTTAAACAACCGGATCTCCCGAGAAATTATTCACTATCGTGAGGAAAGCCCTCAAAGATGGTGCTAAACCATTCATGAGAAATCCACCCTCATGATCCAACCAGCTGCTACCAGGCTCACCTCCAACACTGGGGATTACATTTCGAACATGAGATTTGGCAGGGACAAATATTCAAACAGTATCAGGTGGGAATAGAAACAATGCCCATTTCTCAGGGTTGGTGAAATGCCAAATGTATTAATATCTGTAGGGCTGCGAGCTGATGCTCATCCTGATTCATCAGAACCTGTGCCCGACTGGCTAAAATAGTTTGAGTATTACTCCTGATCATATGTGAAAGAACTTTGTAAACTTTAACATGGTATAAAATTGTGTGTGTTTGTGTGTGTGCATACATGTTTATACCTACATAGACAGCAGCCCCTGCTTATCCATGGGGGACATGTTCAAAGACCCTCAATGGATACCCGAAGCAGTGGATAGTACCAAACCCCATATACACTATGGTTTTTTTTTTGCTTGTTTTGAGACAGGGTCTTGCTCTGTCACCCAGGTTGCAGTGCAGTGTCTCGATCACTGCTCGTCCCACTGCAGCCTCAACCTCCTGGGTTCAGGTGATCCTCCCACCTCAGCCTCCCAAGTAGCTGGGACTACAGGTGTGTGCCACCACACCCAGCTAATTTTTTGTAGAGACAGGGTTTTGCCATGTTGCCCAGGCTGGTTTCAAACTCCCGGGCTCAAGCAATCCTCCCACCTTAGCCTCCCAAGGTGATGGGATTATAGGCATGAGCCACTGCGCCCAGCCTACACTATATTTTTTCAATACATCCATACTTATGATAAAATTTTAGTTATAAATTAGGCACAGTAAGAGATTAACAGCATTAACTAATAATAAAATAGTGCAATTATAACAATAAGCTGTAATAAAAGTTACGTGAGTGTGGTCTATCTCTCTCAAAATAATCTTTTTTTTCTTTGAGACGGAGTCTTCCTTTTGTCACCCAGGCTGGAGTGCAATGGCGTGACCTCAGCTCACTGCAACCTCTGCCTCCCTGGTTCCAGCAATTCTCCTGCCATCCTCCCAAGTAGCTGGGATTACAGGCGCATACCACCACACCTGGTAAATTTTTGTAGTTTTAGTAGAGATGGGGTTTTGCCATGTTGGCCAGTCTGGTCTCGAACTCCTGACCTCAAGTGATGCGCCTGTCTCGGCCTTCCAAAGTGCTGGGATTACAGGCGTGAGCCACCGTGCCTGGCCCTCAAAATATCTTATTGTACTGTACTCACCCTCCTTGTGATCAAGGGAGATGATGAGCTGCCTGTGTGATGAGATGAAGCGAAGAAAATGAGGCAGGCATTGTGTTGCAGCGTTCGGCTACTCTTGACCCTCTGAGAGCCAGAAGGAGGATCATTTGCTTCGGGTGATCCTGGAGCACTGAGCCATGACAATGTCCATGGTTGGATGTCAGGAACACAGGATGTGGATGACTGACGTTAGGTAGTGGTAGCGTATACAGCGTGTATATGCTCAACTCAGGCAGGACAGAGCGGTATGGCGAGAGATTTCTTCACACTGCTCAAAACAGTGCACAATTTAAAGCTCAGGAATAGTTTATTCCTAAATTATTCCTAAATTTATTCCTACATCATTCCTGTTTGAGGGTGACTGTGGGTAACTGAAACCATGAAAAGTGAAACCATGGATGAGGGGGGACTACTATATTCCACATCCCATCCCTGTCCTCATTCTGACTTTTCCTGTAAATTTTCCTGTGGCCTTACCCAAGTTGTTATCCTTCTCTGGGCCTTTATTTTATTTTTAATTTTATTTATTTTTTTTGAGACGGAGTCTCACTCTGTCCCCCAGGCTGGAGTGCAGTGGTGCGATCTCGGCTCACTACAACCTCCGCCTCCCAGGTTCAAGTCATTCTCCTGCCTCAGGCTCCTGAGTCACTGGGATTACAGACACATGCCACCACGCCCGGCTAATTTTTATATTTTTAGTAGAGATGGAGTTTCACCATGTTGGTCAGGCTAGTCTTGAACTCCTGACCTAATGATCTGACTACCTCGGCCTTCCAAAGTGCTGGAATTACAGGCGTGATCCACTGGGCCCGGCCTCTCTGGGCCTTTTTTAATCATCAGTAAATCAGGGGTTGAATGCATGACTTCTAAACTCTCTTCCAGCTGACAGCCAAAAGTTGAGTTGGTTGGCTAACACCTGGATATGGCCCAGGCGTGCAGGAAGCATATCTACCTCTGGCTGGTGCTAAAGGCCCTAAGGCCGGGAAGCAGGGAGCCAGGGATCCTCCCAGATAACAAACTCCAGGGTGAGTTGGGGAGTAAGGCAGGATCCCTTCACTGCTCTCCTTTGTTTGGGTTTATAATTCTGCAATGTAGATGTTTTACCCCAGGCATAATGATCCTCCAGGTTGGGTGGGGCGTGGTGGCTTATGCCTGTAATCCCAGAACTTTGTGAGGCCAAGATGGGTGGATTGCTTGAGCTCAGGAGTTCGAGACCAGCATGGGCAATATGGTGAGACCTCCGTCTCTGCTAAAAATACAAACATTAGTCAGGCATGGTGGCACACACCTGTAGTCCCAGCTACTTGGGAGGCTGAGGTTAGAGAATTGCTTGAACCAGGAGATGGAGGTTGCAGTGAGCCAAAATAGTGCCACTGCACTCCAGAGCAAGACTCTGTCTCAAACCCCACCGCCCCGTTAAAAAAAAAAAAAAAAAAAAAAAAAAATTAAAATGATCCTCCAGGCTAGGCGCAGTGGCTCACGCCTGTACTCCCAGCACTTTGGGAGGCCGAGGCAGGTGGATCACCTGAGGTCAGGAGTTCAAGACCAGCCTGGCCAACATGATGAAACCCCGTCTCTACTAAAAATACAAAAAATTCGCCAGACATGGTGACAGGTGCCTGTAATTCCAGCTACTCAGGAGGCTAAGGCGGGAGAATTGCTTGAACCCAGGAGGCGGAGGTTACAGTAAACGGAGATCACGCCACTGTACTCCAGCCTGGGCAACAAGAGCAAAACTCCGTCTCAAAATAAAAAAAGTGATCCTCCAGGTTGTCATTGTGTCAGTGGGGACCAGATTAAGGCAAGTCTAACATTGCCAGGAAAGCCAGGACACCTGGGACGCCTGCTGTAGCCTCATCTACACCAGGATCATGATTGGACGATGGCCAGGTTAGAACCAGGCCCAGGATGAGCTAAGCCCAGGCTGATTCCCCAGGGTCCAGAAGCCCAAGGCAAAAAATGCTTAACATTCTCTACATCTTTGGTGACTACAAACTTCAAGACTTGGCTAAATCAAGCATTCAAGCATATTGACATTTCTTTGTTTCTTCTTTTTCTTTTTTCTTTTTCTTTTTGAGACAAGGTCTGGCTCTGTCACCCAGGCTGGAGTGCAGTCGTGTGATCTCTGCTCACTGCAACTTCTACCTCCTGGCTTCAAGCCATCCTCCCATCTCAGTCTCCTAGGTAGCTGGGACTACAGGCACATGCCACCATGCCTGGCTAATTTTTGTATTTTTTGTAGACATGGGCATTTTGCCTTGTTGCCCAGGCTAGTCTTGAACTCCTGAGCTCATGCGATCCACCCACCCACCCACCTCAGCCTCCCAAAGCGCCGGGACTACAGGCATGAGCCACAGAGCCTGGCCGACATTTCTTAACAGCCCAGAAATTAATGGAGGTCAATTCAGAAGGGTGGGGGCCCAGAATGAGGAAGATCTCATTTTCTTCCCTGACAGTCACACAAAGGAGAACGAGCCATGTCAAGGAAGATGACAGGACAGAAGCCTCATGGCTAAAGTGCTGCTGATTTCTAGATCAGCTGTTACCATTTGCAAGTTACTTAACCTCTCTGAGCCTCAATTTGTTCATCTGTAGAATGAGCAGGTTGGACTGGATTTCTCCAAGGTTCTTTGTCATGTGTTACATGTTACAACTCCCTGAACCTCGGAGCAATAAACTTCAAGAGCAGCGGCAGCAGCTTTTAGTAGAGTGGATGCAAGGCTAAGAAAAAAATGCCTGATGAAAATGTTACCGGGGCATGGTGGCTCACACCTGTAATCCCAGCACTTTGGGAGGCCAAGGCAGGCAGATAGGCTGAGGTCAGGAGTTTGAGCCTCACCAACATGGTGAAACCTCGTCTCTACTAAAAATATAAAAATTAACTGGGTGTGGTGGAGGGTGCCTGTAGTCCCAGCTACTTGGGAGGCTGAGGCAGGAGAATCACTTGAACCCAGGAGGTGGAAGGTGCAGTGAGCCGAGATCGTGTCAGCATGAGACTCCATCTCCAAAAATAAAAAATAAAAAAAGAGGTCGGGCATGGTGACTCACGCCTGTAATCCCAGCACTTCGGGAGGCTGAGGTGGGTGGATCACGACGTCAGGAGATTGAGACCATCCTGGCTAACACGGTGAAACCCCGTCTCTACTGAAAATACAAAAAAAATTAGCCGGGCGTGGTGGCGGACGCCTGTAGTCCCAGCTACTCGGGAGGCTGAGGCAGGAGAATGGTGTGAACCCGGGAGGCGGAGCTTGCAGTGATCCGAGATCGCGCCACTGCACTCCAGCCTGGGCGACAGAGCGAGACTCCGTCTCAAAAACAAAAACAAAAACAAAACAAAACAAAACAAAAAAAGAATCAAGGGAGATGAAGAATTTCTATGTCTATGTTCTTGTCTTGAAATGGTTCATTTATGATGTGCATTCAGTGAGGTCAGGGGTGTCTGTAACATGCTGCCCTTTCCAAGAAGCTGGAAGTTAAAGGACCATGTAGGAGACTGCCCAGGGCAGAGGAATTCTTCAGAACGCCCTCCTTAGGCTAGGGATGTCTGTCCTGAAAAGTAGATCATGTACCGGTTAACACAAGCTTGGGCTTGGCCTCCTGTGTGTCGTTGAGCAAGTTTCTTAAACTGCGCATGGTTTCCGTAGCCATAAAATGGAGATCATGCTAGTGCCTGTGGTACAGAGTGGTGGTAAGGATTAAATGAGATAAAGTGTATGTGATAGCTTGCCCAGACCCGCGTACATAGTTAGCTGCCCGTAATGGTTTTTGCCCTCTCCTTATCTTGGGTTATGGTTTCCAAGCAAGTAAAGGGAAACTCTCTACGCTCTTCTGCTTAGATGTGGTAGTCTAGGCCTTTTAACATTCTTTTTGCATCATAGAAAAATAAAAAACCAGATGGGGCATGGTGGCTCATGCCTATAATCCCAGCACTTTGAGTGGCCAAGGCTGGAGGATCACTTGAGCCCAGGGATTTGAGACTAGCCTGGGCAACAAAGCGAGACCGAGTCTCTACAAAAAATTAAGAAATAAACTTAGCCAGGTGTGGTGGCATGTACCTGTAGTCCCAGCTACTTGGGAGGCTGAGGCAGGAGGATCACTTAAGCCCAGGATTTCCAGGCCAGCCTGGGCAACATAATGAGACCCTGTCTCTACAAAAAATTAAGAAATAGACTTAGCGAGGCGTGGTGGTGAACACTATAGTTCCAGCTACTTGGGAGGCTGAAGTGATAAGATTGCTTGGGCCTGGGAGGTTGAGGCTGTAGTGAACTATGATTGCACCAGTGCACTCCAGCCTGGGTGACAGAGTGAGACCCTGTCTCTAATAAATAAATTAATTAGTTAAAATTAAAATAAATAAAAAGGAACAAAAAACAATTCAGAAAAAATTGAGGCTATTTTCTCAAGGTGGGGTTGGAGGAAGCTAACTGCATGTGAATTACCTGTGTGCCTCTTACTACAGATTCCTGAGCTCTCCCTCCAGACTCTAACTGAGTCCCCTGAGGGTGGCCCAGGCATAAGCATGTTTCACCAATCAAGGCCGAGCTCCAAGCTCGTAGGCAGCATGCTGCCCTGCCACCCAACAGACTAGGCTAGTGCTTCTCAAACCTTAATGTTCCTAGGAATCTAGATCGTTAAAATGTAGATTCTGGCCAGGTGCAGTGGCTCACGCCTGTAATCCCAGCACTTTGGGAGGCCAAGGCAGGTGGATCACAAGGTCAGGAGTTCAAGACCAGCCTGCCCAAGATGGTGAAACCCCGTCTCTACTAAAAATCCAAAAATTAGCCAGGCGCGGTGGCAAGCACCTGTAATCTCAGCTACTCAGGAGGCTGAGGCAGGAGAATCTCTTGAACCCGGGAGGCGGAGGTTGCAGTGAGCCGAGATCATGCCACTGCATTCCACCCTGGGCAACAGAGTGAGACTGTCTCAAAAAAAAAAAAATGTAGATTCTGATCCAGCAGGTTTGGTGTAGGGCCAGAAATTCTGCATTTTCAACCAGCTCCCAGGTGGTGGCCATGCTGCTGTCTGTGGACTCCATTTTTGTTATTATTTTTGTTGTTGTTGTTGTTTTTATTTTGAGATGGAGTCTCACTCTGTTGCCCAGACTAGAGAGCAGTGGCGCGATCTCGGCTCACTGCAACCTCTGCCTCCTGGGTTCAAGCCATTCTTGTGCCTTAGCCTCTTGAGAAGCTGGGATTACGGGCGTGCACTGCCATGCATGGGGGTGGAGACAGGGTTTCACCATGTTGGCCAGGCTGGTCTTGAACTCCTGAGCTCAAGTGATCCACCCACCTCAGCCTCCCAAAGTGTTGGGATTACAGGCATGAGCCACTGTGCCTGGCCTGTAGATTACATTCTTTTTTTTTTTTTCTGAGACTGAGTCTTGCTCTGTTGCCCAAGCTGGAGTGCAGTGGCGCGATCTCGGCAACCTCCACCTCCCTGGTTCAAGCGATTCTCCTGTCTCACCCTCCTGAGTAGCTGGGACTACAGGCTCGTGCCACCACGCCCGGCTAATTTTTTTTTTATTTTTAGTAGAGACAGGGTTTCACCGTGTTAGCCAGGATGGTCTCAATCTCCTGACCTCGTGATCGGCCCGCCTCAGCCTCCCAAAGTGCTGGGATTACAGGCTTGAGCCACCCGCGCCTGGTGATTACATTCTTAATAGCAACATTTTAGAGACTCTCTGATTGTGGTGGTTATTAATGCTGTTCAGCAGCCATTTCTCACCCTGCTTTCTGACATATGATAGGATTATACTTCCCAGCTTGTGTGTTAGGTGGGGCCAAGTGACTTGTTCTGGCTAATGAGCTGTGAACAAGAGATGCATGTCACTCCCAGGACTGGACAGTTAATTGCTGGTTCCAGACCCTTTCAAGGTCTCTTTCCCTTTGCCATGGCAACTGGCAGTGTTTCGGTGTCTGCTCTAGCAGACAGGCCCTGAAGTGAGGATGGCATGGAGCACAGCCCTGTGCTGACCTGTGATGGACTTGCAGCGAGAAAAAGACATACAGTTTTGTTGTCTTAAGTCATGAGATTTGGAAGGGTTGTTTGTGACTCTAGCCTAACCTAGCCCATTCTGACTGGTACGCCAATCTAACCCACATTTTATAAAAGAAGAAACTAAGCCCAGGAGGAGTAACTTGTCTGTGCTCTGATACCTGCTTAATGAAGTCTCAGGGCTCTGACTTCCAATCTCCTTTCCATCAGTTACTGTCTTTACCACTCGGGTCTCCTGGAAAATGTGCCAAGAACTTCGTATGTGTTATTTCCTTTTCTTTTTACAGCTCTTTGAGGTCAAAAATCATGGGCCAGGTGCGGTGGCTCATGCCTGTAATCCCAGCACTTTGGGAGGCCGAGGTAGGCAGATCACCTGAAGTCGGGAGTTCGAGACCAGCCTGACCAACATGGAGAAACCCTGTCTCTATTAAAAGTACAAAATTAGCCGGGCGTGGTGGCACATGCCTGTAAGCCCAGCTACTTGGGAGGCTGAGGCAGCAGAATCGCTTGAACCCGGGAGGTGGAGGTTGCGGTAAGCTGAGATCATGCCATTGCACTCCAGCCTGGGTGACAGAGCGAGACTCTGTCCCAAAAAAAAAAAAAAGAATGAGTTTATTTTTAATTTTTTTTTTTTTGAGACGGAGTCTCGCTCTGTCGCCCAGGCTGGAGTGCAGTGACGCGATCTTGGCTCACTGCAAGCTCTGCCTCCCGGGTTCACACCATTCTCCTGCCTCAGCCTCCGGAGTAGCTGGGACTACAGGTGCCCGCCACCATGCCTGGCTAATTTTTTTGTATTTTTAGTAGAGACGGGGTTTCACCATGTTAGCCAGGATGGTCTCGATCTCCTGACCTTGTGATCTGCCCGCCTCGGCCTCCCAAAGTGCTGGGATTACAGGCATGAGCCACTGCACCCGGCTATTTTTAATTTTTATTTATTTATTTATTTTCAAATTTTTCTGAGAAGGAATCTCGCTCTGTCGCCTGGGCTGGAGTGCAATGGCGCGATGTCGGCTCACCGCACCCTCTGCCTCCTGGGGTTCAAGCGATTCTCCTGTCCCAGCCTCCTAAGTAGCTGAGATTACAGGCATGTACCACCACGCCCGGCTAATTTTTTTTTTTGGTATTTTTAGTAGAGATGGGTTTTCACCATGTTGGCAAGGCTGGTCTTGAACTCCTGACCTCAAGTGATCTGCCCGCCTCGATCTCCCAAAGTGCTGGGATTACAGGTGTGAGCCACCGTGCCTGGCTACCATATATAATTTTCATTTGCTTATTTAGATTGCAGGTACTTTTCCACATGACACAAATGGTCCAAGTTAATTTAGAGACCGAGGTGTTCTATGCAGCCAGCACAATGTGATTAAGAATTTTTTTCAGCCTGAAAAAAAAAAGAACATTCTTTTCAAGTCTGGAAAAAAATAATTTATTTCTAACAAGCCTGGAGGACCCAGATGCAGAGAAGCCGTGGGCCTCTGGCCTTGCGCCCTTCTTGTCTTTGTACCTCTCAGTCCTTTCTTTGTTTGAGGTGATGGTTCTGCTGCAGGCTTGACTGCCTCCTGCCCACTGCTTGCCACTTCTGGGCTTTGATTTTTTTTGAAATGGAGTTTCACTCTTGTAGCCCAGGCTGGAGTGCAATGGTGTAATCTCAACTCACTGCAACCTCCGCCTCCTGGATTCAAGTGATTCTCCAGCCTTGCCTCCTGAGTAGCTAGGATTACAGGGATGCACCACCATGCCTGGCTAATTTAGTATTTTTACTAGAGACGAGGGTCTCACCATGTTGGCCAGGCTAGTCTCGAACTCCTGACCTCAGGTGACCCATCTGCCTCAGACTCCCAAAGTGTTGGGATTACAGGCGTGAGCCACCATGCCCAGCTCACTTCTAGGCTTTGTATAGAAGTTGTTCTCAAGCCCTGGACAAAAGCTCCTTGCCCTCTAGGCCTCGACTCTCCTTGTCACACACTCCCTGTGTTTTCAGATATCCTGAAACCCTGTGTCCTGGGTCTGTCCTGCCAGACATGCAGGTACTGGGCTCACTGGGGGTTTGACTCAGATCCTAACAGCTCAGGAGGTGGGCTGGGGCACAGAGGCCAGTGGGTTTCTGACATGGGGACAGGGTGGGGACCCTTGACAGCAATAGCCCTGTTTCTGCTCTCCCAGACGTTACAGGGTTTTATTCCCCTGCATTGAAAATCTGGGGAAATTTATGGTTAAAATATGATTGTTGGGTTCTGACTGGGTTGCATTCTAGTCTCTTGCTTTTGGGGTTTGGCATGCAACTATCTCTTTGGAAGTCAAACTTTGTTTCTTATCTCAACACACACACACACACACACACACACACACACACACACGCAGGCACGCACACACTAGAAAAGAATTGGGAAAATGCTTAATGTTGCAAATGCTTGAAATGAGAAACAAGAACAGGACTGCCAAGGCACTCCCGAGCTCTGTGCATGGGCAGGTGACTAAGACAGTGTTTAGAGAGGAACTGAGGTCTGGTGGACAAACATGGAGTTCTAACCACAGCCCAGTTATTAGTCCACAGGAAACATCCTGTTACTATTATAAAGATGAAGTGCTACTTTTTTTTTTTTTAAAGAATTTTCTAAAAGTCTTCCTTTCCATTCTGATTCAGTTCAGTCTGTGAGGCAGAAAGGTCTCAGGGCAGCCATGCCTGCAACATTAGCTAATCAGACTCCCAAGAAACATTCCATTCCGCTTAGGAGGGCTTTGGAGAATGGTTTGCTCATGGTGGCTTTTAAAATACACTGAGGGTTGCCAGGCTGAATGGGATCCCTGCGGGGCTGGTGACCTGGTTCTAGGCTGGTGCTCAGCAGAGCTGCCTCCTGGTGGGTTAGTGGACTTGTTAAACATAGTTGCCTCTCCTATTCCCTGTTCTTGGGGGATGAAGAAGAAAGTCTTGTACTCTATCCCTTCCCATTCTAAAATTGGGGTAACGGAGGCCCAAGAGAGTAATAATATAAGAAATAAGAGCCAACACAGATCACTTTATGTTAACTTGTCTACAAATGTCAAGGGGAGGAACATCATGGCATAGTGGCAAGAAAGATATAGTTTTAGATCCTGGTTTTTGCCAGTCTGAAACTGTGTGACCTTGTGTAAGTAAGTAAGCCTGAGACTCAGTTTCCTTATTTGTAAAATACTGATGATGATGCCTATTATACAGCATTGTTGTAAGGAGTAGAAATAATGGATGTAAAGTACCTGGATGAGTGCTGGCATCCAGTGGGTACCTGATAAGTGGTCTGTATTTATTTATTTATTTATTTATTTTTGAGATGGAGTCTCACTCTGTAGCCAAGGCTGGGGTGCAATGGCACGATCTTGGCTCACTGCAACTTCTGCCTCCTGGGTTCAAGTGATTCTCCTGCCTTAGCCTCCTGAGTAGCTGGGATTACCGGCATGCACCACTACGCCCAGTGTGTTTTTGTATTTTCGGTAGAGACAGGGTTTTGCCATGTTGGCCAGGCTGGTCTCGAACTCCTCACCTCAGGTGATCTGCACCTGCCTCGGCCTCCCAAAGCGCTGGGATTACAGGCATGAGCCACCGTGCCCTGCCTTCTTTCCTTTTTTTGAGATAGGGTCTCACTCTGTCACCCAGGCTGGACTGCAGTGGTGCAATCTCGGCTCATTGCAACCTCTGCCTCCCGGGCTCAAGTGATCCTCCCACCTTAGCCCCCCAAGTAGCTGAGACCACAGGGATCCACCATTATGCCTGGCTAATTTTTGTATTGTTTTGTAGATGGGGTTTAGCCATATTGCCCAGGCTGGTCTCAAACTCCTGAGCTCAAGTGATCCGCCTGCCTCGGCCTCCTAAAGTGCTGGGATTACAGGCATGAGCCACCATGCCCAGCTGTAAAATTTTTCCTTTTAGAGAACAGGGTCTTGCTGGGTTTGCCAGACTGGAGTGCAGTGGCTATTCATAGGCAATGACCGTGGCATACTATAGCCTGGAACTCCTGGGCTAAGGTGATCCTCCTGCTTCAGCCTCCTGAGTTGCTGGGACTACAGGCACCCAGCAGATAAACAATGTTTTGTAATCATGCCTGACAGTAAGAATTTTCCAACGGCTAGTTAAAAATACAGATTCCCTGGCCAGGTGTGGTGGCTCACGCCTGTTATCCCAGCAGTTTGGGAGGCCGAGGTGGGCACAGATCACTTGAGGTCAGGAGTTCAATACCAGCCTGGACAACATGGAGAAACCCCATCTCTACTAAAAATACAAAAATTAGCCAGGCATGGTGGCGGGCACCTGTAATCCTGGCTACTAGGGCAGCAGAATCACTTGAACCTGGGAGGTAGAGGTTGCAGTGAGCCGAGATCGGGCCACTGTACTCCAGCCTGGGTGACAGAACAAGACTTTGCCTAAAAAAAAAAAAAAAATACAGATTCCCAGGCTTCACCCTCTACAGTCTATGGAAAGGCATGGGAATCTATATTATAACAAGCCATTGAGTTTCTTTTTCTTTTTCTTTTTTTGAGACAGAGTCTTGCTCTGTCACCTAGGCTGGAGTGCAATGGCGTGATCTCAGTTCACTGCAACCTCCGCCTCCTGGGTTCAAGTTATTCTTCTGCCTCAGCCTCCTGAGTAGCTGGGATTATAGGCGTGTGCCGCCACCCCCAACTAATTTTTGTATTTTTTAGTAGAGACAGGGTTTCACCATGTTGGTCAGGCTGGTCTCAGACTCCTGACCTCATGATCTGCCCACCTTGGCCTCCCAAAGTGCTGGGATTATAGGTGTGAGCTGGCACTGGGTGGCTTCTATGAGGAAGTTTTGGAATGCATCCAGGAGCCCTCCACTCCAGGTTCTTGGTTTATTAGCCTTTTGGTCCTCTATTTATCTAGCCCTCTGTTCAGTAAAGCTTTAGGTTTGTTTGAAGGAGACATGATTAGAAGGTCAAATATTGTATATTCTCAAGGCGAATGTGTCCTGAACTTTGCATAGTAGAATTTATTCCTGAAAAGTTGTTTGCAGATGGAATTTGTTTTGTGCGTGAGAGAACAGGCATATACAGAATACCTTAGTTTGCTATTTAATTTAAATCAATATTATCTGAGTGACTGTTATTTGCTGAGGATACAATGATAAACAAGATGCAGACCCCATCTTCAAGGGTCTTAGAGTCCAGCGAGGAAGGTGGTCAAATAAACAGGCAATTACAAAATTGTGGTTAGATAAGGTTAAGCACAGGGAGCTATGGTGGATGGAGGAGGAAGTGCACCCAACTCAGTGTTGGGGCATCTTGGAATTTCTAGGTGAAGTGACATGTGATGGAGAAACCTATAGACTGGAATATAGTCTCAAATCCATTGCAAAGGGAATGATCCTTCCCCAACTTATCTTCGTGGAAAAATAAACTTTCTTTCTTTCTTTTTTTTTTTTTTTTTTATTGAGATGGAGTCTTGCTCTGTTGCCCAGGCTGGAGTGCAGTGGTGCGATCTCGGCTTACTGCAACCTCCGCCTCCCAGGTTCATGCCATTCTCCTGCCTCAGCCTCCCGAGTAGCTGGGACTGCAGGTACCTGCCACTGCGCCTGGCTAATTTTTTCTACTTTTAGTAGACGGGATTTCACTGTGTTAGCTAGGATGGTCTCCATCTCCTGACCTTGTGATCTGCCCACCTCGGCCTCCCAAAGTGCTGGGATTACAGGCGTGAGCCACCGCGCCCAGCCGAAAAATAAACTTTCACATCATGTTACCCCTGGATACATTTTTGTGGCCATGCATCTGCACGAATATTCAATCCCTGCTACAGGCAAGACACTGAGTGGGACGTTGCAGGGCTACCAAGGTGAGGAGGTCCCAACCCCTGTCCTCAAGGAGTTGATGTAACACCTACCCAGGATTAATTTCATTTCTCTCAGAGGTCATTAATCCAGTGTGATCTGTTTATGGCTGAAGAGGTAGTTTATTATTCAGGTCTTCACTCCCTTTCCTGAAAAGGCTGTTTATTTTGTTTCATCACTGTGCAGTGGCGAAATCCAGTTCCAACCAATACTTAAGCTGGGCATACATTTTACCCAGGAGAAAACTGAAGGGCGTGCAGGAGTTCACAGAGCTGTTTGCTGACCCAAGCCATGAATCTGTGGAGACCTGGGTCGGTCTTCAGGGTTAGTAGGGTCTGTAGGGTCTGTGAGGATCCGAGGCAGCCTGCAGACCTACTATCATCTTCTTTTTCTTTTTTATAATTGGCAATCATCCTTGGCTACCCAGTAGCATCTTTTTTTTTTTTTTTTGAGATAGAGTTTCACTCTTGTTGCCCAGGCTGGAGTGCCATGGCGCGATCTCTGCTCACTGCAACCTCTGCCTCCTGGGTTCAAACGATTCCCCTGCCTCAGCCTCCCGAGTAGCTGGGATTACAGGCATGCGCCACTACACCCAGCTCATTTTGTATTTTTAGTAGAGACAGGGTTTTTCCATGTTGGTCAGGTGGTCTTGAACTCCCGACCTCAGGTGATCCGCCCACCTTAGCCTCCCAAAGTGCTGGGATTATAGGCGTGAGCCACTGTGCCCAGCCCCCTGGTAGCATCTTAAATCAAGCTTTCCTTCCCTCTGGGTATCATGGACATGAACACCTTTTATGTCTCTGCCTCAAGAGGGGAGGAGGCACAGAGGAACAAAAATCCTTGTGAATTATGATAATTACATAGTGTTTAAATGAAGGGTGGCAAGGTGTGTAAGTCCATAGGTAAGGTTTCTTTTTTCTTTTTCTTTTCTTTTTTTTGAGATGGAGTCTCACTCTGTCACCCAGGCTGGAGTGCAGTGGTGCAATCTTGGCTCACTGCAACCTCCGTCTCCCGGGTTCAAGCGATTCTCCTGCCCTCAGCCTCTGGAGTAGCTGAGATTACAGGCACGCCATCACGCCCAGCTAACTTTTGTATTTTTAGTAGAGATGGGTTTTCACCATGTTGGCCAAGCTGGTCTCGCACTCCTGACCTCAAGTGATCTGCCTGCCCCGGCCTCCTGAAGTGCTGGGGTTACAGGTGTGGTGTGAGCCACCACGCCCAGCCTCTTCTTTTTTTTTTTTTTTTTTTTGAGACAGGTTTTCACGTTATTCCCCAGGTTGGAGTGCAGTGTTGCCATCTTGGTTTACTGCAGCCTAGGTTCAAGCCATCCTTGTATCGGCCTCCCAGGTAGCTTAGTCTACAGCTGTGTGCCACCACACCCGGCTAATTTTTGTAGAAACTGGGTTTCACCCCGTTGCCCAGGCTGGTTTCGAACTCTTGAGCTTAAGTGATCTAGTCACCTTGGCCTCCGGAAGTGCTGGGATTACAGGCGTGAGCCATCGTGCGGCCTGGCAAAGTTTCTTTATCCTCAGTGCTTGTCTGGGTGTGTTGTCTGGTGGGAACCACTTAGACCCTGTAAGTGAATGTGTATTCCCATCTTGTAGATGGTAACCTGAGGCCCAACGGGTGTCTGGAGGTAGTGTTGGACACCTCGTGGTCTGCATCTTGCTGCACACAGAATCCAGCCTAGACTCATTATCCTGGCCTTTGAAGTCTCCCCCAGTATGAATCCCCCAGCCTCCCATTCCTGTTTCTCCGAAGGCCAAGCTCGAAGCATCTGCTGCCTCGTTTCTGCCAAGTTGGCCCCACCTCCTGAGACACTTCTCCCCTCTACTGGCCTGGTGAAACTCAACACATCCTTCAAAGCCCAGCTCAGGTGTCACCTCTCTCCTGGTTGGAATTAACCTCTTCCTCCTTAGCACTCTCTGGTTTGGCCCTTTCTCTTGCGGCTTCTCCTGGGCAAGTGGCATAGCCTCCCTGATCCTAGTGTCTTCCTCTGTGCATGGGCACAGGAGTAATATCTGCTGTGATCTTTAACTCCTGTCAGTTCATTGACCTCTTTAACAACGTGATGAAAGCTTCCAGAAGAGCTAATGTATGTGGAGTCCCACGATGTGTCAGGCTAGGTGTTTAGGACTTTACTAACTACTGTCTCGTTTAATCGCGAATGCAGTGGACCTCTCTCTCCACACGTCCTAGTACGATCTTTATTTCACACGGGAGGAGAGGAGGGTGGGTGGGGTCGGCCAGAGAGGAGAAATGCGTCTCCAGAGTTCACAGGGCTGGTACTACCAGCAGAGCCCCGTCCACCATATGCCACAGCTGGGGTTCTAATCCCTGGACTGGCTTGTACTGGGCTCTCTGCCTCCCTGGCCGGCGCTCGGGGGCTGGGGGACAGAACACAATGTACAGCGTGCCTTCTACAATTTCGGGGTTCACGCACCCCCAAGCCCACCCAGGGCCAGGTCAAACGCGCCTTCGCCGGGTTGCTGTCTACAATCAGGCTTGGCTGCGCTCTCAGTAGGGGTCTCGGTCAACCTCTGCCCACCCGAACCCGGCGCCGTGGACCTGGTGTGAGGCTGGGGAGCCCGTCCTGAGGGGTGCCGGCTCGAGGCGCTAGAGCCACGGAGCCTGGTCCCGGGCTCCAAGTCCCAGGAATGTGGGAGGGCTGGGCGGAGGGGCGGGCGAGGCGGGAGCGCTTCCTCTGCCCGCGGGAGGGGATCCGCGGCCGGCTCGGAGGGGGCGGGGGCAGCGGCGGGCGGCGGCGAGGGGCTGCGGAGCTCCGCAGCCGCCGGGCCGGCCGGGGCGGGAGGAAGCGATGAATATTCAGAGGGGGAGGGGAAGGGAGGGGGCCGAGCGCTCGCCGCGGCTCCCTGCAGCAGCCCCAGCCGCATGACGCGCGGAGGAGGCAGCGGGAGCAGCCGCGGGAGCCGGGACCGGGTAGCCGCGCGCTGGGGGTGGGCGCCGCTCGCTCCGCCCCGCGAAGCCCCTGCGCGCTCAGGGACGCGGCCCCCCCGCGGCAGCCGCGCTAGGCTCCGGCGTGTGGCCGCGGCCGCCGCCGCCGCTGCCATGTCTCCGGGGAAGCCCGGGGCGGGCGGAGCGGGGACGAGGCGGACCGGCTGGCGGAGGAGGAGGCGAAGGAGACGGCAGGAGGCGGCGACGACGGTGCCCGGGCTCGGGCGCACGGCGGGGCCCGATTCGCGCGTCCGGGGCACGTTCCAGGGCGCGCGGGGCATGAAGCCGGCGGCGCGGGAGGCGCGGCTGCCTCCGCGCTCGCCCGGGCTGCGCTGGGCGCTGCCGCTGCTGCTGCTGCTGCTGCGCCTGGGCCAGGTAAGCGCCGGGTGGGCTCGGGCGGGGGGCAGGAGGCTGGGGCGGGACTGGCATTGACTGCACCTGCCCGAGCGTACCCCCCCGGGGGGTTCCGGGGAAGGGGGCGGGGGTCCGGATCCCCGGATCCCCGGAAGGCGACTTGCGGGGACCCCGGCCGGCCTCGCACGCCGGCGATCGATCCCTTTTCCGGCTGCCCAGGATCGGGGGAGAGAGGCGGGATCCGGGTGCCGCGGTGCCCGAGCCTCCCGGGGAAAGCCTCCGCGCGGGCTCCAGGCCGTCCCTGGCCCGGCTCTTCCCGGCGCTGGGCACATCTGGCGGGCACGGGCCCGGCTTCCTAGCCGGAGGCGGCCGGAGGGGGCGTGTTTGCGGAGGTCTGGGGACGCAGAGCCGGGCGGCCTGGCTGAGCCTTTGCCGACAGACCTCCGACCCGGCCTGCAGGGGCCCGAGGGGCGGCGGGGGCGACAGGGCAGGGCCAGGCGCTGGGCAGTGGGGCCCTGGGCGAGGCGCGGGACTCCGGGCCGAGGGCCCTGTTCCTGGGGAAAGTTCCCAGGCCGGGGAAAAGGTGGCCGCACGCTGGCTTTTCTCAAGGCAGCCGGCCCTCTTGGCGTCGTGCTTGATTTCATGGGTGTTTAATTCGTGCTTTGTGGGCGCTGGCTCCCCCTCCCCACCCCACCCTCACCCTCTTTTCTGGCTTCACTTTTCAGATAATGCTGTCCCTGGCGTTTTGGTGACCGACCTTTCCCCTTCCTGGCATTTCCATAGGGGCTGAGGCAGAGCAGCTGAAGGGGCATTCCCATTTCACAGATGGGGAACTGAGGGAGAGAAGTGAAATAGCGGAGCACCCAGCCCGTGCCATGGGAGCTGAGCCAGCGGGCACGTCCTCTTAGCCTCTGGAGCCTGTTGGGGTTTGAACCCGCAGGGGAAGCGGTCTAGGGCTGCCTTGCTGTGCGTTTCTGCAAATGACCATCTTGCTTGTTTTATACAGACACCATCTCTGAGGAAATGAGTTATTGGCTGGGGATGGAACCTGGTTTCAGGGAAAACTTCTCCAGCGCGAATACAGGAGAGAGCAGAAGCATCACCCTGGGGCAGCAATGCCGCCTAGCAGGCTGTAGGAGAAGGGGGCTGGGGCCTGGGGGCTGCGTGACCCTCGGCACCCAAGGGTCTCTCCTCGCAGTTTCCCCAGCAGGTTCTGCACAGGCTCTCCTGGGGGCCAGAAGGCAATGTGACCTCCTGCAGAGAACCTGGGAGTAGATGTCAGGAGACTGGCTCCAGGGCCGGGCCACAGGGCTGGACTTGCTCTTCAGGCTTCTCTACCCTCAGTTAACCGCATCTGTAGAATGAGTATAGCACCCTCTGCCCAATGGAATTGTTTGAGGGGCTTCCACTGGCCAATGTCTAAAAGAACTTTGTAAATATTAAGGGTTTCCACATGGGATTCTCATTATTAAGGTACAGTGCCTGTGGGGGCTGTCTTCTCCCTGTCCATGTAAGGAAATTCAGGGAAGCAGTGTCTGAAGTTAAAAAAGCCTTGTATTTGAAGATTTCTTGTATCAAAAGTTTATGCTAAAACAAAAACCACAAAAAACAGAAAACCCCCAAACTTAAAGCTTCATTTATTTTTAAATGTATAATATATGTAATTTTTTTTTTGCTTCAGCAAAAAAATTTTAAATTATATATATATAAAATTTATTTATTTTTGCTCCAGCCATAGTGGTTGCTAGCTGTGTTCTCAATCAGCAAAAAGTTTCTTGGGTAAATTTATTGCTTGCTCAATCCTTCCTTGTATTTCATTAGCATATTGCCACTCTACACTTGTCCTGTATTTAGATATTTCCTTCCTCTATGGTTTGTTCTGTAGAACCTCAAAAGGACTCTCTTATTTCTTTTTTTTTTGGACACATTATGAAATAGGAAGTCTAAAAGGCTCCCAGAAGAAGCATCTTCAAAATCCACATTCAGCAGTTCATTTTGATAATGGATATTTCAGGGAATCAGTGCATTTTTGAGCTGGACCAGACTTTCAAGACAGCTGAAACCCCTCAGAGCTCTTAGATGAGGATATTGATGTCCAGAGAAGACAGGGAGCAGGCTGAGGTCACCCAGCAAGGTATTAGAGAAGACAAGATGGGAACCTGGGTCACCGGCCTGGGCCTCATATTTTCAAAGTGCTATTTTTTTTTTTCCCGTGTTTTCACTTTGATCTTACTTTTAATGATAGGGACGTATCACTGTGTCTTCTCAAAATGGTGGGTGTGAATGGAATTTTTCAAAGTTGAATCAATTTGAGATATTTCTGAAGTTTGTTTAGGAAACAAGTATGTGACTACCTTCCTAAGAGCTGACTGGTTTTTTGAGGCCTGGATTGTGTGTGTATGTGCTTATGTGTGTGTTATAAAATGGAATCAACTATACCAGGTTAAACAAATGGACAAGTCATGGAAAAGACACAGCTCTGTTTGGACATTAATAAGGGCGGGTGTGGAAGCTGGAAAGCTGAGATGCCGGAAGGCTCAGTGCTTAGTAGGCCCGGAAAAGCAATTTTTGAACTGGCATCTCATTCCCCTTTTCTAAGACAGGAAGGACGGTCAGAGATGATTCCAACATGAGGACTTTGCTAGTTGCAGTGTCTGACTCCTCCCATTCTCATAGCAGTTTTGCACAGTAGTTTTGGTTTGTGTGTATGTTTTAGGCAATGTGACAAAGCAGTTTTCCTCCTGCCTCCTTGAGAAATTTAATCCTGACAGGTTCTTTAAGAAATCAGCTTGATGTGGGCTGATTTTAAAAGAATAAATGAAAAAAAAAAGCTGGTGACTGATAGCTGTTTTATTGGTCTTGTAGTGTTTTGGTTTTGTTTTATCTTCACTTTCTTGTTTCCTGGTGAATAATAACTGGGTTTATTATCTCTCATGGCTAATCCTTAAGCCTGATTCCTTACCTGTTCCATCCAGAGTACAAAGTATATTTTGACTCCTCTTTAAACTGCTTGTTAGATTCTCATATGAGTGACTTTAAATATTTTTGTTTTGCTTCAGGACAACGGGAAAACCAAACGATTATGTTTTGTTTGCAGACAGTTTACGAAAACAGCAAATTGGTTTATGGTTAGACCGTGACTTTGAGCTGACTTCAAGTTGGGCCCCACGATAAAGATAACCATGGAATACCCAAGCTTTCCTAAGCAGAGAGGATCCTGGCTTCCAAATGAGCAATTTTGGTCAGCAAAGGGGTTATTTAGCTCCTAAAAGTAATTTTTGCTTGAGGTTGGGGCTGAGGCAGAGTGGCTGAACAACCGTAGGCCTGGGTGTAGCCAGAGGATCATCAGTAATTACTTCTCAGTTCATTCACTTCTTGGGCTAGGGAATTATTTTGAGTGCAGGATAAGAGGCAATTTTCTGTGTGTTTCCCTTCTAATATAATGCCACTGATGATATTATAATTAATAGGTAACATTATGCATGACAGGCACTGTGTGCTAAGGGTTTTAATGCATTATTTCATTTGGCCATTTCAGAAATACCAAGAGGTAGGTGCTGTTCTTGTTTATTTGTTTGTTTTTTTTTTTGATAGGGAGTCCCACTCTGTCACCCAGGCTGGAGTGCAATGGTGCAATCTTGGCTCACCGCAACCTCCACCTCCTGGGTTCAAGTGATTCTCTTACCTCAGCCTCCCGAGTAGCTGGGATTACAGGCGTATGCCGCCATACCTGGCTACTTTTTGTATTTTTAGTAGAGATGGGGTTTCACCATGTTGGCCAGGCTGGTCTTGAACTCCTGACCGTAGGTGATCTGCCTGCCTTGGCCTCACAAAGTGCAGGGATTATAGGCGTGAGCCACTGTGCCCGGCCTTTTTTTTTTTTTGAGATGAAGTCTAGCTCTGTTGCCAGGCTGGAGTACGGTGGTGTGATCTTGGTTCACTGCAACCTCCGCCTCCTGGGTTCCAGGGATTCTCCTGCCTCAGCCTCCCAAGTACCTGGGATTACAGGCACGTGCCGCCATGCCCAGTTAATTTTTGGATTTTTATTAGAGACAGGGTTTCAGCATGTTGGCCAGGATGGTCTTGATCTCCTGACCTCATGATCTGCCCACCTCGGCCTCCCAAAGTGTTGGGATTACAGGCGTGAGCCACCGTGCCCGGCCTGTTTTTGTTTTTAAGAGACAGGGTCTTGCTTTGTCACCCAGGCTGGAGTGCAGTGGTACAAACGTAATTCACTGCAATCTCAACCTCCTGGGCTCAAGGGCTCCTCTCGTTTTAGCCTCTCAAGTATCTGGGACTAAAGGCGTGTGCTACCATTCCTGGCTAATTTTTTTTTTTAATAGAGATGGTGTCTCGCTATGTTGCCCAGTCTGGTCTTGAACCTCTGGGCTCAAGTGATCTGCCCACCTTGGCTCCCCAAAGTGTTGGGATTACAGGCATGAACCACTGCACCCAGCCATGTTTTTATTTTATCTGAGAGAAAACTGAGGTTCAGAACTTAACTGTATACTTCTGGAATCTTCACAGAGAAATAAAAAAAAAGAAAAATAATTTACTATAGATTCATTAACTACTACGTGGCGGAGCCAGGGCTGATGTCTCCACTGCCCCAATTTACCATCCTGTGCTGTAAAAAGTCATGGAGAAGGTTTTCTGTGTGCAGCTAAGAGAGGAGGTGGCAGACATTTATTTATTTATTTATTTATTTATTTATTTATTTATTTATTTATTGAGACGAAGTCTCACTCTGTTGCCTGGGCTGGAGTGCTGTGGCACGATCTCGGCTCACTGCAACCTCCATCTCCCGGGTTCAAGCGATTCTCCTGCCTCAGCCTGCTGAGTAGCTGGGATTACAGACGTGCGCTACCATGCGCAGCTAATTTTTGTATTTTTAGTAGAGATGAGGTTTCGCCATGTTGACCAGGCTGGTCTTGAACTCCCAACCTCAGGTGATCCGCCCACCTCGGCCTCCCAAAGTGCTGGGATTACAGGCCTGAGCCACCGCACCTGGCCCAGACATTTTTTAGACAGTCTTGCTGTGTTGCCCAGGCTGGACTCGAACTCCTGGGTCCAGTTGACATCCCTCTTCATCCTTCCAAGTAGCCAGGACTGCAGGGACATGCTACCTTTATTTTGGGTTCTTTGTGTCCTAAACCCTGTATGATCTGCTCCATTTGTAACACAGAGAACCCAGGTGCCCTCTTTCCTGCTTATATTTCTTTGGGGCCTCAGTTTACAAGGCAAGTCTGCCTTTGTGGAGATAGACTGGGGTCTGGGATGGAAAGACCTGGGTTTGGGTCTTTGCTCTGCCACTGCATAAACTCAGCAAGTCACTTAACCTCTGTGACTTCTCATTTCCTTATCTGGAAAATGGGACTAACACTTCCTGCTTCACTGGGTGGTTGAGAGGATCAAATAAGATAGAAAAGGAATTGCTACGTAACACCTAAAGCAAGGCCCAACTGCTAGTTGTGGCTGCTGCTGTTACTTGGAGAGAAGAAATGAGGCCCCAGATCATTAGTTCATATGACAATTTTTTCTTTTTTTAAGACGGAGTCTCACTCTGTTGCTTAGGCTGGAGTGCAGTGGCGTGATCTCCACTTACTGCAACCTCCGCCTCCCGGGTTCAAGCAATTCTACTGCCTTAGTCTCCTGAGTAGCTGGGACTACAGGCACGCTCCGTCATGTCTGGCTAGTTTTTGTATTTTAGTTGAGACGGGGTTTCACCACATTGGCCAGGCTGGTCTTTAACTCCTGACCTCAGGTGATCCACCTGCCTTGGCCTCCCAAAGTGCTGGGATTACAGTCTGAGCCACCACGCCTGGCCCATATGACAAATATTTATGAAGTGTTTTCCACAGAGTAGTATGGAATAACTCTGGGTGTGTGCAAGATGAACTGAGCTCAGTCACAATACTTTTTTTTCCCCTAATGTTAAGAATTATTGGCTGGGCAGGGTGACTCATTCCTTTAATCTCAGCACTTTGGAAGGCAGAGGTGGGAGGATCAGGTGAGCCCAGGAGTTTGAGACCAGCCTGGATGACAAAGTGAGACCTTGTCTATACAAAAAATTAGCTGGGCATGGTGGTGTGGACCTGTGGTCCCACCTACTTGAGAGGCTGAGTTGGGAGGATGGCTTGAGCCCTGGGAGGTTGAAGCTGCGGTGAACCTTGATAGCGCCACTGCACTCCAACCCAGGCAACAGAGTGAGACCCTGTCTCAAAAAGAAAAAAAATAAAAAATAATTTATTTTAGGGGGTCTTAGTAAAGAAAGACCCCCAAAAGTCCATGATTTTATAGGTCGAATGAGGTGAAAAGTGGTATCATGATAAATAAATTTGTTTAAATATCATAAAAAGTTGGTCTAAAGAAAAACATTGGGTAAATAATTATGTGAGTATGATGTGGTTATGACCAAATTGTAAAGATGATCAGTTTCTTAAGTCTGGGGGACAGGCACTGAGCAGAGGCCGTGGTGGGGAACAGGAGCCTGTCTTCATGGCTCTTACTGGCCACTGGGCAAGACTCAGATAGCACCAACCAACCAGTCACAGTTGTGATGTAGGATGTGACTGTGAATGACATCCCTGCTGCCCGCTTCAGAGAAAGGGCTGCCACTTGCCAGAGAAGGAATGGTGATAATGAGGGACAGCCAGTCCCTAAGTGGAGATCCCTGAAAGTGGTGAATATCTTAGACCAGAGAAGCCCAGAGCAGTTTTTTTACCACCTTGTATGGCTGGTTTTCCAGTGGCTTTACTGGTGCCCCCTCGGAGGACAGGGGCTGTAGGAAGTTTGTTATTACTTCCTTATTAGTGACAGCTGCAGTCATCCTATTGTCTCAGAATTTCCCTGGCATGTAAATGGTAGGATAAGGGGTGGTGGTAAGCAGATGGGGGGCATTTTGAAAACGAGGCAGTGTCAGCTCCCACAGAAGGTCTAATTTTAAACATGCAAATAATTTTCAGTTCCACTTTTCCTTCTTCCTGTTAGAGGGAAGTTGTCCCCTGTTGCCATTTCTGAAACTTGGGCGGACAATGTCGTTATTGTGTTACAAACGATTTGCGTCTCCAGGGCAGGAGTTGGGTGATATTTTTCTGGGAGCCTGTGCCAGGGCGTAGCCCAGTGTTATCTCATGGTTTCTGAGTGAATGAGTGAGTGAGTATTAAAACTTCATATCAACATGGAGCCTATAACACAGTGGTTCTGAATCTTTCTTGGGGGGGAAAAGAAGAGATACAAGACCCCTAGAGAGTATAGAGAGTATGTAAAAGGGAAGAATCCTTCCCCAAAAGGGAATGCACATATTTACAATATTGTATCCAATTTCAGAAGGTTTTTTTAAAATTTTTAATTTTATTGTTTTTTTTTTGAGACACGGTCTCAGTTTGTACCCCAGCGTGGAGTGCAGTGGCATGATCTTGGATCTCGGCTCACTGCAGCCTCTGCCTCCTGACCTCAGGTGATCCACCCACCTCGGCCTCCCACAGTGCTGGGATTACAGGTGTGAGCCACCATGCCTGACCATGACTAGTGTTTTGATGTGTGGATTTACTACAATTTATTTGACCATTCTCCTATCAATGGACACTTTAGTTGTTTTAGTACACCTCCCTGTCCCGTCACAAATCATACTTTGTAATGTTTCTGGTGGATATTTCTTGTAACCTTCACAAGTTTATCTGTAGAGTAAATTTCTAGTTTCAGGATTACTGGATTGGAAGATGCATGCATTTAAAAGTGTGATTGCTGTTGTCAGGTTGTCCTCCAAAAGTGTCCCCTCAGTTTGTACCTGTATCCATAGGTTTGGAGAGTGTCTGTTTCTCCATACCGTCTCATCTGAAATGAAAATTTTTACATGTTTGCTAGTCTGAAAGGTGAAAAATTGTATCTTGTTTTTTTTTTTTTTTTTTTTTTTTTTGAGACGGAGTCTTGCTCTGTTGCCCAGGCTGGAGTGCAGTGGCGCTGGGCTCACTGCAAGCTCCGCCTCCCAGGTTCATGCCATTCTCCTGCCTCAGCCTCCCGAGTAGCTGGGACTACAGGCGCCCGCCACCAAGCCCAGCTAATTTTTTGTATTTTTAGTAGAGACGAGGTTTCACCGTGTTAGCCAGGATGGTCTCGATCTCCTGACCTTGTGATCCGCCCGCCTCGGCCTCCCAAAGTGCTGGGATTACAGGTGTGAGCCACCGCGCCTGGCCGTATCTTGTTATTTTTATTTATATCTTTAATTTTGAGTTAGTTGAGTTTTTTGGTCATTTGCCTCTGCTTCTTCTTCTTTTTTTGTTTTCTTTTTTTTTTTGAGACAGAGTTTTGCTCTTGTTGTTCAGGCTGGAGTGCAATGGCGTGATCTTGGCTCACTGCAACCTCCACCTCCCAGGTTCAAGTGATTCTCCTGCCTCAGCTTTCTGAGTAGCTGGGATTACAGGCGTGTGCCACCACGCCCAGCTAATTTTTTGTATTTTTAGTAGAGATGGGACTTGTTCCTTAGGAACCATGTTGGCCAGGCTGGTCTTGAACTCCTGATCTCAGGTGACCCACCTGCCTCGGCCTCCCAAAGTGCTGAGATTACAGGCGTGAGCCACTGTGCCAGGCCCCATTTTTTGTTTTTTGGTTAACTCCCTGTTCATTAAAAAAAAAAAATCTATATCTATAGATAGATAGATATAGATATAATCTTTGTTATCAATTTGTATAAGCTCTTTGGAAATTAGTCCTTCGATTGTCATTTGTATTGCAAACACATTCCCCCTCCCCCATGCCAATTATTTTAGATGTAGCACTTGTTCCTTAGGAACTCAGAGATAAATAAGACCCTAGGGTGGTGAAGAGAGCATAGAATTTGGAACAAGACTCCTTTGTTGGAGTCTTGGCTCTACCACCTCATTAGCTGTGTGATCTTGGGCAGGTATCTTGACCTTTCTGATCCTTGCTCTTCATATTCCAAAAATGCTAATAATAGGAGTACCTCTGACACAGGGTAGTTGGAGAAGCTAAGTGTGATCATATTATGCTAAAATTCCTTGTAAATGGCTATGGAAACATAAACACAGCATTTTATAAAATACCACGAGGTATTCCATTTACTGAAGAGTTACATCAGAAGAGTATTTCTGATTGTGCCACTGCACTCCAGCCTGGGCGACAGACTGAGATTCCATCTCAAAAAACAAACAAACAAAAAACTAGCCAGTCATTTATAAGAATGAGTTACAGCTATAGGTGCAGGCGGTAAATACTCTCCAAGATATCTAAATAAATTAAAAGGCTATGTAGAGAACAATGTATATATAATGTTACCTTTAAAGTGACAAAAAAAGGTGAATATAGATACTTGTGTATCAGAAGAGAGAGGTATTCCATTTACTGAAGAGTTAGGGCAAAGACCATAATATTGTAATTATCAATAATTATGAATTGTCAAAATTATGTCATGAAACCTCTTTTTTTCTTTTTTTTGAGGGGGAGTCTTGCTCTGTCACCCAGGCTGGATTGCAGTGGTGTGATCCTGGTTCACTGCAACCTTTGCCTCTGAGGTTCAAGTGATTCTTCTGCCTCAGCCTGGGATTACAAGCATGCGCCACCATGCCTGGCTAATTTTTGTAGTTTTAGTAGTGACAGGGTTTCATCATGTTGGCCAGGCTGGTCTGGAACTGCTGACCTCAAGTGATCTGCCTGCCTTGGCCTCCCAAAGTGTTGGGATTTTTTTTTTTTTTTTTTTGGAGACGGAGTCTCACCCAGTCACCCAGGCTGGAGTTCAGTGGCGCAATCTTGGCTCACTGCAAGCTCCACCTCCCGGGTTCACGCCGTTCTCCTGCCTCAGCCTGGCTGGGACTATAGGCGCCCGCCACTATGCCTGGCTAATTTTTTTGTATTTTTAGTAGAGACAGGGTTTCATTGTGTTAGCCAGGATGGTCTCAATCTCCTGACCTCATGATCCGCCCGCCTCAGCCTCCCAAAGTGCTGGGATTACAGGCATGAGCCACCGTGACCGGCGGAAAGTGTTGGGATTACAGGTGTGAGCCACCGCGCCCGGCCCCATGAAACCTCTTATATTGGGTTTGAGATTAAATCCACAATGGATTGTGTGTATTATATATACACACACAGACACACGCAAATGTATTAAAATGTATAATATGAAGCAGTGGAACTTCCCTGATAGCACAATTTAAATATTTCCTTTTTGACAAACGTGCATAGTTAAATAAATTAAGTGACCACCAGGTGTGACTGAAGAGTGGCCAGTGTCTATTCCTAGCCCCGAAGGAGCACAGGGATATTGACTGTGTCCCTTAAAAAAAACAAAACAAAACGTAGGGCTTTCTTTGTATTGGTTTGAACATTTCTCTTTATCTTGTGACCTGGCCAACTCTGGCTATGGCTGCCTCCTGTCTCTCGGTACATTTTCTGTGGCGGTCAAGAGGAGTTATTTTAAGCCACCAATGGGAAAGTTTAAAGACATAATCCTTGGCTGTAATTGCGGGAGACGGGAGGCTGAGAGTCTGTGCTGACTTGCCACCTGTTTCCACGGCAGCAAGGTGATTGTGCATTTCCTGCTGCTGGCTGAGGGGCCAGCAAATTTTCATGTCGTTGTGTCATGGGGAAGTTTTCCTGTCTCAATGAGAGCACACCGTGCTTGTGGTCTTGTTCCTGTGACCAGGACATGGAGAACTATGGGGAGATTGTTCTGGGTGTGAAGGGAAATTGCTGGCCAGTGCTTAGTGCACGGGCTTTGGAGTCAGAGCCAACTTCTCCACCTCCTACCTGTGTGACCTTGGGCCTATCCTTCTAATGCTTGGAGTCTCTTCTGTCCTCATCTGTATGATGGGGATAACAAGAATACCTACTTTATAGGATTGCTGTGGAGGATTAAATGGATCTGCATGACAAATGCTTAGCATGAAAAAATCCCTCAACAGATATTGGCTGCTATTTTATTATCTTATTGTGCTGAGACACTGGCATAATTTACAATTCAAAAATTAAATTTTTTTAATCTTATACTGTAGTTTACAAGGCCCTTTCACATATATGAGCTTGTTCAATCCTCACAGCGTCCTTGAGTTTGTCATTGTTATTGCCATTTAAAAAGGTATGACTCAGAGTGGCTGTAATTGACTTGTCCAATTCAGGTTTCATCTGTCTTTTGCAGAATAATAATCATGTACGTTCATAGTATAGGCCACCTCTTTTTTTTTTTGTTTTTTAAGACATAGTCTCGCCCTGTCACCCAGGCTGGAGTGCAGTGGTGCGATCTCAGCTCACTGTAACCTCCGCCTTCTGGGTTCAAGCGATTCTTGTGCCTCAGCCTCCTGAGTAGCTGGCATTACAGGAGCCCGCCCACCATGCCTAGCTAATTTTTGTATTTTTAGTAGAGACAGGGTTTCACCATGTTGGCCAGGCTGGTCTGGAACTCCTGACCTTGTGATCTGCCTGCCTTGGCCTCCCAAAGTGCTGGAATTACAGGTGTGAGTCACCGCGCCCAAGTATAGGCCACTTTTAAGAATTACTCAGAGTTAGCTTATAAGAGGCGAATCAGTGGAGTCCTCCAGTTTGGTTCACACATAATTATTAGGTTGAACCATATAAAGTTACTGTTTTTGGTCCTGTGAATATTAGTATTTATATATGGTTCCAATCTGATATGTTCCAGAAAATACACACTTAAGTAAAGTTTGGAAAACCAAATCATAGACTTACATACTGTAAGGCGGTGTATTTGAAACTGGGATGTAAAATCAATTTAGTGAGTTATGACCTGCATTAAAAAAATGGTAGAATATCAGAGTTTGCTGGTAAGTATTGTAAAAATACCAGAGTTTGCTGGTGAGTATTGTCCATTTCAGTTATATATGTGCGCACGTGTGTGTGGTGTGTATGTGTGTATACTAAATTGCATATAAAATGAATTTCTTATCATGGGTTCACCTGTTGCCAGAAAACACTGGAAGTCACTGTTCCAGGGAATGGAATGGTGGAAGATGCCTGGTGGGGGATGGAGGTGGATTCTGTTTCCAGACACAGTAAAAAAAACCAGTATAAAGTCCCCAATTATGCATTGTCAGTGTCTCTATGTGTAGCTGGAAACCATTCCTGCAGCAGGTAAGCAGGAAGAACCAAATTGTCGAGAGGCACTTCAGGAAGGGAAGTGGGCCGACTGAAAGCTTTGGAGGCCTGCCTTTAAGTAGCTGCTTTTCTGGAAACTTCAGGGTGACCAGCCTAGTGAACAAGCTATGGGTCAGCGTTGTGTGTTCCTTTGGTAAATGGATTTGGTAGAGAGCTAACACTACTGCATTTGTAGTTTATTTGTTTGTTTGTTTTCTTTTTGAGACGAGTCTCACTCTGTCACCCAGGCTGGAGTGCAGTGTTGCGATCTCGGCTCCCTGCAGCCTCCACCTCCTGGGTTTAAGTGATCCTCCTGCCTCAGCCTCCTGAGAAGCTGGGATTACAGATGTGCACCACCACACCCAGCTAGTTTTTGTATTTTTAGTAGAGACGGGGTTTCATCATGTTGGCCAGGCTGGTGTTGAACTCCCGACCTCAAGTGATCCTCCCATCTTGGCCTCCCAAAGTGCTGGGGCTATAGGGCTGAGTCACCGTACCCAGCCTGCGTCTGTAGTTTAAATGATAACTTAATGACCACCATCCAGTAGCTGAGGCTCTAAGAGGGAGGTCTGAATAGTGGGTGACTCAGCTCAGCCCTGCCTGACCTCTAGCTCTAGGCTGTGCTGTCTCTAGGCTCCGGCACTGATTTGCATGGGCCTGAATGAACCTTCTGGAGATTGTTAGCCCAACTGGCTGAAGGATCCTGATCCCCAGGTTAATTTGATTCCCATCAAACAGTTCATTTTTTTTTTTTTTTGAGAGGCAGTCTCGCTCTGTTGCCCAGGCTGGAGTGCGGTGGTGGGATCTTGGCCCACTGCAAGCTCTGCCTCCCGGGTTCAAGCAGTTCTCCTGCCTCTGCCTCCTGGGTTCAAGCAGTTCTCCTGCCTCAGCCTCCTGAGTAGCTGGGACTATATGTGCAGGCCGCCACACCCGGCTAGTTTTTTGTATTTTAGTAGAGACGGGGTTTCACCATGTTTTCCAGGCTGGTCGTGAACTCTTGAGCTCCGGCAATCCACCCGCTGCAGTCTCCCAAAGTGCTGGGATTACAGTTGTGAGCCACTGTGCCTGGCCTTTTTTTTTTTTTAATATAAAAAAATTGAAAATACAGATAAAAGGAAACAAAATTACCTGTAATCTCCACTCATCCAGGTTAACTCCTGGTACCTTTTTGATGCGATTTCTTTGTCTTTTTAAATGCATGTTCTGTCTATTTATACTACAATAGGATAACCTCCTACATGTGCTTTGTAACTTACATCTTTTAATTTTTAACAGTTGAGGTGGGCCGGGCACCGTGGCTCATACCTGTAATCTCAGCACCTTGGGAGGCCAAGGCAGGCGGATTGCCTGAGCTCAGGAGTTAGAGACCACCCTGAGCAACATGGTGAAACCCTGTCTCTACTAAAATACAAAAAATTAGTGGTGGTGCACGCTTGTGGTCCCAGCTGTTTGGGAGGCTGAGGCATGAGCATCACTTGAGCCCTGGAGGTGGAGGTTGCTTGAGTCCTGGAGGCGGAGTGAGCCAAGATTGCGCCACTGCACTTCAGCTTGGGCTGCAGGGTGAGATTCTGTCTCAAAAAAATAAATAAATAAATAAATAAAATAAAAAAACAATTGAGGTGGATGTCTCCCTAGGGGTACCCCAGGAAGCCACAGGATAAAAAGCAGGCATCTTGCTGGAGGGTCTCTGTTGCTCAGTAGAAATTATTTTGTAATGTTTTTTGAAAACCACAAACATGGACATATTATGGACTGGATACCACATTTGCATCAGGATTTTTTTTTCAACCAGTACAGTACATAACAAAGAAATCTCTACCCTGCAGACCCTCTGGGGGTGTGAGAGCGCTCCTTGCTATTCTCAGGGTCAATGTATGGCAATCTGTGAAGGACTGACAATATATTGCAAACGTTTCCCCCTGCCAGTAAATATTCTTCTTTTGTATAACTGTTAGCTGTTGCATCCATTCCATTATGTGGAGGTACCTTAATTTATCTAATAAGTCCTGTGATTAGTCTTATAGTTTGTTTTCAAAATTTTTTTTGTCACGATAGGCCCTATTCAGTTGACTTTGTGATCAGCTCTGAACATATAATCTGGTGATTGCCTTAAGATAAATTGAATAATAAAAGTAACAATAGTAGCTACCATCGGTTGAATATTTATCATCAACTGTTGTGAGCACGTTGTACATATTAACTCATTTAATCCTATGACGTAGGTATAGGGAAGGAAACTGAGGCTCAGAACCTCTGCCAGCTAGTTGTGGGCTTCCTTTGAGGCACAGGGGAGCTGAATGGGAGGGTCTACATAGGACAGGGCGTGTCTGAGTCCAGGAAGGACAGCTGGACTTGGGCCAGTCTCACAGGTGGGAAGGCTGTCTTTCTGTGAGGATGGGTGACTTGTTGACCTTTGATCCTCAGAGCCCTGATGCAGCAGGAGTGAAATGATTCCCAGAGCCACAGAAAACAAGAGTATCTTTGTCTTGGATTTTAGATCCTGGAGCTATCAGGTGGTAAGAAGGCTGTCTGACCCAGATTAAGTGATGTCATGGTATCATGTTGGGGTGTGGGCCTTCCTGTTGTAAATTATTTGGGATTTCATAGAGATCGAAGTCATGTGTGGATGACATGACTTCAGGATGTCCCATTAGAAGAGGAACGTGGGGGTCAGGCGTGGTGGCTCACGCCAGTAGTCCCAGCACTTTGGGAGGCTGAGGCGGGCGGATCACGAGGTCAGGAGTTCAGGACCAGCCTGACCAACATGGTGAAACCCTGTCTCTACTAAAAATACAAAAATTAACAGGGTGTGGTGGCACATGCCTGTAATCCCAGCTACTCGGGAGGCTGAGGCAGGAGAAGTGCTTGAGCCCGGGAGGCACAGGTTGTGGTGACCTGAGATTGTGCCATTGCACTTCAGCCTGGGCAACAAGAATGAAACTCCATCTCCAAAAAAAAAAAAGGCTGGGTGCGGTGGCTTACGCCTGTAATCCCAGCACTATGGGAGGCCAAGGCGGGTGGATCACAAGGTCAGGAGATCGAGACCATCCTGGCTAACACGGTGAAACCCCATCTCTACTAAAAATACAAAAAAAATTAGCTGGGCATGGTGGTGGGTGCATGTAGTCCCAGCTACTCGGGAGGCTGAGGCAGGAGAATGGCGTGAACCCGGGAGGCGGAGCTTGCAGTGAGCCAAGATCGCACCACTGCACTCCAGCCTGGGGGACAGAGCGAGACTCTGTCTCAAAAAAAAAAAAAAAAAAAAAAGAGGAACTTGGGAAAGAGCATGGGCTTTGGTGTCAGCAGAAGCATGTGTCCAGTTCCATGCTCTTCCCTTATAGCTGTGTGACCCTGCTATCTGCACAGGGACTTGAGCCTCTCAGAATCTGTTACTGCATCTGGAAAATGGAAATCTGGAAATGTCACTGCATCTGTAGCAACAACCAGGCCATTTTGTTACTAGGTTTAAGTGAGGGAAGGCATGTAAGGCACTCAGTCCAGATCATGGCACTTAGTAGGCCTGAGCACATTTGCTCCCACCTCAGTGACCTCCTTGTTAACACGACATCTCCTGACTTTGGGGCTGCAGAGTGATGCAGAGCACTGGCCAGTGTTGCCATGCACCCAGGGTGCAGGGAGACCTGTCTTGCAGGTGTTCAAACAACTTTTGTCAGCCTCAGTGTCAGGGACTTTTGTTGCGTAGAGCAGTCACCAAATCCTATGGTGAGAAGAGAAATCGTTGGAGATGGGGGTGCAGGGGTGGAAGCTCTTATTTCAGAAGACCTGTTGTGAGGTAAGACTCAGACCCTCAGCTTCTATCCGGCCACAGAGTTTGGGACCAGCCTTTCGATGTCTTTTGGAAGATGCACATGGAATGCTTAGCCTTTGCTCTTCCCTGGAACCTGGCTTAGGCTTTGCACCTATCCCACCATGTGGTTGGGGTGAGTGAGGACAACTTCTTTTCCTCCAGAACATGGTTTCTCCATCTCAGCCCTATTGACATTTTGGGCTGGATAACTCGCTGTTTTGGGAGGCTGTCCTGTGTGCCCCGTAGGATGTCCTGCAGCCTCCCTGGCCTCTGCCTGCTAGGAGCCAGTAGCGCCCCCTCCCCCACAGACAAAAATGTCTCCAGATATTGGCAGATGTCCCCTAAAGGGCAAACTACCCTTGCTGTAGGTAATACTTGCTTTGAAGTACTGGTGTGGATGGCCTATGCCCTGGCAGTCTTACTAGGTGGGACTGGCTGTCCTCTCATTCTCATGGGATTGGCCTCATGCTGGTAGCTGACTTCCTCCCCGTGAGACCGTAGGTCTAAACTAACAAGGTTTACACATGTGACAAACATCCAGGTTGCCAGGGCTCAAAAGAGGGTTCACATCGACTCCCTTCTCATTCACTGAGTCCTTTTTCGGGAGCTTTGGCCGAGTTTGTGCTGCGTCTGGGCATCTAGGTGTCGAGTTCTTCCCTAGTGTTTTCAGCCTCGGCTTCCTCCTCTGTAAAATGGGAGTAACTGATACTTTTCCTGTCTGGGTGGGAAAGGAACCCCGTGCTAATGTGATTGATGGTGTGGTGCTAAGCTCTGCTGCAAGGGATGTGAAGTTGAGGGAAAGGTTTACCATTTATTAGGAGCTTTGAGACCAAGTTCCTTCCACACAAGAGATATGCCCTGTCAAAGGGAGATCCCATTGCAAAGAGATTCACTGCCAAGTTCCCCCTCCCACTAGCTCCCTGGAGCAATTTTCAGCTTTTAGAGTGTTTAGAGGCCTCAGGGTGTAAAGCGAGAGAGAGAATGCCTTCCAGCCAGCGAGAGAGAATGCCTTCCAGCCGGTGACATTGAGAATAGCAGGAAAGAGGCAGAAGAAGAAACTGACTTGAAGGGTGATGCCAGCCAGGGGTGAGTGGAGTGAGGTAGGATTTGCTTTCTGAAAACTGGGATGTGCACACAACCTATCAAGAATACTTCACTTTGTGAGGCCCAAAAACAGCTCCTAGCACAGTGTAGAGCAGACTTGGTCAGAACTTCAATCCTTGATTTTTTTTTTTTTTTAACCCGAATTTCATGAGGTTTTTCTGAGACATCCACTGGACTGTCATATACCGTGTGCTGGGCTCTCATTTTATCCTTACAATTATTATGTTCATTTTAAAGACCTCATGTTAGCTAGATCAGTAGGGTGACTACAGTTTACAGTAATCTACTGTATATTTCAAAATAGCTAGAAGAGAACAATTTGGTTCTAGCATAAAGAAAAGACAAATATTTAAGGTGATACATATCCCAAGTACATTGATTTGATCTTTACAAATTGTGTGAATGTATTAAATTACCACATGTGCTCCAAAACTGTGTTCTTGAAAAAATTATCACGCCCATTTTAGAGATGAGGCACAGAGAGGTGGAGGGACTTGCCCAGATCCAGGTATGTGGCTCTCCTGTAATCTCGCTTCTATTGCTTTGTGATCAGCAGCAACTTAGTAGCTTTCAAAGCTTCAATTTTCTTGTGTGCCAAATGGGGCTAATAAATACCTTAGAGGATTGTGATCAAGATTCCGTGAAAAAATGTATGCAGTGCCCCCGGCAAGGTGCCTGGCATACAGAAAGTGCTCTGTACGCACCAGCTGCTGTCATTATTATTGTTTCAACTACCAGTGATCATAAAGGATGCCTGCTTTGATGAGCTTTTCCAGGAATATGGACTGGTCTGCCCTGATCTACTTGAATAATCTGTCTCAGGCCCTATTCGGTAAATACATGTAGGAGGTGCAGCTGCCAGGGAAGGGAGGGATGTTACCTGGAGAGGACAGAGTCTGAAGTTCAGGAAATACAGCAAGAGCCTTCCTCAGGGATGAAACATGTGATCTTATGGTCTGACTAGCCTCAAGCCAGCTGAGCTCATTGCCATGCAACTTGGTAGTTAATGATTGCTAGTAAGAAGTTTAAAAGGATCATCCCCTCAAAGAATGTCAGAGTTGGAAAAGACCTTAGGGACATTAGGCTAGGAAAGACAATGTCCTAGTGAGTGACTGCTTGGGCCCTGTATAGAAGGGATTCTCAGATCACTTGGGATGTCCTGGCTCAGCAGGAGGCTAAGGTGGGATCAATTAGTGATGTCTGCCATGGCCACAAGAGAGGCAAGGAGTGGCACATGTGCTGTTTATTTGCTGTCTTTGGCTGCAGCTGAGGACACTGAGGCCCAAGACTTGCTTGCTTACTGGACGATCACCCAAGTCATTAAACCACAAAAATCTCTTTTGGAAGGAATCTGTTAAGAATGTCTGATTATAAGAGTTGCACCTTTGAGCAAGTATTTTTTGCTTGATAGTCTTCAGTGAGGAGGAACTGTCTTCAAAGAGCACATTCTGTCTTTTGGCAATTCTCCCAATTAGAACTTAGACCACTGAGGTAGAAAGGCCTTAGAAGCCCCTTTAAGTGGGCTCTTCTCAACTGGGGCTGCACCTGAGAAGCTTTTGGAAAATACCAGTTGGAGGCTCCCTCCCCAGACCAGTGGATTCTGGATATCTGGGTGTATGGACACCTCTTGCCCCCATTGGTGTTTTATTTTCCAAGCTCCTCATGTGTTGTTAATATGTAGCCAGGGTTGAGAACCACTGAGACCAAAACTCTTTGGAAACAGAGACCCAGAAAGGGAGAACATGATTGTCTATGGGTATGTAGGGCTAGTGGCACAAGGAGAAGGAAAACTAGGGGGGAAAAGGCCTTTATCAAATGCCACCCATATGCTAGTCTCTTTTACTTTCATGCCGAGATTCTTCTTTTTTTTTTTGAGTCAGAGTCTCGCTCTGTCACCCAGGCTGGAGTGCAGTGGTGCGATCTCGGCTCACTGCAACCTCCGCCTTCTGGGCTCAAGTGATTCTCTTGCCTCAGCCTCCTGAGTATCTGGGAGTACAGGCTTGTGCCACCACAGCTGGCTAAATTTTTTGTATTTTTAGTAGAGATGGGGTTTCACCATGTTGGCCAGGCTGGTCTTGCCCTCCTCACCTCAGCTGATCTGCCTGCCTTGGCCTCCCAAAGTGCTGGTATGCCTGGCCCTTTTTTTTTTTTTTTTTTGAGATAGGGTCGTGTTCTGTTGCCCAGGCTGGAGTGCAGTGGTGTGATCACAGCTCATTGCAGCCTCAACTTCCTGGGCTCAAGCGATCCTCCTACCTTACCTGCCTGAGTAGCTGGGACTACAGATGTGTGCCACCTCTCCTGGGTAATTTTAAAATTTTTTTTTTGTAGAGATGGGGGTCTCACTATGTTGCCACAGCTGGCCTCCAAGTCCTGGGCTCAAACGATCCTCCCGTCTTGGCCTCCCAAAGTGCTAAGATTATAGGTGCAAGCCACCTCTCCTGGCTTGCTTCTTTCCCGTAAATTGAGGTGTGTTATTCCACTGCTTAAAAGCCTACATGGCTTCATATCGCTGTTAGTATAAACCCAAACAGTGGTCTGCAAGACTCTGAACCTTAGATCAGGATGATCAGACCCCTCCCTCCCCTCCACCCTCCGACCTCATCCTGGCTACCCACTCCCTGTTCACAGACTACAGTCACCTGGCTCTAGTACAACAGACACTTGAACCTACCCCGCCCCTCTCCCTCAGGGCCTGGTACTATCCTCCTCGCTCCTTCTTATCACTCAGGCCCCTCTATCCCATCATCCTCCTTCATTTCCTCCCATCCTTATCACCTACTCATTTCTGTCTGTCTCCCCACCTCTTGGATTATGAGTTCAGGGGAGTGGGACCCCCTATGTCTGATTTCCTTATGTGTAGGACAGAGCGTGCCTCAAAAGCATGCTTGCTTGGTGAATGAATTGAAAGAACCACCCTGACATGGAGCTGGTATTATCCACAGGTTACAATGGACTGGACCTCCTCTTCCAGTCCCATATAATTTTTTTTTTTTTTTTTTTTTTTTAAATTTTGAGACAGAGTCTCACTCTGTCGCCCAGGCTCGAGTACAGTGGTGATCTTGGTTTACTGCAACCTCTGCCTCCCAGGTTCAAGCAATTCTCGGTCCTCAGCCTCCCCAGTAGTTGGGACTACAGGCATGTGCCATTACACCTAGCTAGTTTTTGTGTTTTCGTAGAAACAAGGTTTCACCATGTTTGCCAGGCTGGTCTTGAACTCCTGGACTTAAGTGATCTGCCTGCCTTGGCATCCCAAAGTGGTGAGATTACAGGCATGAGCCATTGTACCTGGCCCCATATCACTTCTTATTATCTCATAATATTCTTACCTTTTGCAGTGACAGCCCCAAAGTGTGTGTGTGTGTGTGTGTGTGTGTGTGTGTGTGTGTGTGTGTTTGGGGTGGGGATCATAATAATCCTGCAGGTGGGGTTTAGCTCTGGTGAAAAGAGCACAGATCCTTTGATTTGGGTTTGAATCCCAGCACTTCCTCTTACTAAGCTGTGTGATCTTGGGACATTACTAACCTCTGTGAGGTTCAGTTTTTCTTGGCTGCAAAATGTAAGCACAATACTAATAAGTAACTGACAGATGCTGTGCTTCTGCCAGACACTGTACCCAGTGCTTTGTGTGTATTGGCTGAGTGAATCCTCATGACACCCTAATGAGGTAGGTCTCTTCTCTTCTTGCTTTCATTTTACAGGAGAGGAAAATGAGATGCAGAGAAGCTAAGCAACCAGCCTGAGGCCACACAGCCAATCAGTTGAGAGTCAGAGTTCAAGCCTAGGCTGCTTGCTGCCAGAGTCAGAGTGTTAGGTAGGACTTTATGAAATCATGCCCACAGGCCCCGGAACAGGTAGTGGTGCAGACACTTGGTAAACCGTAGTTACCCCTCCCACTTTGACATTTACTCTCCTGGTGACATTTAAGTTTTCTGACTGTTTTGTTGTTCAAGTTGGTGACAAAAGTACCAATTTCCTGCCTGCTCACTTCCAAACACAGCTTCTGTTGATGAGAACTAAGGGAGTACAACTTTTCAGGCCGGGGGTGTGCATGGTGTTTTGGGCCTTGGTGCTCAGGAAGTGTGGGCACTCCCTTAAATTTTTTAAATGGGCAAATGAGTGCATTTTCCTATTTAAATTTTTTTTTTTTTTTTTTTGAGACAGAGTCTCGCTCTGTCACCCAGGCTGGAGTGCGGTGGCGCCATCTCAGCTCACTGCAACCTCTGCTTCCCGGGTTCAAGTGATTCTTGTGCCTCAGCCTCCCGAGTAGCTGGGATTACAGGAGGCTGCCGCCACACCTGGCTAGTTTTTGTGTTTTTAGTAGAGATGGGGTTTCACCATGTTGGCCAGGATGGTCTGGAACTCCTGACCTCAACTGATCTGCCCACCTCGGCCTCCCAAAATGCTGGGATTACAGGCATGAGCCACCATGCCTAGCCTCACTCCCTTAAATTTTTAAAATGGGTAAATGAGTGCATTTTCCCATTTGAAACATTTTCTGCTTCAAATCCTTATTGAGCACTTTGTGCTAGGCATTGTGACTATGATCAGTATAAAAACCCCAAGAAAACAAAAAAACAAAAACAGTAATTCACTGTCCTGTCACCCCCAACTCATCAATCCTTTGCTTTTCCATAACTGGTTACCTGGGTGCTTTTCTTCGTTGTGATTATTTTTTATTGGAAATGCAGATTTGTGACTGTGATGGGCCTGAGGTCAGGTCACCTTGCTGAGGCGAGTTTCCTGGGCGGCTTTGCCCTGTTTTGATAAACAGAAGAATGAGCAGCTGGAGCTGCATTTCAAGTGGCTGCTTTAGTTGAGGCAGGCAGGCCTCAGTGTTTATGTGACACCGAGCAGCTTCAAAATGAGCTTGGTCATTTAAAAAAATTTATTTTTTCCTAGTTAGGTAACAGTGGTATAACAACATTAAAAGAAATGTAGAAACTAGAGAAAGGAAAAAAAAAAGCCCTTTATCCCCCCCATCACAAAACTATTATAATTTCAAAATAGTTACAAGTACAATGTATTCCAAGTGGCTTCTTATTTAAGATAATTATATTCACAGAGCAGGGACCGTTTCAGGTCCTTTAATGCTGAAAGGCTAAATAAAGAGAACTTTTTATTTTTTCCATGTTAATACATGGATGATATTAACCATGATGTTTAATAGCTACAGAATACTGCATGAAATGGATGTACTATAATTCATTTAGCCTTTTTCGTATTTAGAGATTTAAGCAGTAGCCAATTTTTCACCATTACAAGTGGTGCAAGGACCAATATCTTCATGAATACAGCATTTTCTGTAAAGCAGAAATTCTTTCTTCAGGATTAATTTCCAGATATCTTTCTGGTATTAGACACATACCACTTGCCTAATAACGTTCCAAAAGGAATTCATTGTTTACATTGCTATTAGAACATATGAGATTGCCTGTTTCATTATGTCCGTCCCAGCACTGGGTATTATCATTAAAAAAAAAAGATTTTAAATTTATTTATTGAGTTATTTACTTGAGACAGAGTTTTGCTTGTCTCCCAGGCTGGAGTGCTGTGGCACGATCTTGGTTCACTGCAACGTCCGCCTCCCAGGTTCAAGCGATTCTCCTGCCTCAGCCTTCCAAATAGCTGGGATTATAGGCACCCACCACCATGCCCAGCTAATTTTTGTATTTGTAGTAAAGATGGGGTTTCATCATGATGGCCAGGCTGGTCTCGAACTCCTGACCACAGATGATCCACCCACCTTGGCTCCTCAAAGTGTTGGGATTACAGGCGTGAGCCACCGTGCCCAGCCAATATTTTAAATTTAATGTTTACATTTGCACACATGCCAATTGGGCTTCATGGTGGCTGCCTCACACCACTTTTTGTCCGTGTGTGAGACTCACATAGAGGCTGTTTTCTGTGATCCTTTTTTAAAAAATAATTACATTTTTTTAATGCTCAGGGAAAATGTCAAATAATTGTTTATGTTTTGTACTGAAATCTGCACTGGTCTGATGGTACCCAGAAAAACTCTTAACTGTAGCCAGAAACCAGCTGAGCCTAGTTGTATGCAACCTGACTGCAAAGGTCATCAGGTGCTCTCATTTTATTTTTAGAGCTATATTTTAGCTCTAACGTGATTGTTGGGTGAACACTTGCAGAATGAAATATGACTGACACCTACCAGCTGTCTACACATTCCTGGTTATATCTTAGGAAGGCAGTGTGTGCTAGCACCTTGGGAAGAGAATGTTGAGTTCAAATCCTAGTTTTGCCCCTTGCACCAATACCTTGATCAGATTCCTCCCCTGCGTCCTCCCTACCCTTTCTTCAACTTCACACCTTAGTTTCTTTACTTGTAAATTGGGTTGATAGTGGGCTGCTGTCAGAATTAAGGACATCGTTTTGTCAAGGATTTTGCATACAGGAAGTCATGGTGACAGCTGTTGTTACTGTTGTCCTGAGGAGTGGGGACAGGAGAGGAGGAAAACAGGCTGGTCCAGGTGTCTTTCCTTAAAGGAGGCTCCAGCTTAGTTGGGGAGATAGATGGGCTGGTCAGAGTTTCAAGTCATAGGCAGTGCAGGCCTCAAAGGAACAGCCAGGACTTGAGACAAGAATCAGGCCAAGTGAGTAACTGTTGCTGCTGTGGCAGTGAATGTTAGCAGCCCAGGCCTGCAGGGGGGAAGACTCATTTGGGGTACAGTGAGAGGTCTTGCTGGGCAAATGCAGGGTGTTTGCGGCAAGGTAGGCTGGGGCTGGACTTGGAGGATGCCTGCGTGATTTAGATTCTATCTTGTAGAGAATGAGGTATCATGGAAGGATTTTCTTTTCATGTTGTAAATATTAATCATTTTATTGTTTTGTATTTTTGATGGCAATATAAAAATACCAGCTTTGTTGAGATATAATTTACATACAGTAAAATTCATCCATTTAGAAAGTATACAGTTCAAAGCTGGGCGCAGTGGCTCATGCCTGTAATCTCAGCACTTTGGGAGGCTGAGGTGGGTGGATCACTTGAGGTCAGGAGTTCAAGATCAGCATGGCCAACATGATGAAACCCCGTCTCTACTAAAAATACAAAAATTAGCCAGGCATGGTGGTGGGTGCCTCTAATCCCACCTGCTTGCGAGGCTGAGGCTGGAGAATCACTTGAACCTGGGAGGTGGAGGTTGCAGTGAGCAGAGATCATGCCACTGCACTCCAGCCTGGACGACAGAGTGAGACTCTATCTTAAAAAAAAAAAAAGCATACAGTTCAGTTGTTTTTAGTATATTCAGAATTGTGCAACCATCACTGCTGTCTAGTTCCAGAATATTTTCGTTACTCACAAAAGAAACCCCATGCCCACGAGTGCTCACTCCTGATTTCTCCCTCCCCCACCTCCTGGCAACCACCAATTTGCTTTCTGTTTCTGTGAATTTACCTGTTCTATGTATTTCATGTGAGTAGAATCATACACTGTGTGTCCTTTTGATTCTGGCTATTTCGCCTAGCATAGTGTTTTCAAGGTCCATCCATGTTGGAGCAGGTATCACTGCTTTGTTCTTTTTTTATGGCTGAATGATATTTCATCACAGAGAGATACCATGTTTTGTTTATCCTTTTATGAGCTGATGGTCGTTTGGGTCATTTCTACTTTTTGGCTATTGTGAGTGACACTGCTATGAACGTTTGTCTACCAGTGTTTGTGTGGCCACGGGTTTTCAATGTGGGAGGATTTTGAACTGGGGAGTGGTGTTTGGAGCCTTTGGGTGGGGTGGGCTGTGAGGAGCCTGTGTGTGTGTCTGCCCTTACTGGGCTGGGTTTAGGGCAAGCTTCATGTGCTTCCTTTCTTTTAAGGGACTCTCTGAGACAGGGTTATTATCCCCTTTTTGCAGATGAGGGCACTCAGGCTCAGTGAGGTTAAATAAGCTGCATGGCTAGACAATGGCAGATAGCAGCCCTGTCCGGCTCTTAGCCAGCTTGCAGCCACCTGCCCCTGCTGGGCCAGGCGATTGCAGTGGTCTTGGCTGGGAGGGGCCCAGAGGCTGTGTGGTGCTGGAGAGAGGCAGCAGGCTGGACCTGGTTGGGCAAGGCTGAGTGGTTGTGGGATAAGAGGAGATGTTTCAGAGCAGCACCCACAGAACCGCTGTGATGGGAGAAACAAGACTTCGAGTTAGGAGAGTGGGTTGGACTCTTGGTGCAGCCTATGTGACCTTGGGCTGATCTTGTCTCTTTTGAGCATCACTTTCCTCATCTGGAACCTGGGGCTCTTGTGGCTTCCTGCCTCTCTCAAGGGTGATTCGGGAGGAAGAGTGGGAGAGAGAGAGAGAGAGGGAGAGGATGGAGGCGAGAGAGGTGGAGTGGGAAAGGAGGGCAGAATCTGCTAGAACCTGCAGAGCTCATAATCTAGGGGCGGGGAGGGACATGCAGCAGGTGCAGGCAGGTGTGGGAGGAAGTAGCCTGGTCATCTGGATGGACATCCCTGCCCATTCAGAGAAGCTCTGAACCCTGCAAAAGCTCCCACGTGGAGGCCAGTGAGCTGGTTATAATCCAGAGACTGTCAGTTTTTCCTAGTACATATTTGGACCTGAGCCTTTGTTTCTGCAAAGAGTCTGGTACTGACTCACACAGTGTCAGCAGCCCCCTTCCATCCCCTGGCACACCCCTCCCTCATTCCTACTGAGCATTACCTTAAAACCAGTGAGGTCTTTCTGGGTCTTAAAGGTCACCCAGTGTCCTTGCCTATCTGGGCCTGTCTCTGTTCAAGTGGCAAGGCGGACCATCCCCTTTATCACTGACTTGCAGCTTGCCTGGGTTTTGTAAAAAGCTTGTCATTGCCAGTTAGAAAATAAAGACAGAAACCTCCCCTTTGGCATTGGTATCGTGATGACTTGCTCTTGTTCTGACTCTATTTTGCTGGCTTGTTATGAGTCAGTCATTTTTTTTTAATGAAATGAATACCTTTGTCTTAATATGAAGCTAGGCATATATGATAAAGGTTAGATGATTTTTCAAATATGAAATCAGAATTCTACCCATACTCCCAAATTAGAGAGCAGTCTGATGTGTTCCCCTTTACTGTGACCAGTGGCTTCATAGGGGACCTAGTTATGAGTCCTGTTTCTTTTTTTTTTCTTTTTTTATTTTGAGACTGAGTCTCGCTTTGTCTCCCAGGCTGGAGTGCAGTGGCGCAATCTCTGCTCACTGCAAGCTCCGCCTCCCGGGTTCACGCCATTCTCCTGCCTCAGCCTCCCGAGTAGCTGGGACTACAGGTGCCTGCCACCACGCCCGGCTAATTTTTTGTATTTTTTTTTTTTTTAGTAGAGATGGGTTTTCACCATGTTAGCCAGGTTGGTCTCGATCTCCTGACGTCGTGATCCGCCCACCTCGGCCTCCCAAAGTGCTGGGATTACAGGCATGAGCCACCACACGGGGCCAGGCCTTTTTCTTTTCTTTTTTTTTTCCTCACTGTGTCACCCAGACTGTAGTGCAGTGGCACAATCTTGGTGCAACCTCCGTCTCCCAGGTTCAAGCGATTCTTGTGCCTCAGCCTCCTGAGTAGCTGGGATTACAAGCATGTGCCACCACACCTGGCTAATTTTTCTATTTTTAGCAGAGATGGGGTTTTGCCATGCTGGCCAGGGTGATCTTGAACTCCAGACCTCAAGTGATCTGCCCGCCTCCCAGAATGCTGGGATTACAGGTGTGAGCCACTGCACCCGGCTGAGGCCTTTTTCTTCTGTGCGTTCCTGCTGTCTTCCCTCCAGGCAGCAGCAAGCTGGTAGGAGCTGTACTTGTGAGTTGACATCATGATGTACAGTCACTGGTCACTTATAAAACTGGGCAGGCCCAGAGCAGGAAGGGTCATTGAGGGTCATCTAATGCAAACCGTTTACTTTAGAGATGTTGAAACCAAGGCGCAGAGAGGGGAAGTGACTTGCCCAAGACCACACAGCTAATATCACTGTGAGCCCAGGTTCCTGGCTCCAGTTCCTGGTTCTTTCTGCCCCCTTCTTCCCGACACTAAAGATACAGTGGTGAGCACACAGGGTATTCAGTAACGTATCTATTTTTGACCTGTTTTTAATGGAGGCTGAATTGGGCTTTTAGGGTTGAGTTCTGACACGTGCCAGGTGATCTGCTGGAGGGAAATCTGTTACTTCTGGGGAAGAGTTGAAGGTGTCTTCTGAACTCTGGAATCTGTTTTGAGGGGAGGCTGAGCCCATGCGTGGACCCTTAGGCTGAGCCCATGCCTGCTTCAGATGTTCCACACCTTTCACCACAATTTATTTATTTATTTATTTTTTGAGACGGAGTCTCGCTCTGTGGCCCAGGCTGGAGTGCAGTGGCGTGATCTTGGCTCACTGCAACCTCCGCCTCCTGGGTTTAAGCAATTCTCTGCCTCATCCTCCCGAGTAGCAGGGATTACAGGCATGTGCCACCACGCCCAGCTAATTTTTGTATTTTTAGTAGAGACGGGGTTTCACCATCTTGGCCAGGCTGGTCTTGAACTTCTGACCTCGTGATCCAACTGCCTCGGCCTCCCAAAGTGCTGGGATTACAGGCGTGAGCCACCATGCCTGGCCTATTTATTTATTTTTTATTTTTTTGAGTTGAAGTTTTGCTCTTGTTGCCCAGGCTGGAGTGCAATGGTGTGGTCTTGGCTCACTGCAACCTCCGCCTCCCAGGTTCAAGCGATTCTCCTGCCTCAGTCTCCCAAGTAGCTGAGATTACAGGCATGCGCCACCACGCCCGGCTAATTTTTGTATTTTTCATAGAGGTGGGGTTTCACCATGTTGGCCAGGCTGATCTAGAACTCCTGATCTCAGGTGATCCACCCACCTCAGCTTCCCAAAGTGCTAGGATTACAGTCGTGAGCCACCATGCCTGGCCACACCCCGGTTTATTGCATTTGCTTCTAATAGAGAAATCAACCCAGTAAACAAATGAATTATTGTTAGCAAAACTGGGGGGTGGGTTGGGAAAGGAAAGTAGTTCCTTCTATAATAAAACTTGCTGATATTTCGTTGAAAGTCATTGTCTTACTCATCCTTGTATAAGATAAGTCACACAATGAGTGGTATCAGGGTTGCAGGGTTTCCCCCTGTGAGGACACAATGGGATGAACCGTGTGTGGGATGGTCTGTTAAAGAAAAACAAGAAGCCATGTGTTGGAAACAACCTAAGTATTGAGCGGTGGAGGATTGCTGAAATTGTGGACTACTATGCAGTCATTACCAACGCACTGAAAAAATGTTCCATGATATGGCAGGATGTTTATGCTATAAGAAATTTAAAGACGCGAGCTTCAAAGTAAAGTATAAACCTAATTTGGTCAAACAGGCTGGGCGCAGTGGCTCACGACTGTAATCCTAGCACTTTGGGAGGCCGAGGCAGGTGGGTCGTTGGAGGTCAGGAGTTCGAGACCATCCTGGCCAGTATGGCGAGACCCCATCTCTACTAAAAATACAAAAACTAGCTGGGTATGGTGGCTCATGCCTGTAATCCCAGCTACTCAGGGGTCTGAGGCAGAAGGATCACTTGAACCTGGGAGGCGGAGGGTGTAGCGAGCCGAGATTGTGCCACTGCACTCCAGCCTGGGCAATAGAGCGAGACTCTGTCTCAAAAAAAAAATATTGGTTAAAGAAACAAACGTTAGACTTGAAGCCGTGCTTTATATGGATATGTGGTGCACTATAATGTGGTGCTTAAAAAGCAACTTAGGCAGACCTGGGCCAAGTCTGGGCTCTGCCACGTAACTGCTATGTGCCCCTGGGCAAGTCACTGGATCTTTCCCAGTTCAGGCTTCTCAGCTGTTAAGTGGGACTAGTACCTTATCTCTTTGGGTTGTTGTGAGAATTAAATGAGCTATCTGGGCTTTCAGAGAAAGGGCTTCATGTGCCGTGGCTCTGATCAGACCAAACAAGTTATCTACTGCTCTAAGCCATCAAGGCCCCCCATGCCTGTTGGATACTGTTGAGTTATTTGGGTTGGCATGTAGTGCAGCGTTTCTGGACATACATACTCTGGGGACTCCCCATCCCAAATTTCTTACAGTCTCTCCAGTGTGCCACACGCTTTCTTGCCACTAGGTCCTTGCATGTGATGGAGTAACTCTTGTACCTCTGTCTCCCTAAATAGACGGGGTTCTCCAAGGACATCGTGCCACAGGGCCTGGTAACCCAGTAGGTGCTCAGTAATTTATTTATTTATTTATTTTTTTTGAGACAGAGTCTAGCTCTGTCGCCCAGGCTGGAGTAGAGTGGCGTTATCACGGCTCACTGCAACCTCCCACTCCCAGCTTCAAGCAGTCCTCCTGCCTCAGCCTCCTGAGTAGCTGGGATTACAGGCGGGTGCCACCACGCCCGGCTTATTTTTTATATTTTTAGTAGAGATAGGGTTTCGCCATGTTGGCCAGGCTGGTCTCAAACTCCTGACCTCAAGTGATCCGCCCGTCTCAGCCTCCCAAAGTGCTGGGATTACAGGGTGAACCACTGCGCGGCCCATTAGGTGCTCAGTAATTTGTTGAATGAATTGAAGACATGGGACTTGAGTTAGGCTTTTATTATTATTATTATTTTTTGAGACGGAGTCTCACTCTGTCACCCAGTCTGGGAGTGCAGTGGCGTGATCTTGGCGCACTGCAACCTCCGCCTCCTGGGTTCAAGTGATTCTCCTGTCTTAGCTTCTTGAGTAGCTGGGATTACAGGCATGCCACCACGCCCAGGTAATTTTTGTATTTTTAGTAGAGATGAGGTTTCATCATGTTGGCCAGGCTGGTCTCGAACTCCTGACCTCAGGTGATCCACCTGCCTTGGCCTCCTAAAGTGCTGGAAATATAGGTGTGAGCCACCATGCCTGGCCTATTATTATTATTATTATTATTATTTTGGAGATAGGGTTTTTCTGTGTGGCTCAGGCTGGACTTGAATTCCTGAGCCCAAGTCATCCTTCCGCTTCAGCCAATTGAGTAGCTGGGATTACAGGTGCACTGTCCCTCCCAGCAAGTTGGGTCTTTAAATAAAGAGTGGGGTTTGGTGAGCAGGGTGGGTGCACTGTTCTAGGAGGTGGGCAGGACAGAGGTCAGTGGTGGTCCCTACTGCCTATTCAGGGACCAGGGCCCCTGGGCAAAGGCAGAGATAACATTGGCACAATCTGCCTTTCAGCTTTCATTGTCATGCGGGAGTCACCATGCTTTGTAAGACATTTAATCTATAAGACTTGATTAGTTTTGCTACCTTTCATAGCTTGGGGCTGTGTATGCCTGTTTGTAAGAGAGATCCATCCAGATCAAGCCTGTGCAGCAATAATGTATGTGCACAAGGCCTCTTGTGTTGTGCTGATGGTAAGATAGGAGCTGGACTTGGAGGCAGGAGGTGGCCTGGGTTCTGTTTCTGGACTTACCACTTACTAGACGGGTACTCTTGAGTGGAGTCACTTAAGAAAGTAATGCCGATCAGGGGCTCAGAGTGTCCCAAGTGTTTTCTCTTGCCTTATTCTCATTAAACAGAAGTACAGCTCAGAATATGATGGGCCAGTCTTATGTGATTGGTGTTAATAAGGCAGTAGAGAGTTGGGGGTACTCTGGCAGACCATGAGAACCTGCCCTGTTTGAAGGAGAATGCTGCCTCCTCTTCCTCCTTTTAAAATTCACACATATGATGCTCACTAAGTGTCTGGCACCCTTTTTTCTTTTTCTTTTTGGGGCAGAGTCTTGCTCTGTTGCCCAGGCTGGAGTGCAGTAGCACAAACACACCTCACTTACTGCAGCCTCAAACTCCCTGGCTTTAAGTGATCCTCCCACCTCAGCCTTCCAAGTATCTGGGACCACAGGCACATGTCACCACACCTGGCTAATTAAAAACATTTTTTTGTAGAAATGAGGTCTTACCAGGTCGCCCAGGCTGATCGTGAACTCCTGGGCTCAGGTGATCCTCCTGTCTTGGCCTCCCAAAGTGCTGACATTATAGGTGTGAGCCACTGTGCCCCGCCTCAGTTTTTAAAAATACTTGCTTAAGGAGAGAGCACTGAAGGAAGATTTAGATCTGCTCTGTTGAAGTGACAGAGTACGGTGGTTTCCATTTATGCGTATTTTGTAGTTCGGATGGCTTCTTGTGGGGAGTCCTGTGAGTTCACACTTGGGGGCATGGTGTGGGGGACCTGTGAAGTGGGTGTTCTGGGGTGAGTGCGATGCTAGTCACTGTCCCAGTTTTCTTCTCATTTCTTTTTTTGTGAGTGCTTGGCTAGTGGCAGCCTTGCAGATCAGCTAGTTTTGACCCACATCCTCCCTCTAAGTGGTGCTCATTGAATTGAGCCACAGCCCCAAGGTCATGTTTTCAAGGTTGGCATTTGGGAGGCCTTGTCAGAAGGTCTTATACCATATTCCAGTCACCCAAAGTGCTGCCCGCCATGCCTGTTCGTTCAGCAGGATTTCCCTGAGCACCTGCTCTGTGCCAAGCCCTATGCTAAGCACCAAGGGAGTAAATATGGAGGGCAGTGTCCCCAGAGTCCAGGAACTCGTGATCTAGTCGGGGAGGAGAGGGGTACCTACTCTGTCTTTTACACAGCAAGTGTAACCTCTGAAGAATGATGTTCCAGGAGGCAAGAGCAACCCTGGCGGACTGGTGGAGCTGGGAAGGGAAAGATGCTTCTGGAGGGGCCTTGGGAGAAGAGTCCTCCAGGGTGAGCCCCTTGAGAGAGGTTTCAGAGCTCTCATCCATCTTCATATCCTGGCACTTAGCCCAGGCACTAAAATTTGCATATTTTTGATGGCAATTAAAAAAATACTAGCTTTACTGAGATATAATTCACATACAGTAAAATTCACCCATTTAAAAAGTATACAGTTCAAGGTTAGGCACGGTAGCTCATGCCTGTAATCCCAGCACTTTGGGAGGCTGAGGCAGGTGGATCACCTGAGGTCAGGAGCTTGAGACCAACCTGGCCAACATCGTGAAACCCCATCTCTACTAAAAATACAAAAATTAACCGGGTGTGGTGGTGTGTGCCTGTAATCGTAGCTACTTGGGAGGTGGAGACAGGAGAATTTCTTGAACCGGGTGGGGGAAGTTGCAGTGGGCTGAGATTGTGCCACTGCACTCCAGCCTGGGCAACAGAGTGAGACTCTGTGTCAAAAAAAAAAAAAAAAAAAAGGTTCCATTCAAGATGTCAAGCCCCACGGGACTGAGGGTAACATGAGGGTAACAGACAGGTGATGTTAAATTCCATTTGGGCTCATGTTCACCCCCAGGCCCCTTATTTTCTTTCAAACACATGGAATGGGCATTTAGAACTAGGAAGATCATGAATCTGGTGGCTGTGTAGATGCCATACCAGGTATGGACCACAGGCTTGGAGCGCAGCAGCATACAGGGGTCAGAGGTCAAGGCCAGTGGTCTATCAGAACCCAGTTCCTGCAGGAGCCAGTGCCGGTACTAGGTAGACTCAGATGACTGAATGGTCCTCGGGATCTGAAGGCCAGTGGGGGAGATGAGGCCTGGCCTCCCGGAAGTGCTCAGTAAACATTTGTTAATCATTTCCTGCCTAGGGAAGCTCTGTGGTATGCTCAGGAGAATCTTGCTTCTCATGGGGGAATGGGTGGTTGTCATTTGGGTGGCCTGACTGCCAGCCTGCTTGCTGGCTCTCTGGGAGTTGGGGTGGTGGCATCAACCTGCAGAGGCGGGGCAGTGGGGCAGCTCACGGCTGTGTGGGTAAGTAAGCAGTGAGCACAGTGAGGGAGCTGTTGCCAGGAGCCTCTTGGCTTAGTGAGCCAAGCAGAACCATGTGATGCACCCTGTGGGCGGCCACCTGGGGACTCAGGACATGCACCCAGATCCCTCCTCCCCTACCCACTTCAAAGAAAGTGCTGCCCTCCCAGTGGTGATGAAGACCTTCCGCTGGCCCCAGCCTCTGGGATCTGGCCTTTACTTGGGTATTCATGTGGCCCTGGGGGTTGGCTTTGCTGAAGTTGGGCAGAGCAGGTGGGTTCTGGAATGTGCAGGGGCAACCAGAGTGTCCATCTGTTTGGGTGAAGCCAGCTGTTTAGGTCTGAAGGATCTGTTTGATTTTTAGAAACATGATGTGTTCCAGAGTTAGTAGGTGGTGGTGATGGAGGGTATTGGCGTGAAGAGTGTGGATGCTCTTCGTTCCTTTGCTGTTTTGGGACTATCTCTCTATGGGGTAGTGGCCCCTTTCCTTGTTAGGATCATTTAGAACCCCCTGGGATCATGAGAATGAATGTGGGTCTATCCTTCCTTCTGTGTGAGGAAAAGGGGAGGTATTGTGGTTAAGCAAGTTTGGAGAACTCTGGCCTGAACAAAATCAAACAGATGTCTTTCTTGCAGGACTTAGAAGAAACTTAAATCTGTTGGTAACTCTTTAAGAGGGAAGGGGATATAAAACCCTTGTTTTCCCTAGATTTTTGTTTTACTCTATAGCTGTCTCTTTTTAGAAGCATCTCATGAGACTAATGTTTTTAGGAACCTGCTGTAGGAAATTCATTTATTCAAAAAATATTTGTTGAGCATCTGTTATGTGCTAGTGACTGCTCCAGGTGCTTGGGATACAGCAGTGACCACCTCCAACCAAGATCCCGCTTTCAAGAACTTCCATTCTAGCAGAAGTGATGAACTCATTTTTATGGAGCACCTACTGTGTATTAGGCATGTGAGTTATCACACATTATCTGCTTTACCCCTCACAACAGCCTGGTGAGGTAGATGGACTATTTTATTTTATTTTATTTTATGACAGTGTTTCACTCTTGTTACCCAGGCTGGAGTACAGTGGCGCAATCTCGGCTCACTGCAACCTCCAGCCTCCACCAGGTTCAAGCGATTCTCCTGCCTCAGCCTCTCGAGTAGCTGGGATTACAGGCATGCGCCACCATGCCCGGCTAATTTTTTTGTAGTTTTTAGTACAAATGGGGTTTCACCATGTTGGCTAGGCTGGTCTCGAGCTCCTGACCTCAGGTGATCTGCCTGCCTTGGCCTCCCAAAGTGGTGGGATTACAGGTGTGAGCCACTGTCCCAGGCCAGATGGACCATTTTAAAGATTAGGTAACTGAGCTCTAGGGGTCAAGAGACTTGGCCACTTTGGCAGCTGCATTGTCGTTTTTGGATTATGTCATCAAATTGCAAGGGGAGGTGGTGAAATAAGGAATTTCTGCAACAGAAATTGGAGTCTGCGGTGGGGATGCTGCAGGCCTTAGCTGCTGTATCACTGTGTCCGTTTATGAAGGCCCGATGGAGAAGAGGCTCTGAATCAGGCCGGGAAAGAGGTATTTCTCTGGAACAACTGGTTTGTTTCTGTGTTATGGGCACCGAGAAGCGTGTGGCTCATCATGTTTTCCTTTGGCTTTGGTTACTAAGCACCTGAGAGCTAGATTTGTGGCCCATCTTGACACTTCTGCAGGATGGGACCATATGGCATGCATTTCTATGTGCTGATCTTACCCCAACCTCCCGCCCTCCATCCCGCTTTATTATTTTCTCTATACTCATTTTTGCCTTGCCTGGTTCTCTTGTTTGTTTTATTCTTTTGTGTTATTTGTATTATTCTAAACCACCACATATACTTGGTGGGATGGAGCTGGGTATAGTTAAATTTTAAAAATAATGGTGAGGGCCAGGTGTGGTGGTTTATGCCTGTAATCCCAGCACTTTGGGAGGCTGAGGCAGGTGGATCACTTGAGGTCAGGAGTTCAAGACCAGTGTGGCCAGCATGGTGAAATTAGCCGAGTATGGTAGCGTGCACCTGTAATCCCAGCTACTCGGGAGGCTGAGGCAGGAGAATCCCTTGAACCTGGTGGAGGTCGGAGGTTGCAGTGAGCCAAGATCATGCCACTGCACTCCAGCCTGGGCAACAGAGTGAGACTCTGTCTCAAAAAAAAAAAAAAAAAAAAAAGAAATAATACTAATGATGAGATGACTTGCATAAGATCCCCCAGCTACTCTGTGGGGAAGTCGGGCTCCAAGCCAGCTCTCCTGGCCCCACCCTCTTTCCAACATACTCAGTGCCTTTCTGGATTAGGATCCACTGCAAGGTTCCTTTGCAGTGGGAGCCAGGTCTGTTTGGCTTTTGCAGCCATTGTGTTATGGGTTCCAGTGGAAGCTGGGCTGGCTGGATTGGAGGTGTTGAGGGGCTTGGATTGACCTAAGTGTCACCTGTGGCTCAAGCAAGGCTCTGGACTGTGGATTCCTTCTTGGTGAGGGCTGTTCAGCCTCACCCAGGAGAGAACCCATACCTCTGCTTCTTGCTTGTGAGGCATCAGGTTTCAAGCAGGGGTCAGACCAGATGAGCACTGTTATGTTCTTCACAGCTGCTTCCCACTCGTTATCCTCATAGTAGCCCAGGGTAGAAAAGGAGAGGATGAGTGGGTGGTATTGATGAAGAAACGGAGACCTACAGAGGTGAAATGACTTCACCCACCAGGTGATGGCTGAGTCTGCAACCCAACAAAAAACTCTGGCTTGCTGGCATTTCTCAGGCCAGACAGTTCCAATGTGAACCCACGGTACCTTCTGCGGGAGAAAAGGTGGCATGGGAAGCAGGAAGAGCCTAGGATTTGGGAGTTGGATGCCATGGACTTGAGTCCTGGCCACTACTATGTGCATATGGGGAAGTCACTTTTCTGAGCCTCAGCCGCCTCATCTTTAAAATGTGGGCCCTAATTTCTGCCCTGCCAGCCTCACAGGATGGTCATGAGAAACTGAATGAGAAGATGAACATGGAAGCCTTTTGTCTGGCATTAACCACATGTGCCTGTGTGCTGGGTTCTGTCTGCATTGTGCTAATGATGGTGGTGATGGTATTAATAGTAATAATAGTGAACATTTAAGGAACACTGCCTCCTATAATAGTCACCATGGTAAACTTTACATACATTATCTTAATGAATGCAGAAAACAAGCAGATGAGCAGGGACCGTCTATTATTTTCCCATTTATTTTTGTTTATTTTTAATTTTTTTTTTGTAGAGACAGGGTCTCATGTTGTGGCCCAGGTCTTGAGCTCCTGGGCTCAAGCAATCCTCCCACCTCGGTTCCCCAAAGTGCCAGGATCACAGGTGTGAGTTACCTCACCTGGCTGTATTTTCCCATTTTTACAAGTGGAAACAGGGGGTTCAAAAAAGTTTATGTAATTTGCTTAAGGTTGTAGAGATGTTACATAGTGGAGTCCAGATTTGATCCCAAGTAGGTGACCCTACTGTGGTATCACTGCTATCAGATTGGAAACAGCAGAAGTCTAGGACCTTTTTGGTTTGGTTGATGACATCTGTGCACATCATTCTGGTAGGTAGGGGCCATCTGGGGGCAGGAAGTTGGGTGTGGGTAGGGGTTGGCCCTGGAGAGGCAATAGAAGCTGGGGCTTGGCTGGATAACAAGCCTGGCACACTGAGTTTGTCTCTGAGGTTTAGTTTCTCACCTGTAAGATGATGATATAATAATGTGCCTCATGGGATTAAAGAAAATAAGAGATGCCTAGATACTTATACATTGCTATAAAAATGTCTGTGTTATAAGAGTGACATGGCATTCCACAAAATGCAGTGTAGATGTAAATTAGTTGGAATGGTGACCTCACCCCTGCTAGGTAGCACTGGCTTATGTCCCACCTGAGAGTAGTAGCATCTGAGGGCTAGCCACACTGAACAAGCCACACACCTGACCTCAGCATCCTCTTCTGTGAGGGGAATGCTCTCTGCTCTTCTACCTGCATGCACCGTGTTTGTGGAAGTGCTCTGTGTAGGACAGGGAAAGCACCTTGCAGAGAGCAAGGGCCCACTGGCTGCAGAGAGCCTGGTGGGTGATGGACCAGAGATAAGGGTGAGGGACAGTTTAGAGTGTCACAGTTTCTCATAGAGCTTTGGGCAGTGACACCAGTATTAGTCTCAGGACCATCATTGACTCCTGGTTAGTTTTTCTGTTTTCAAAACACTTTATCAGCTGTAAAGCACTTAAAAATGTAAATTAGTTCCTGCAAAAACAAAATGCACAAAAAATGATGGCTCTGCCAGGCTGGGTTGGGAGATGAATGTGTATGCATGTGTGAATGGATTCATTTCTGATGATAAAAATACTTTATGCTTATTTATGTGAAACTTGGAAAATAGAGGAAAAGTATAAAATTGAAACTAAAAGTCATCCATAATCCTTCTAAGTAGCTTTATCATTTAATGTTTTAGTATATTTCCTTCCTGTTTTTTTTTTTTTCCTTAATTCTGGGTGTATGCAAAGGATTTTGTAACCCTTTACATTCTGGAAACTGTTCAACATGACTTCTTTTTTTTTTCTTTCAACCAATTTGTGGAGAGTCCATTTTGCAAAGCCTTAGCACAGTGCCAAGCACAAGCTACACACCCGGGATGCTGCTGAATGCAGATGAGAGCATGCCAGCTCTGCTGAAGTTGGGGGCTGGGGGCAGTGGATGGCTGTGAGTGGTGTGAAGCCCCGGGCCACAGTGAAGACCCTGGAATGGCTGAGAGACTGGGATTCCAGGAGACCGAGGTTTGAGGGGAGGCTTTTCATTGTTTGATTAGCTCTTTTTTTCTTACCACATGTAAGTCATCATAATACTTAAAAAATTGCTGTAAAAAGCAGCTAATTAAAAATATAAATACAGTCTTTTTGGAGACTAGAAACAGTCACAAGAGAAGCAGTTTCAGTGAGAACCAGATCCTTTGTCAGTGTCAGCGAGGGGGAGGGGCGTCGGGGCCCAGCCAGCAAATCCTTCCCTCCGAACTGGGGGTGCGGAATGTGGCACTCCCTTTAGTTAGACTTGATGAGCTTTGGATTTGAGTAAGTGACAGCCCCTTTTATTTCCTGCTTTGTTCTCTCCCAGGTACCAGTTGACCACAGTTTTCATTCATGCAAATGGAAGCTGACAGCTGCCCAGGGAGGGTTAGATACCTGGGAGGATAGAGCAGAGGCCCTCCTTCTCCCCGACCCCTCGCCTCTGCAGGCTGGTGGGGAGGGGGGCAGGGGAGTCGAGTTACCCTCTCTCCACGCTTTCTTCTTGTGTATGTGTGCGTGTACGTGCGTGTGTGTGTTGTGTGTGTGTGTCTTGGGGGATGGAGAACCCCTCTCAGGAGGGCCTGTGGAAAGGCTGGGGTAAGTGGAGTGAGCCCGTGGGTCCTGCCCTTCCAGGCTGCCAAGAGTTTAAGTTGCTGCCTCCCGGTCTCTGTGCCCTTTTCCTGCCTGTGGAAGGCCCTCTCTCTGTTTAGGAACGTGGATGTGGCAGGGGCTGGGCGGGCACTTGGCCTTTATAACAACAGAAGAGGATTTTCAGTGACGAGGAAGCATCCCGCCCTTCTGGTTCCCTGTCTTCCACCTGGCCCCACTGCGACAGCCTCTCCAGGCCTCTGACTTCACTAGAATCTGCCCCTCCACCCCACCTTCCCCCGAACCCCACCTCCTTTCTCTGAGCCTGAGAGGAGTTAATTGTGTTAGAGTGCACTGAGAAACCTCCAGGAAGGGGCCCTAGTCCCTGTGTTGCCTGTTCAGCAATCACATTTGCTCACGTCTAGAAAGTACAATATAATGACTCAGGTTAAGGGGTGAAAAAATGTGGTGGACATTTTGCCAGGGTACTGTGTTAACTGTTCCAAGGTATCACCCTGTGTGAGACTCAGGAACATTCAGTGTTTTGGTTTCCCCCCTATTGTACTGAATGCCGGCAGCTTTCCCCTTCTAATTATTTATCTTAATAATTTGAGGAAAGTTGATTTGCTTTTTAAAAACTGGCATCCAAGCGTACCCTATCGCACTGCACACAGCTGAGAGATTAAGGCAGTTCTTTAGAATTCCTAGTCCGTGTTGTGTACACAGCGATAGGCTGGGGTAGTGGTTCTGGGTGCAACTGGGGACAGGCGAGGAACCATAAATTTGGCAGGAAAGATTTGTGTTGGTACCCTGTTATATTTGCTTTGCATCACATATTGTTTAAAAAGAGCGATATTTTCGTTAAAGGAAAAGGAACTGTGTATTTGAGATAAGAAGTAGAATAAAATGAAATGAATAGTTGGGTTTCGTCCTGTGGCCTTCAAAATGGCGTTATTTCTGAGATCCCTGTTTCTATGCTGTTCCAGTATTTATACGGAACTTATAAAATACAAAGTATAGGCATGTCCCGAGATCCTGGCGAGGCTGTAATTTATAGTGTTGTTCTTTTTCTTTTGTTTTACAGAGCTGAGTTTGGTGAAACTTCAGGAGGTTTTAGCTAGTGGCGATCCAAAGACATTAAATATTGCTTTGTGGGTACGTCTCCACCTTGCGTCTTACTTGGTGACTGTTCAGTGGTAGGCAAATGTCAGAACCCAGTATGCAAATGTGGAAGTGGACAGATTTGAGTCAGTTATCTCAGCTGGTGTTATGAAATACGGAAATTTTTGGCGTTGGTGGTGGAGGGCGTTGGCATAGGAGGCGTGAATGCTCTTTGTTTCTTGCTGTTATGGGAGTATCTCTTGATTGCCCCATCATCTTGTTTGGTGTGGCCCCGTTTCCTTCTAGAAGTTGAGTTCCCTGGGCTTGTGAGAACCCTTGTACATCTGCCTCCATTAAACTCACATTTGGAGATCTCGTAAATGAACGCAGTGCAGTCCGGGGGCAGAGTGAAGGCTCAGACTGCAGCCGGACATGGCTCAGTTACCCTAGGTGGGTTAGCAGCTGAGCAGGTACTGGTCTCAAAACCCTCTGAAGCGAAGCTGCCTGTCGATTCCACAGTTGCCAGCTTCCAGCATGGAGCTTCTGGAAGTATCACGGACTGAGTTGGGTCCCAATGCTGGATGTCCCTACTCTTCCTCCTGCCCCTCCCACGTTTGGATGGGCAAATGCACTAAGAACAGCCCGTGGGCAAGTGAATGAAACCAAAAAGCAGCAAGGGATTTGGACAGTCCACCTCAGAGTATCTGACTTTATTTTGAGGGGCATGTGTCAGAGTTGGGTGAAGAAAGAGATTCTCAGATGGAGATAGAGAAAGATCCCCAAAAGGGCAGGCTGGCTACCAGTGATTTATTTTTATTTTTCTTACTTTTTTAAGAGAATGCAGGGCATTTTACTCTTCTGTGGTAGGAGAGTAGACTGGCCACAGCCCAGCCCAGAACCCTTAACAAAAGGTTAAGCTGCTGGGCATGGTGGCTCACGCCTGTAATCTCAGCACTTTGGGAGGCAGAGATGGGTGGATCACCTGAGGTCAGGAGTTTGAGACCAGCCTGTCCAACATGGTGAAACCCTGTCTCTACTAAAAATACAAAAATTAGCCGGGCGTGTTGGCATGTGCCTGTAATCCCAGCTACTGGGGAGGCTGAGGCAGGAGAATCGCTTGAACCCAGGAGGCGGAGGTTGCAGTGAGCCAAGATCACGCCATTGCACTCCAGCCTGGGCGGCAAGAGCAAGACTCCGTCCCTAAAATAAATAAATAAATAAATAAATAAATAAATAAATAAATAAATAAAATAAAATAAAATAAATAAAAAAAGAGGTTAAGGTTTATACGCAGGCCATTTCTAATAGATGTTATGGAAGCCCCAGGTTTTGGGGCATCAGGGTTGGAAAGGAAGCCAAAAATGGGTGTGTCCAAAGGACAGATGCATTGAGAATGGGTTGTAAAATTTCAGCCATTGTGTAGATTAACCAGCACGGCACCCTGCCCCTCAGCCATTGTGTAGATTAAGGAGCACTGCACCCTGCCCCTCCTCCCCCAAGCATGCAGCACCTGAGAAAGAAATCTGACAAAGATGCTTTAATATGAGTCTAGCGCTTTGAGCCTTTCATTGTCATCTCCAGTGCAATTGTCTGTGGGTTTTGTTTTGTTTTGTTTTGTTTTTTCATTTTTATTGGACTTTGCTTTGCCTTTTAAGGGAAACTCTGGATGATATACTTCATTATTTCACTTGTCAGATGGTTAGTAATATGGTATTGCCATTCCTGACCTAAGGCAGCAAGTGATTCCTTCTGGCAAACTCTTTAAGAAACATGGGCATGGAGCCTGGCTGCCTGAGTTCAAACCCCTGCTCTGCTGCTTACCAGTTGGGTGACCTTGGTCAAGTTACTTAATCTCCGTGCCTCAATTTCCTACTCTGTAAAATGGAGATAATAATAGAACCTGTGTCATTACATTATTGTGGGAATTAAATGTGTTAGTCTACGAAGAGGGGTGCCTCAGGCCCATGGTAAATTTTATGTAAGTGTTGGTTGTATATAAGATGATGAAGTCCGGGCGCGGTGGCTCATGCCTGTAAATCCTAGCACTTTGGGAGGCCGAGGCAGGCAGATCACCTGAGGTCAGGAGTTCGAGACCAGCCTGGCCAACATGGAGAAACCCCGTCTCTACTAAAAATACAAAATTAGCCAGGCCTGGTGGTGCATGCCTGTAATCCCAGTTACTCAGGAGGCTGAGGCAGGAGAATCGCTTGAACCTGGGAGGCAGAGGTTGCAGCGAGCCGAGATCGTGCCATTGCATTCCAGCCTGAGTAACACGAGCAAAACTCCATCTCAAGAAAAAAAAAAAAAATTAAGATGATGAAGATGCAGCGTGGGGCCATGAGAAGAGTCCTGGTCTGGTGAGTTTGGAAACCTGGCTTCTGGCCTGTTTCTAACACTGTATGTCCTTGGGCCAGACCCTTTCCCCTGGGGTGCTGATTTCACACCTGTAAAATGAAGAAGTTTGACTTGCACAGTGCTTTTCTTAGACTGTGGTAAGGGGTGGATGTGGGGGTAGTGCCAAGACCAAGTGAAAGAGGCTTCTGGACCTCCATCCTTGCTTCAGCCAGAGCAGCGTGGGTTCATTTCATTTTTGGATTTTGGTTTGTGGGAAGAAAGGGTTCTCTTGCCGGTGTGTGTGTTTCTGATAAACAAAGAAGTGTGGAAGTGGCTGAATGAGATGACCCAAGGACTCTTTCTGGGAAGATGCAGGAGGAAGTAGGTGAGCTGAGGGGAAGCTGGTGGGGATAGGCCTGGTGGGGCCTGGGGAGAAGGATTTGAAGGCTCAAGTCACACGGTGCAGGATGGGACTCAATATAGGGTGGGATAGGGCGGTGGGTAAAAGCCGTTACAATTTTGTCCAAATGGTATGGGCTGATTTACTTATTAGGGAGGTACAAATGGCTTCGTGTTATAAAGTGTCAAGATCCTTATTTGGATAAGGCAACCAGAGTGTAGACGAGAGAGTAAGAGTAAGAAAACAAGGAGAAAAATGAGTGTCTTAAGGATGTAGAAATTTAGTTTGCTGGAAGTCTCTGCAGCCTGAACAAAACAGCTGTTAGGTTTGCCAGAACTTAAACCAGAGGGTGCCTGCCAGTGGTTCATATTCTTGCTACCTCTTCCTCCTCTTGTCTTGTTTTTCCTTTCCATTCTAATAATCACGATGAGTTTCCCTGACATGCACGCCCCTTCATTCATTTGTATGATCACTTAGAGATGAGGAGCTGCCTTGCCAGGTAGAAAAACCATTCTCAGGATGAATCTTTGGCTTTCTGAATCAGAGTTTTCTTTGGGTTTTAGAACTTCATTCTTATTAAAGTGGGAATTTACCGGCCGGGTGCGGTGGCTCATGCCTGTAATCCCAGCACTTTGGGAGGCCAAGGCAGGCCAATCGTGAGGTCAGGAGTTCGAGACCACCCTAGCCAATATGGTGAAACCCCGTCTCTACTAAAAATACAAAAATTAGCTGGGTGTGGTGGTGCGCGCCTGTAGTCCCAGCTACTTGTGAGGCTGAGGTAGGAGAATCACTTGAACCTGGAAGGCAAAGATTGCAGTGAGCCGAGATCACACCATTGTACTCCAGCCTAGGCGACAGAGTGAGACTCGGACTCAAAAATAAATAAATAAATAAATAAATAAATAAATAAATAAATAAATTGGAATTTAATATCTCTTATCATTTCTTCAATTCCAGTTTTTATTAGATCCACAACTTTTTTGGTCAAAACCAGAATTTTGATTATGTGTGCCATCCTAGGCTACCTCACCATCCAAAAATCCTCTTGGAAAACCCCACGCTTATCAGGAAAAGGAGATGGAAGTGAAAAAATAAAAATATATATAAAAAAAGGAAAACCTAGTGTTAGCACCCCTTATCCAGCAGGCCCCCCACCTGGACCCCCACCTGTATTCACATTCCTCCCACACTTACAGTCAGTGGCTTCATTAATCTCTAAGGTTCCATGTTCTGCTCCCCAAATAGACTGTTTGCTCATTGAAGACAGGCACCACACTTACATTTTTTTTCTTTCTTTCTTTTTGTTTTGAGATGGAGTCTCACTCTGACGACCAGGCTGGAGTGCAATGGCGTGATCTTTGCTTATTTCAACCTCCGCCTCCTGTGTTCAAGGAATTCTCCTGTCTCAGCCTCCCGAGTAGCTGGGACTACAGACGCATGCCACCACAGCCGGCTAATTTTTGTATTTTTACTACAGGCAGGGTTTCACCATATTGGTCGGGCTGGTCTCGAACTCCTGACCTCAAGTGATCCACCTGCCTTGCCCTTCCAAAGTGCTGGGATTACAGGCGTGAGCCACTGTGCCTGGTCTTATATTTCTTTTCTATTTTTCTACCCTGATCAACCTTTTCTTTTCTATCTCTCTCACTGTTTCTACGATCAAAGTAGTGGAGTCAGTTTCCTTGCATCTGTCCCAAGCAGCCGTTGCTAATGGGAATGAGTGTCAGGCACTGTACATCAGCCCTGTTTTGAAACTCTGTGCCTGCTGCCTCATTGACTAGCTGGAGAGTGTTGAACATTTGGTTGTAGAATGTATGTGGATTGCTGAGTTTCACGCATGAGCTGTGTTGTCATTTCATTCATTCTGAGTGGCATCTGCGCCAGGGCTACCTGGAGTTTTTCCAGCTCCCCAGGCCTAGCAAAGGCAGGGATCCTGTCTCATTCAGCTGCATTTCTTGAGCTGTGCTTAGAAGGCCTGCCACACAGTAGGGAATCAGGAACAGTCGCGTTTACAGAGCTCTCGGGTGATAGAAGGGAAAGTAAAGGTATATTAAATTTCTTCTAGGCTTGCTGCCTAATCCCCTAAGGGGCCTTCTCATTTCTTTCAGCAGTGCCATCTGGCAGGCCTGAGAGTATATGGGAATAAGTGGGGTGCTGGATCTTGTGGGCAGGCTATGGGATCTGGGAAAGGGGTTAGCACCTGGGCCTGGAGGGACCTGGAATCTAGGGGGGGCATACATCTAAGCTAAATGTGGCTGTGGCTTGCAAACTCAGAGGCCTTTCGGGCAGCCTGGTGAAATGATAAATGGGCAGTTGCTGTTTATTCTCAGTCCTAGAGATTAAAAAGAGGTGCCCCCATTGGAAACTGGAGGTTACATGTTCTACCCAAAGGGAGCAGCTGCCAGTCGGCTTCTTGCGATGTGAAAGTACAGCCCCAGAAAACCCAGGTTAAGTGATGTCCCCTAATTTTTAAAAGTTGGCAACCAATTCAACTATAAAATCATGCCTGCTGGCCTCTGAGCAGTAGGCAGGGCTGGTGTATGCCGGAGGCCACCAGGGGACATAACACCTGCCATAGGGTCAGAATAGGTGGGTGTTAGTCACCATCCAGATGGTCAGATACCGGAATTGCCACAGAAATGAACATGACATGCAGAGCAGGCAGAGCAGGTGCCAAAAGTTGGTATCAAGGAGGCGAAGGTCAAGTTCTTTGCCCACCAGAAAGCCTTCTGTTCCTTGTCTCCTTCCCTTCCTGCACCTCCAAGGACTCTCCACTGCTCCCTACAGCTTAAGTCCAAATTTCCCTGTCTGGCATTCAAGGTCTTCCATACCTTCCTTACAAGTGCCCTTTAGGCGCTCTAAATGGCGCGTCAGCTCCTATGTGTGGCCTCAGCTTAGCAGTCCAGTGTTCCCTCCCCCTGAATCCCTCCAGACTGCCCAGGCTGCATCTGCCTCAGACAGCCGGGTGTTCCCAAGACATGCTGCACTTTCTTCCCTCTCTGATTTGCTCATGCTGCTCCTCTTCCTGGAATGCTCATCCCCCCAATTATGGAAATCCCACTCCCCACTCATCCTTCAAAAGGCTCTGGACAAAAGGCACATTCTCCCTGAAGTCGGCTACCCTCCCGACTCTGTAAATTTGGAATAAATCACATCTTTCAGCTTCTATAGCACTCACCCTGCATCTCCACCACAGCCCTTATGACATAGCTGTTGAGAAAGGTCTGTCTTCCTTGGTAGATGATGAGGTCATTGTGGAAGGTTCGAGTCTTACTTACTGTGTCCACAGCATTTGGCTCAGGGCAACAGTCAACAGAGGCTTAGTGACTTAGACACTTGATGGTAGAGTATGGAAAACTGATTCTCATGAGGAAGGTGCTTAAGGTCTTTGGTAAGCCTGGGAAAGGGGCAGTTGGCTGGAACAGAGGGTGTGAGAGGAGCAGGTAAAGCTGGATCCAGCTCTCTTTCAGCCCAAGGCAATACCTAAAACCCTATCTCTGACTTGGAAAGGCAGTATCCTGCTGTCTTCCTGCTGTGGCCATGAGCCTCACTGGGGCTTGACTTGAATGTTAGGACTTTTTTTTTTTTTTTGAGACGGAGTTTCGCTCTTATTGCCCAGGCTGGAGTGCAATGGTGCGATCTTGGCTCACCGCAACCTCTGCCTCCCAAGTAGCTGGGATTACAGGCGCCCGCCACCATGCCCAGCTAATTTTTGTATTTTTAGTAGACATAGGGTTTCACTGTGTTAGCCAGGATGGTCTCCATCTCCTGACCTTGTGATCCGCCTGCCTTAGCCTCCCAAAGTGCTGGGATTACAGGTGTGAGCCACCGTGCCTGGCCATGAGTAGGTTCTTTAGTGGTGATTTGTGAGATTTTGGTGCACCCATCACCTGAGCAGTATACACTGAACCCAATTTGTGGCCTTTTATCCCTCACCTGCTTCCCACCCTTTCCCTCTGAGTCCCCGAAGTCCACTGTGTCATTCTTAATGCCTTTGCATGAGAGGGAAGGCTTTTTAAAGGGCCCTTTTCAAGGTTTGAAATAAGGCTCCATGACAATGGCCTGATTTGGATGGGTCTTGGAATACCCTTTTTTTTTTTTTTTTTTTTTTTTTTGAGACGGCGTCTCGCTTTGTTGCCCAGGCTGGATTGCAGTGGCGCGATCTCAGCTCACTGCAAGCTCTGCCTCCCAGGTTCACGCCATTCTCCTGCCTCAGCCTCCAGGGTAGCTGGGACTGCAAGCACCTGCCACCGCGCCCAGCTAATTTTTTTTTGTATTTTTAATAGAGATGGGGTTTCACCGTGTTAGCCAGGATGGTCTTGATCTCCTGACCTTGTCATCCGCATGCCTCGGCCTCCCAAAGTGCTGGGATTACAGGCATGAGCCACCGCGCCCGGCCCGGAATACCCTTAAAATATAGCCAGAAAGGGCTGAGGATGGGTAAGAACCCAGGATATAGAGTCTTCCCATAAAAGGGAGGGCCATCATGCAAGATGAACAACTTGGTCCTGATATGGATGGGGCTAGAATCTCCGTATTGTTGCTAATAAGGTGGAACTGAATCCCCTCCCTGTTCCCCAACACAATAAAACTTCAGTGTCGTCTGGGTGCAGTGACTCACGCCTGTAATCCCAGCACTTTGGGAGGCTGAGGCAGGTGGATCACCTGAGGTCAGGAGTTCGAGACCAGCCCGGCCAGTGTGATGAAACCCTGTCTCTACTAAAAATACAAAAAATTAGCTGGGCATGGTGGCACATGCCTGTAGTTCCAGCTGCTCAGGAGGCTGAGGCGGGAGAATTGTTTGAACCTGGCAGGTGGAGGTGCAGTGAGCAGAGATCATGCCACTGCACTCTGGCCTGGGCAACAGAGTGAGACTCTGTCTCCAAAAAAAAAAAAAAAAAAAAAAAAAAAAAAATCTTCAGTGCAGGGCCTGTCTGCTCTCCAGGGAAGGCTGCAGTATTGTCAGGTTTGTTTCTTTTTCCCCACAAAACTGCTTCGGAGAGCTCTTAGGTCCCAAGTTTGCCTGCATCCAGGGTCCAGATGCTTCCAGGGTCCAGATGCTTCCAGGGTCCAGGCAGTGAGTGGAAGTGAAGGAGGCTCCTCTAGTGAAAGAAAAAGGCATCCAGTGTTAATAGTATTTCTTCCCAGTTGCATGGGGCTTGCATATTAGAGATAAAGGAAACATCTTAGCTACTACTGAGCCATAAGTGGTCTCACCTTTCTTGAAACATAAGGCCGTCTTGGTTTGTTGTTCTGTTTTGTGCTTTTCACAGAGGCATGGACACTGAAAGACGTTTCTCTGACAGTGGAGATATAGGACTGAAGAGTGACATGGCTTGCAGAGCACTACCTGTCCCCCTAATCCACACTGTCCTCTCTCCTCATGGGCAGCCTGAGAATGTGGACCCAAGGTAGCCCATCATGCAGTTCTTCATGAAATCTGGAAATCTTGGCATTTCATGGGAAATCTCATCACTGCTAAAGTAGGCTTAGATTTGTTTTAAAACCTTGTGTGGGCTGGGTGCAGGGCATTTTACTCTTCTGTGGTAGGAGAGTAGACTGGCCACAGCCCAGCCCAGAATCCTTAACAAAAGGTTAAGCTGCTGGGCGTGGTGGCTCACACCTGTAATCCCAGCACTTTGGGAGGCTGAGGTGGGTGGCTCACCTGAGGTCAGGAGTTTGAGACCAGCCTGGCCAACGTGGTGAAACCCCGTCTCTACTAAAAATACAAAAATTAGCCAGGTGTGGTGGCGGGCACCCATAATCCCAGCTACTTAGGAGGCTGAGGCAGGAGAATTGCTTGAACCCAGGAGGCAGAGGTTGCAGTAAGCAGAGATTGTGCCACTGCACTCCAGCCTGGGCAACAAGAGTGAAACTCCGTCTCAAAAGCAAACAAACAAACAAAAAACCTTGTGTGGGTGAATCAAACACGTCTGCAAGCCTGATTCAGCCTGTAGCCCACCAGTTTGCAGCCTTTGTTTAGATCCGTAGTGGAGAAAGAGGTTAAAGCTACAAGTTAGGACCCCTGAAAATGAAAGATGGTTTGGAAGTGAATCTGAAGTAAATTGTCACTGTATGGTTTCAGACCGTTTTCTGGTAGTATGTGCTGTGTGACACAGGTTGTCCCTGTGTTGTGCAGTGGTTTTGAGCACAACATTGGCCCTAGGCCTGCAGTGTGGGGTGCAGGCCCTCTGCTGAGGGCTGCAGATGCTGCCGGGAGTGCAGTGGATGAGGTCCTGCCCGCACAGCCTCATTCGGCGTTGATACCCATGCCTGGAGGATGTGGGCTCATCTTCTTGGGTCAGGTGAGCCTCTTACACCTGTGTTCATTGCTTAGCTCTTTTGATGTCATTGCATATTGGTTCAATTACTTTTCCCTTTTCAGAGCCATGAATAATAACTATGATTTTGCTAGAGGGAAAAAATGAAATGATCAAGGTAATGCATTTACATGTTACATAAAATTCATATCATACAGAAAGGCAGAAGGAAAACAGGGAGAATTACTTGTTCCCTTTTCTCTCTTCCCCTCCCAATTCCTTTAACAGGAAGAATGTCTCACTAGTCATGTGATCTACAGCAAATCCTTTAACCTCTTCAAACCCGCATCTCTTATATGTTACAGGACAGTAATAAAACTTAACTCATATTATTGTTATTTTTTATTTAATGTGGATTAAGTTAGTTGGTATGAAATTCTCCAAATCCTATGCATATATAAAGGGTGCTCATAGAGCTTTTTTCTTCTTTTTTGTATATCCAGGATTTCTTTAGCGGTCTTTTGTAATTATAGTAAAAGCACTGAGGTTAGATTTATGGGTTTTTTTTGAGGAGGATAGACTGAATCCCTTTCCCGCCTCAAGGCTATAGTGGGTCGGCACAGTTTGTGTTTGCTAAACATATCTTTAGCTGCGTAAGAGAAAGAAGGAAAATAGTAAAGATGAACAGTACTGTTTTCTACTTGAAGTTCTAGTTGGCCCCCACTCCCTTCCATGTAGGAACCTTAGCTTGCTTTCCACACCCTCCCACCACTGGACTCACAAAGGCCCCTGATGAGTGCCTCCGGTAAGACAGGGGGAAATTTTTATCTTAATTAGAAAAAGGCTTAGTATCTTGATTGTATGTTCTCTGGAGCCAGTGATAGAGATAGTATAAGAAATTCTGGACATTCAAATGTAAAACAGATTAATTTGTAGGAATGTTGGATTTTTATCTGGACAGATGTTTTGTCTTTTATGGAGTTGGTTGGGATTAAGAAGTGGGGGCAGGGTCATGTTGGTATTTTATTTTTGCTTTGGGCTTATGTTACTTAGGATTAACTTTAGCTGTGTATAACAACAGCAACAAATCAGATTTATAGTCAGTTAACGGAGGCTTAAGTGATGTAAAGTTTTATTTCTCTCTCACATAGAAATTAGTTAGAGGTAGTAGTTTAGGGCTCTTAGAGGCCCCAGGCTGTCATATTCTACCTGCTTACACATGGCTTTCAGGATCTAGGTCACCTCACAGTCCATGATGGCTGCTGGGGCTCCATCCCCCTTGTCTGAGTCATATGTTGGCAGAAGGAGGAAAGGCACAGATCAAGAGGAGGCCTTTCAGCTGGGCGCGGTGGGTCACCTGAGGTCAGGAGTTCGAGACCAGCCTGGCCAGCATGGCGAAACACCATCTCTACTAGAAATACAAAATTTAGCCGGGCATGGTGGTGTGTGCCTGTAATCCCAGCTACTAGGGGAGCTGAGGCAGGAGGATCGCTTGAACCTGGGAGGTGGAGGTTGCAGTGAGCCGAGATTGTGCCACTGCACTGCAGCCTGGGCAACAGAGCGAGACTCTGTCTCAAAAATAAATAAATAAATAAATAAAATAATAAAGAGGAGGCCTTTCCTGCTGCATCAGCTCTCTCTGAGCAGCGTTCCTGGGAAGTTCCATGGAACACTTCTGCTTATCTCATTGGTCATAACTCAGTCAGATGCACACACTGAGCTGCAAGGGAGGCTGAGAAGTATAGTCTCTTAGTCCCAGATACAATATGTATAAAATTCAGAACAAGGGTCCTTTTACTAAGGAGGAGGAAGAGACTGGATGTTATGGATATGGGCAGCAAGCAGTGTTTTCAAAGTACTGAAACAGATTGTAGAACTTTGTAAACTGGCTGCCTTTCTACTCCTCTGCTCACCTCTAACCAAAGAGCCACCTAATTGTTCTGCATGGTGACCATTGCCTGTTAGATTCTTGGTGAATAGATTCCTAGCCTCATCTTTTGTTATTTTTATTTTTTTAATAAATGGTAGAATGAGGATGCAGGAAACTTGGAAAAGCAGAGTCAAAGTTCAACTAGCACAGGAGCAGAAGGTAAATTCTGTTGGCTTATAGAATGAGCCCAGACCCTGGTGTCAGAAGACCTGGGTCAGTTCTGGTCTGTCCTCTCCTGGGACTCAGTAAAGTCTCTTGGCTCTCTGAGCTTTCCACATCAGTAAGATGGGGAATGACAACCCTTATGGGACTGCAGTGAGGCTTAGCCAAGTTGGTGCTGTGGAAGGCCCTACTGGATTCCAAAGCATGATACAGATGATGAATACTTTATGTGGCTGAGGTGCTTCCAGCAGGCACGTGGGAAGCATCCATGTAAGATTGGGGTCATGCAAAATGGGGTGGGATCACATCGCGGGATGAAGCACTTGGATGCAAAGGCCTGTGTGGTCCAGCCTGAGTCTGGCTCAACACACAGGGTCGGATCCTGGCTGCGCTCCTTACTGCTGTATGTACAGATTTGGCTCAGAGGGAATGCAGGATTGGCAACATGCATCTAGTCTTTCTTGTGGTCTCCTGGTGCCTCTCATGGTGTGCTTATTCTTATTCTGCTACGGAGAGTGTGACTTAAGCATGTAATTTGCATATAGCGTGGCTCCTGAATGCAAGCCACTAACCCATTATTTTACTTAGTAAGTTCCAGTGTTGGGGCTTGGGGGATGGTGTGTCCTTTGCCAGTGAATGCTTATGTTGGTACATTTCAAGGGTTATTTTGCTTATGCACCCTCCCCACCCCCGTCAACGTTAGAGCTTAGCATCATATGAAAGGCAGTGTCCCTGTGACTGTATCATAGGGTTGATGAGGATGAAATGAAGTAACTGCAGGCAGTGTCCAGCCCAGTGCCCAGTGCTCTGTCCAGGCTCAGTGAGTGACCTTTGCTGCTGCTGCTGCTACTGCGTCCAGCTGGCTACATGGGGCTGGTGGCAGAGGGTGACTCAGTTCTCAGTGTGTCTTTTCCTGCCCCCTGCCAGGTTGCTTCCCCTAGCCTAGTTCCCTTTTTTTGTGAAATGCTCATCCCTCAGCTCTGGACTTCAATGTACTGTTGGTTTCAAAACCTTATGAAACACAACATCAATGGGGGAAGGGAGAAGAGAGAAGCTGAGAAGCCTAACCCAACTCTGACAGCTGAGCGGCTACAGAGGACTTCTCAGTTGGGCTTCAATACTTCTTAAGAACTTTCAAGTTAGGCCTCAGATGTGATTTTGTTTGCTGACTTTCTCTTTGCTACCTTGGCTTCTATTTAGTTAACAAATCTAGGCCGGGTGCGGTGGCTCACGCCTATAATCCCAGCACTTTGGGAGGTGGAGGCAGAGGTGGGTGGATCGCCTGAGGTCAGGAGTTCAAGACCAGCCTGACCAACAAGGAGAAACCCCATCTCTACTAAAAATACAGAATTAGTCGGGCGTGGTGGCACATGCCTGTAATCCCAGCTACTCGGGAGGCTGAAGCAGGAGAATTGCTTGAATCTGGGAGGCGGAGGTTGCAGTGAGCCAAGATCATGCCATTGCACTCCATCCTGGGCAACAAGAGCAAAACTCCATCTCAAAAAACAAAACAAAAACAACAAAAAACCCCAAATCTAATTCATTCATTCAGCGTGCACAATTTATTCAACACAGTTTGTTCCAAACACTGGGGATATGCCCCAAACAGACCAAGTTCCCTGTTTCATGGAGCTTACGTTTGGTGGAAGAGAGACAAATATAGAAACAAAAGTGTAGGCTGGGTGCAGTGGCTCACGCCTGTAATCTTAGCACTTTGGGAAGCCGAGGTGGGGAGATCACTTGAGCCCAGAAGTTCAAGATCGGCTTGGGCAACATAGTGAGACTCCGTCTCTATTAAAAAAAAAAAAACAAGTCTAACATCAGGTAGACTTCAGGGCTGTGAAAGAAGTGACATAGGGTAAGGGAATACAGCGTGTTGAGGGGATGGGTGCTATTTTCCAAGGAAAGCCCCTCCTGGTGGGGGGCCATAGGAAACAGCTGGTGCAAAGGCCTGGAAGACTCACTGGCATCTTTCTGGAATAGCAAGGATCAGCTTGGTGGGAAGTGGAATGAGCTGGGGGTGGAGTGGGGTGGGGTGGATTTTGGAGTCTGAGCTTGAGATACCTGCTTGGAGATGCTGAGCAGTCTGCAGGAACCAGGAGCCCGGAGCTGAGGGAGGACATGAAGGCTGGAATTGTAAGTTTGAGAGAAATCAGCTTTTTGAAGCTGTGGGACGGGGTAAGATCACCGTCATGTGAGAGGATGGGACTGGCCAGGTGGTGCATGTGTCCAGGCTCAGCGGATGTTCCTGGGATACAAGTACCTGTTCATCTTGTTGACATCTAATCTGTATCTGCGCATAGTGACCAAGGATAAGCCACTGAGCTGCTCCAAACGTGTGCTATGGGATGGATTAACTGTGTGGGTGTGGAAATCCCTCAGAATGATGAGACAGGGAGCAGTGGAGAGGAAGACAGTCGATCATTGATCGGTGAGCCTGTACTTGAGATCTGGCCTGGATAGTTGTGATGGTAGGTGGTACCCACAATGATGGCCCTTCAGGGGATTTGAAGATTGTGAAGGAGGACCAAGAGGAGCTGTTTGGACCACCTGTGATCCAAGGCGGGAACTAGGAAGACACCTACCGGAAGTCTTTGTGGATCTTTTGGGATTGGATTGGATTAGCAGATACAGAGCGTTTGACCTATAGTAACCAGCTGACTGTTCAGCAAACGCTTCACTTCCTAAAAGGCTTCTTCTTTCCAAGGCAAACTGGGGCATGTGAGGAACAGGAACTTACAAGAGCTTCTAGTCTGAACTCCAGGTGCTGACACTGTTAACAGTTGCTGAGTGGAGTCCTTCTCACTTGGGTGGAAAGTAACCTGTAAACTTGGCCCAAGTCTCCCTTTTCCTGTCCTTTGGCCCATGCTGTTCTGGTGCTAGATGTTGGCTCTGGCCTTTGCACTGACCATCTCCTCGAGATGGCACGTGGGGAGGATGTGCTGTGTTGAGAAGAACTTGGCTGGATAGGCAAAGACTTGAGCTAGAAAAAGAACAAGTGGTTATTCATTTGGTGCTTCCCTTTAACCAGGGCCTTTTTTTTTCTTTTATTTTAAAGGAAACCTTTAAGAAAGGAGGGCTCTCAGGCCTTTCTTAGAATTTAGGTCTCAGTTTTACATCATGGGATTCTGTTTTTCTTGGGTTTCCATTAGAAGATTAAATAACATAGTGGCTATGAAAGCATACTATAGATACTAGGAACTGTTGCTTTGATTGTGTTAAAGGATACCTCTATTCCCCAGGTCCTTTATTGATTCATCTTATTTTTATTTGTATAATAAATCATTAGAATAGTGCCTGGTGCTCTATTGCACTCACTTGCATATACTGTATAAAGCTTTGTACATATTACTTGTTTAGTCCTCACAGCAGCCCTAGGAGGTAGGTACTATTATTTTGCTCATTTTGCAGGCAAGAAAACAGGCACAGACAGTTAAATAAGGTCACCCAACTAACAAGCAGTAGAGCTAGGATTTGAACTGGGGGAGCCTGGCTCCATGTTCTAGGTTCTTCACCATTATACTCCAAGGCCTGTCGGTTTTCCCATCAATCTCTACTGAAGAACAATGGCGATGGCCATACTGGTAATTGTTGTGCTTTATATGCTGTGCACTGTGTTGTGTATTTCAGATGCACGAATGAGAATCTTCATCCCCGCAAGATATTAAGAGCCCGTTTTACAGAGGAGGAAATGAAGGCTCAGAGAATTGAGTAACTTGCTTGAAGTCCAAAGCTGAGGAGTGGAGCCAGAATTCAAACTCGAGTTTGTCTGGCTTCCGAATCCTGCTATTTCCTCAGCACAGTGGCCGTCCTCCAAGGCTGTCACATGTTCCTTCCCTGGTGATTCACGGCACCTGGCTACCTCCTTTTAGACTCACTTTGTGGCCCATGGCACCCAGTTGTGTCATGACAGGACAGTGGCTCCCATTTCTCCGGGCCTGACTGTGAGGCCACATGAGCCACCCCAGGGAGGCCAGCAGAGTCAGAGCTTGGCTTTGAAAGCTGTTAATCGACCTGAGCCCCTCCATGTCCCTTGCTCCATTTTAAGCCTAGGGCTTTCCTAAAGCACCGCAGATCTCCTTTTCTTGTGAGAAGAGATTAGGCAGATGTATACATACACGGTAATGTGCAAGTGTCTAGTTTCTTGTCAGCATCGGGATGAGCTGTTTGTAGTGAAGAGCCTGGGCCTGGTGAGCCCCCGGGATGATGGGTGGGGACCATCTGTGCTCTCCTGGAAAGGAAATTGTGGTTTCTTTCTTTTCTTTTTTCTTTCTTCTTCTTTTTTTTTTTTTTTTTTTTTTTTTTTAGTTTATGGGAAAGGGAGACTTGTGTCTCAATTGAGTCTTTGTGGCGTTGTATTACAGAGAGTCACAGAAAATGTTCTATGTAAATGACTATGTGCTCTGATTAGAGCCTCAATGGGCACCATTGTGTCATATTGCTATTATTGGCGATTGCAGGATACTAAATGATATTCTCATCAGGCTGAAAAACTTCAGTGTTAGCAGTGAAACTCGGGGTTAATTATACTGCTCTGAATTAGAGCATGGAATTAAGTTGTAGGGAGAGTAAGCCTATTGCTTTCTTCCCCCTCTGTCTTCCTCTTCAAGATTCTTGCTGGGGGTTTGATCAGAATAGTTTTTAACCCATGTTCTATATCTGTACTACTGGCATTTTGTTCTCCATGAGTTACTACCCCATTTGGGGTTGGGAAACACAGGACCAATTTATAGGACAGTGGGAGAAGGGGAGACATGGTCTACTTAATAGTGCATTCTTCTCAGTCAATAGCTGGGTAAAAAATAGCATGAAGATTGAAGTCTTAGGGGAATGCTGGACTCTCTAGAGGGGCCTCTTTAATTTAGCTCTTGTCTCTTCTGCCTTTGAATTCTCATCTCTTCTGATCCTGACTCACCTCTTTGAAGAAATGACACACTGACCTACATCTTGGCTGAAACAGATAGAAGAGTCTATCTCTGTTCTGCCCCTTCTTGGCATTCCCAGCACAGCCTCCAAGGGAGTCTGTCCCAGAGCTGAGGCAGGCCCTCTCGGGTTGCATGCCATTGACTTCTCAGCTTTGTTTTAACTGCAGAGTTTCCAGTGCTCTGCTCTTCTTGAATTGCTCCTGATTGTCACCTTCTTGCATTCCTTTCTCTCATTTCTTTTTCTGTAAATTTCATGTCACTGGTATCAGGTTTAAAGTCGTATTTTTTAAATCCCTTTCAATGTTACGTGGGTTGTAAATGTAATTGTTAATATTATTTAAAAATTTTTGAAAAGTGATTTTTAGTGGTGGCCTTATCATATCTACATATTATTACTCCACCATTTTGGGATGTTTAGGTCGAATCCTGGTTTTTTCTTCTTTTGCTGTTGTAAGTCATGTATATTGGCAATTAGCCTAGGAGAGATTCCTAGAAATGAGTTCACTGAGAATATGAGCTTAAGAGAAAGTGAGGATTTAAAGCCAGATCTGTCTGCCTTCAAATCCAGCGCTCTTTATACTGATGTGAGTTCTCCTGTCTTTTTTACCTATCAGAATTCTAGAACTCTCCCAGAGAAACCAGGCAGATACTGCTCCACACCGGTGAGCTGCTTCTCACCTGGGTAGTCTAGGGTGGTTTGCTCCAGAATTGTATTTCTGCTTTTTCTTTTTTTAACTTGGCAGTGGTTAACCATTCCCTGGAGCAGCACCAGGTAAGTCAGCTTGTATCAGAGTCATCTGCTTTACCTGACATGAGCACACGTTGTCATATATTTGCACATGCAGATATCATATGTTAAACAATATCACATTGTTGAAGAAAATTACACTGGAAAGCGTAAAATATAGTTTGGATGCCATATTGAGTGTAACTTAATCCACCCGATTCAGAACTTTTGTAGAGTGCCTCGGAGTTCCTATTTGGAAATATCAGTTAGCAGTTTTAGTCAGTAGAGTAACATATTTTCTATATTTATGATATATCAAAGAGACTTTCTGAAGCAGAACCCTGATTGACTCAAGAGTCTTTTCCAAATTCTGTATTCTCTCAGAACCAGGATTTAATAGGAGGTGGGTGGGGGGTGGTCCTTGGTCAAACTGGGGAAAAGCCTCATAATGAGATTGCCAAAGCGCTTACAGCATTTGAAGGCTCAGAGAGATGCCGTGGTCAGGAAGCTTGTTTGAGTCTGTCTGGAAGCCAGTAAGTCCCACAGAATACCTACTGATAATCCTGTGGAATAAGCAGCATATGGAATGTTGCTGAGCTAGAATTAAAGTCCACACACGGCCAGGCGCGGTGGCTCACGCTTGTAATCCCAGCATTTTGGGAGGCCGAGGTGGGCGGATCACTTGAGTCCAGGAGTTCGAGACCAGCCTGGCCAACATGGTGAAACCTCATCTCTAATAAAAATACATAAAATTAGGTGGGCGTGGTGATGGGCATCTGTAATCCCAGCTACTCAGGAGGCTGAGGCAGGAGAATCGCTTGAACCCAGGAGGCAGAGGTTGCAGTGAGCCAGGATTGTGCCATTGCACTCCAGCCTGGGCAACAAGAGCAAAACTCTGCCTCAAAAAAAAAGAAAAAAATATATTCCACACACCTAGTTTTTCAGCCCTATACAGGCTGACCCCATACCTGCCATCTCCTTTTCACTTCCTGTTCTTTCTGGCCTCCGTGAGTCCACGTGTGCCCTTGTCTCTGCTTGCTGTGCCTTTCTCTTTCCTCCACGTTGCTAAATTCCGTCCATTTTTCAAGGCTCAGTTCAGATCATCCTTCTTTGCTTTATCATTTTACATACTGTGTATGGTTTGGCCTCTTGGTCTGCTGCTCTCTGTGTCTGTTGTATGGAGCGCTTTTCTATCTGGTATTACGGTTATTTGTGTGCATGTCTTTTGATTCATCTACTTGAAGACAAGAGCTGGTCTTGGGCTGCCATTCCTGCAGTGTAGGCTCTCACATTGCCTTGCACGTAGTAAGTGCTCAGTAAATGCTTGGTGAACAAGTGTTCATGGCGTAACTTAATACTTCCAGTGGTGAGAGTTCCTGTCAAGAGTGTTGGCAGTGAAGTTGTTCCCCTTGGCAATTTCTATGCTGATCTCGGGTTACTGCATGAGACACAGAATCTGCGTTTCCCTCCCTTCAGCATCACTGGGGAGGACAGCCTTACTTTGGAGTTTTTTTTCTGATCAGTTACATGATGGTTTCATCTTTAAGACTACTGATAACAGGCAGCTCTGCCTATGGAGTAGCCATTCTTTTTTTTTTGAGATGGAGTCTCGCTCTGTCACCCAGGCTGGAGTGCAGTGGCATGATCTCAGCTCACTGCAACCTCCGCCTCCCGGATTCAAGTGAATCTTCTGCCTCAGCTTCCTGAGTAGCTGGGTCTACAGGCGCACGCCACCATGCCTGGCTAATTTTTGTATTTTTAGTAGAGACGGGGTTTCACCATATTAGCCAGGCTGTTCTTGAACTCCTGACCTCGTGATCCACCCACCTTGGCCTCCCAAAGTGCTGGGATTACAGACATAAGCCATGGTGCCCGGTGGAGTAGCCATTCTTTATCCCTTTACTTTCCTAATAAACTTGCTATCACTTTACTCTAAAAAAAAAAAAAAAAAGACTGACCAGGTGTGGTGACTCATGCCTGTAATCCCAGCACTTTGGGAGGCTGAGGCAAGTGGATCACTTGAGGTCAGGAGTTCGAGACCAGCCTGGCCAACATGGTGAAACCCCCGTCTCTACTAAAAATACAAAAATTAGCTGGGTGTGGTGGCGGGTGCCTGTAGTCCCAGCTACTTGGGAGGCTGAGGCAGGAGAATCACCTGAACCTGGGAGGCAGAGGTTGCAGTGAGCTGAGATCATACCACTGCACTCCAGCCTGGGTGACAGAGCGAGAGTCTGTCTCAAAAAAAAAAAAAAAAGAAAAAGACTATTGGTAACAACCCTCATTTTTTTGAGCACTTGCTATGCTGCTAACTGCTTTATGCACACTATTTCTTTAATCCTTAACACTATTTCTTTAATCCTTATATCTACCCATGAGATAGGGTTTTGTTATTCAGGCAGTGGCAAAACCTGCGGCTTAGAGAGGTTAAAAAAAAAAAACAACAAACTGCCTCAAACAAAGTCATATAGTAAATGGCAGTGCTGGAGATTAAATTTAGGTCTGTCTTGTTCTGCAGTCCATATACCATATAACTTTGCCAAATACAACACTATGGTGTGTGTGTGTGTGTGTGTGTGTGTGTGTGTGTGTGTATGCACATGTGTGGCCTTTATTGAACACTGTGGTGTGTGTGTATGCACGTGTGTGGCCTTTATTGACTTATTGAATTGATCCTGAATCTTCCCTACTCCTTTCCTGTCTCTTTTCTCTTTCTGAATAACATCATTTCTTTTTCTCTACTGGACATGGTCTCTGTGGGTTTCACCCCTCACCCCTCTTATTTTTGAAGTTTTATTGAGGCACTGGTTGAGGCTTTAGGGCTCCCACTGTTAAGTTTGACAGTAATAGGTAAGTGTCCCCCCAGTCTCCCTTTTGCCCTTTCTTTTTTTTTTTTTGAGACAGAGTTTTGCTATTGTCATCCAGGCTGGGGTGCAGTAGTGTGATCTTGGCTCACTGCAGCCTCCGCTTCCCGGGTTCAAGCGATTCTTCTGCCTCAGCCTCCCCATTAGCTGGGAATACAGGCGCACACCACCATGCCCAGCTAATTTTTGCATTTTTATTAGAGACGTGGTTTCACCATGTTGGGCAGGCTGGTCTTGAACTCCTGACCTCAAGTGATCTGCCCGCTGCAGCTTCCCAGAGTGCTGGGATAACAGGCGTGAGCCACACCGCCTGGCCGCTTTTGCCTTTTCTTGACATTGCCAATGCATCCTGTCCCCGAGCGTCTCTGAGTTTTAAGTCTCAGATTTGTTTTCTTTGGAGACAAACTGCAGGTAGGTGTTACTTCTCACCGAAGTTCCCAGATAGCACAGGCTTTGCTAAACAACACAGCACCAGGAACTCCATCATAGAGACCGCAGGATGCTGTGTGCGCGCACATGCGTGTGCACCTAGTGAGATGTAAACATTTACCTGGAGTAAAAGAAATTCTTTCCCCAGAGCCCAAATTTGGCTAGTCTCCTTATGTACACAGCTTTGACAGGGATTCCATATGTTTTGCTCATCTTTGCTTTTTTGCAGCCTCCACAAATTTATTTTCCGTACCACTGCCACTAAACAGAGTTGTTTCTAAAGTGCAGATCTGGTTGTGCCATTCCACCGTCAAAAATTATTTTTTGGCTCCTTGTTGCCTTCAGGGTGATAGGACAGGTGACTGCTCACCTCTCCAGCTTCTCTTACTTTCTTTCTTCTTCTTCTTCTTCTTTTTTTTTTTTTTTTGAGACGGAGTCTTTCCAGGCTGGAGTGCGATGGTGCAGTCTCGGCTTACTGCAACCTCCGCCTCCTGGGTTCAAGCAATTCTGCTGCCTCAGCCTCCTAAGTAGCTGGGATTACAGGCACCTGTCACCATGCCCGGCTAATTTTTGTAATTTTAGTAGAGATGGAATTTCACCATATTGGCCAGGCCGGTCTCAAACTCTTGACCTCAAGTGATCTGCCCGCCTCGGCCTCCCAAAATGTTGAGATTACAGGCGTGAGCCACCATGCCCCTCTTACATTCTTTTCTTCTGTTCACTACAGCCGTGGAGAGCTCCGGGTTGTCCTGCACATGTGCACTGCCCTCTCTTTTATGGACCTTTTAGGCTGGCTGCACCCTCCGTCTGTGTCACCCTCCTGCTCCTCCTCCACCTGGCTAGTTCCTGTTGGCCACTTTTGGAAATTCATGCCAGTCCAGTCCACCCTGAGTACATCCTCTTTCTGTGTCACTGAGCTCACTATGCTGGGTTTTATCTATGTCTCCCTCGCAACTAGATCATTCACGTCTTGAAGTTAGGCATCATGCGTTCTTCATTTCTGTACCTCCCAACTCAATGCTTAGCACCCAGCAGGGGCTCAAGACTGTGTGTGGAATGAAGGATTCGTGTGAAAATGCAGGGAGATGGAAGGCTGAGCGTTTCTGTTCCTTGACCATTCCCGGGTTTGACTAATAACTCTCATACACACTGCTACTCATTGAAGGCCTACTGTGTGCATGCATTCCATGTGTGCTATACAGTTTATTTATTGTTAACCCACGTAGAATTCCCAGACACATAGCGTTACTACAAACTTCATCACAAAAATAAAGAAACCAGGGCCCTGTTTCTCTTTGTTTCTCAGATGAGAAGTCTCACCAGAGTTGACTGTGGCTTCTGAGCATTATGAGGCACATGTAGGATTTAAAGCTGAAAGGCTTTATCCCTGAGACTCAGGGAAATATGACAATCTTTTATTTTGTTTTAATTAATATTTTTTGAGTCAGCGTCTTGCTTTGTCACCCAGGCTGGAGTGCAGTGGTGCAATCATGGCTCGCTGCAGCCTCAACCTCCTGGGTTCTAGCGATCCTCCCACCTTAGCCTCCTGAGTAGATGGGACCACAGGCACGTGCCACCATGCCTGGCTAATTTTTGTACTTTTTGTAGAGATGGGGTTTTGCTGTGGTCTCAAATTCCTGAGCTCAAGCAATTGGCCTGACTCAGCCTCCCAAAGTGTTGGGATTACAGGTATGAGCTACCGCACCCAGCCTGACAATTTTTTAAACAGAATTTTAGGTGCTTGGGCCCTGGAAGGTTCCCAGTTGTCCAACTCTTGAGGTGGGGGGTGGGTGGGGGGTGGAGAGAGAGAGAGAGAGGAAGGCTTTTCCTTCTCAAATAGTTTGCATTTACACGAAGGCCACGGTGTACTTGTTTATTGAATCAATAAAGATACAATCTCTTTGAATAGTTCAGAATCTGATATCCCTGTTAGACTGAGTTCACCTTTTGTGAAGGACACAGGACTGCTGGATAGGGTGTTGCAGCAATGAGGAGTTATGTTATAAGGGGTCTCTTCAGTGTCTTTTTGGTCATATGAATTTTATTTGCCCAGTAGAACATGACTGATGAGGCTCTGAATAGTCAAAGAAAACATCTCTCTTATGTTCTGCTCATGAATAGAACACTCTGTGTCCTGAATTGTTGCTCCACTGGGGCCAGCACGTGGTGTATTTTTCTAATGTTTGAACCAATGGGCTTTTTCATTTTGGGGCAATCAAGGTAAAGATTTTCTGGTGCTCCTGTGTGACAGGGAAAGCATGTCTTGTATTTTCTCTCTCTTTCCCTTCTGTCTTTTGAGTTTGGAAAATTATATTTTGAGTTACATGACTAATTACATGAGTAATTTTAGCAAATTTACTAGAAATTGATGTTCTGCCAATGATTGGAAATCCCTTCCTCCCCTCCACTCTTCTAAACCAAAACAGTGCTGTGTCCTGAAGCTAGAGGGGTGAGTATTCAGTATTGGAGTACAGCGGTTTAGAACATTGGAGACATTTACAAGGATAAATCTATGGCCCTGGGTTCTGACTTTCTTTTGCCTGTGTGTGTGTGTAGGGGTGTGTGTGTGTGTGTGTGTGTGTGTGAGAGAGAGAGAGAGAGAAAGAGAGTAAGAGAGAGCGAGCTGGGTTTGGGGCTGGGAAGGAAGAATGATTGATTAGGAAGCTGTTGTGCAGAGTAGAACAGGACTTCCTGAAATGTAAGACCCAAAGAAACATAGATAGCCATATTTTCCAGTCCTGGAATCAGACTCAAGTCTGATAAAAGGTTTTCTTTTGATTTGTGATTCTGATAATATGAAAAGTCTTACAAAAGTATAGAATTGTAGCTGGTAGGCTGCTTTATGAGAAAGAAAATAAACTCCCACAGAGTGGGCATTGACCTGGGAGATCTGGAGCCTGGTGCAAGTGCAGACCATGGTTTTCACAATCTTTGATCACTTTCCTTTTGTGTTGAACTTTCTCTTTTAGCTCCATATTTATAAATGGGGTCATATTTAGCCAGATATTTTATTTTTATTTTTATTTTTAAAGAGAGGCAGGATCTTGCTGTGTTGCCCAGGCTGGAGTGCAGTGCCATGATCATAGCTCACTGCAGCTTCGAACAGGGCACAAGCCATCCTCCCATTTCAGCTTCCTGAGTAGCTGGGATTACAGGCAGGAGCCACATTTCCTGGCTTCTAGTTGGGTTTTTTTGTTTCTGGAAGAACAGAACCATACTCCTCAGGCCAGGAAGACCTAGGTAGAGCAAGACCAGCAACCTCTTGGCTAGAGGGCTGTGGGAGCTGAGCATCAGTGAGTGAGGGGAAAGCAGTGGTTTTTTGTCTTGAGAAGAAGTTCAGCGCTCAGTTAACCAGAACAAGTGCCACCTGTATAAGACAGCAGACGGTCAAAGCAGAAGAGGGAAGGAAATGGTTGAATAATTCTTTTTTTCCTTTTGTTCCTTCTCTGCCCTGAGTCTCCCCCACCCCCAAAGAGATATCTCAAAATGTCAAGGTCCAGTGAAATGGACGGTGGGATCCTTGAGGAGGGGTCTGTGGGGTGGGGGTCTCTGAAGGGGCTAAGCCATGGTGGGCTAATGGCTCTGTTTACCGAGTGCATGCCCTATGCCTGGCATTGTGCTTCTTTCTCGAAACCATCCTACAGGTGGAGGAAGCGGGGGTTTAAAGGGAGCCAGCAGCCAGCGACTCTCTATCTTACAGCTTCTAATTGGCTTTGAAACCACACAGGCTGCTGCTGGAGGAACCTTTGACATCCTCAGTGTGCAGCCCTCTCCCCTCCCTCTGAAGGGAGGCATACTCCTTCACTGTTGCTTTGACACTCTAGGATGTTCCAAAACTAGGTGGTCAGCTTACTCAGAAGGCTCTGGGCATTTTTCCTCCTGCAGGAGGGACTGCGCACATGCGAAAGACATGAGGAAGCTCTGATGCTCAGGGCTGTGGGGGCTTTGGCCTTGGCCCGCACAGCCTTCTCTGGTATAGTGAGGTCTCCTTTTGGGTTTTTCACTTGTGTTTGTTTTGAGGCGTATGTGCTTCATATGGTTGAACTCATTCCTCGCCCAGCTGGACATAGAGTTGACTGCCTCAGTGGGTCCCACCTCGGGGGTGGGAAATGTAACCTCATGAGGGCCACTGTATGGTTGGGCAGATTCACAGCTGCTCTGAGGTCAGGCCTGGCAGGTGGCGAGGGCCTAAGAGGAATTGGATCACCCTGGAACCTAGCTGGGGCTAGGATGGTTGTTGCATGTGATTTTCAGCAGGACTCTAAGGGATCTCCAAAGCTGGTTGGCTGGCTAGCGAGGTTGGGCGAGGGAATAACTCATTTGCTTAACTTTTCATATGTAACAACTGGGTTTTGGGTTTCACAAGAGACAAGGTAGGCAGGCAGGCTCAGGTGGTTCTGTATACCCCATTTCATACATGAGAAAATGGAGACTTGTTTCAGATCGTAAGGTAGTTGGACCGCAGCTACTCTTCCAAGACTGGTATTCGTTCCTCTACTCTGTTAAAGCCAGAGAGAGGATGCAGGCCAAGTCAAGTGACCAAAGCTAAAGGGGAAGGAAGGGCTGGCTGGACTTAGCAGTGACCACAGACAGAGTTGAAGCCTTCACGGTTGGCGTTGGCCTTGTTCACTGCTGTGTGCCAAGCTGCTGACAGCATCTGGCTATCGCAGGTTCGTAATAAGTGTTTGCTGAGTGAATGAAAGAATATTGGTGTTGGGGATGATCTCTTTTTCACTTGCTCAGCACCTTCCAGAATTTTGTTCTTCTCTTTGCCACTCCCTTTTTTCTCCTCCCTGGGTAACACCTCTTATTGCAGGAGTAGGATCAGGTTTTGAGTAGCACCTTTGGGGTACCCATTCAGTTCCTCTTTTCCCCCGTAATTATGGGATTTGGGATTGCCCTTTGGGAGAATTAGGTAACTTTAGGTTCTGTATGTTAATTTGAGGCCTGGATTTTGAACTTCCTTCTGATGCAGATAGACCTTGGAAGGGAGTCCTTACTTAGAACCTCTTTATTTTATCTCCTCACTGGGAGAGTAGATCCCAGACAGGTTTTGGGAACCACCTGGTGTCCCCAAGCGAGCAGAGGCAGAGTTGGGCTTGAATCTCCTCCTTCATTGCAGTGCTTTCTCTGCCCTGATCCCATTGGGTGACCCTGGACTATGAATATGGATTATGAGTGGGCCCTGAGAGTGATCAGAGACATCCTTCAAGATTGAAGCTGCTTTGGTTCCTGCCACATGGAACTGAGTGGGAGAATGTCTCAATTCAGGATGGTGGGAGTGTCTCTTTGTCCAAGTAATAAATGGAAACCGTTTGCTCCCGACTTTTGCAGATATCAAGGGCTTGTCTTTCCAGAGTTTGGTTTTCTTCCCTTCTCTCCGCCTCCCTTTTCTCTGCCCGCCTGTGGTTTTGAGCCCCTCATGGCTATCTGGGCAGTGATGGGTGGAAGGGAGCTGGTGCAGTATTCGAGTAGAGAAGTTCTGCTGCAGTGAGTGTGGGGCAAGTTTCCCAGACCCTTGTTGGGTCAGGGCAGGTGGTTGTGGCCCAGTTGTTTGGCCTTCTGCAGGCTGCACCCCTGCCCTGCTGCCTGCCAGTGGGGTGAGGGCCTGGCCACCTGGTACTTAACAAGTTTGGTTCTACATGTGTTCCCGTGAGTGGAGGACAAAATGAAAATACCTCCTGATCGTGTTCAACCATTAGTTGAACAACCATTTGAAATGGTTATTGCAACCATTTCAGAGTTTTCTTCTGTTTGTGATGTCATCTGTGCCTTATAAGGGGTGACTTGCTACCTTATGGAGCACCTAGGTTGAGGCCCGGGTTGAGCACAGTTCCATACGTTAGCTCATTTATTTATTTTGAGACAGGATCTCACTTCTGTGGCCCAGGGTGGAGTGCAGTGGTGCAATCACAGATCACTGTAGCCTTGACTTCCCAGGCTCAGGTGATTCTCCCACCTGAGCCTCCCGAGTAGCTGGGACTACAGCTGTGTACCACTATGTCTGGCTAATTTTTTGTATTTTTAGTAGAGATGGGGTTTTGCCATGTTGCCCATGCTGGTCTTGAACTCCCGGCCTCAAGAGATCCTCTTGTCTCCAAATCGCTTCGCAGAAGTGCTGGGATTACAGGTATGAGCCACCATGCCCAGCCAAGTTAGTTCATTTAATCTTCACAGTGGTACAATGGGCTAATATCTCTGTCTTATAGGTAAGGAAATGGAGACTAAGAGCTCTTTGCCAAGGGTTGCTGTCATCCATTTATTCATCAACAGGTAGTTATTAGGTATCTACTCTGTGCTGGGCCCTGGCCTGAACTTGGCTTTGGTGGATGAGACTGACAAGTTCTCTGTTCTCACAGAGCTGAGAGTCTGGGGATAAAGATCCCTTATTATGGTTTCTTTTGTGGTGTTGTGGGGAGAGGGTGATGATTAGGGTTTGGGTACTGGAGAGAGAATTAGGATTTTAGCTCATTTTACTCAAATGCTTTATATTGCACCATGTTACTACATTTTCCCCTGTGCTTCCCCCCTACCCTATGTGGATTATTACAGTTTACTTGTGTGTAAACTTAGGCTCAGAGAGGCTGGGTAACTTATCCCAGCTTGCACAAAAGAGGACCTGAATTTGAGCAGACCGTAGGTTGAATTCTGTCCTTCTATGCTGCCTTTCTATGAATAATATGTTTACATATATATATATATATATATATATTTTTTTTTTTTTTTTTTTTTGAGATAGAGTCTTGTTCTGTCACCCAGGCTGGAGCGCAATGGTGTGATCTCAGCTCACTGCAACCTCTGCCTCCTGGGTTTAAGTGATTCTCTTGCCTCAGCCTCCTGAGTAGCTGGGATTACAGGTGCGCACCACCACGCCTGGCTAATTTTTGTATTTTTACTAGAGATGGGGTTTCACCATGTTGGCCAGGCTGGTCTTGAACTCCTGACCTCAGGTGATCCACCTGCCTCGGCCTCCCAAAGCACTGGGATTACAGGCATGAGCCACAGTGCCAGGCCTTACATAAAAATTGTTTAAAAAGCAGTTTGCAGAAGAATTATCAATCCTTTTGTTAACATTTTGGTGAACTCTTGAACACATTTTTTAAAAAGTTGAGAGTTGCTAACAAGTAAAGTGAAGTCCTGTGCCTGTTGTAATTTGGACTGAGGAGTGTGAGTTGTCTTGGTCTAAAGGTCAGAGTGAGGGTCTCTGCCTGCTGCAGGGGTCTCCCGGTTAGGGTTAGGGTGAAAAGCTTTTTAAAATAAACCTCTCAAATTTGTTGTCAACATTAACCTATGGTAATTTTTTTTTTTTTTCTTTTTTTTGAGACAGGGTCTTACTCTGTTGCCCAGGCTGGAGTGCAGTGGTGGGATCTCAGCTCACTGCAACCTCTGCCTCCCGGTTCAAGCGATCTTCCTGCCTCAGCCCCCCAAGTAGCTGGGACGACAGGCGCGTGCCACCATGCCTGGCTAATTTTTGCACTTTTTTGGTAGAGACAGGGTTTTGCCATGTCACCCAGGCTAATCTCTGGTAATTTTTAAACTCTGCTCAAAGTTTTAGAAAACATAAGTCTGGAAATTCCAAGTTGAGCCACTGGTGACTTGTGAGCATGAGTATGGCATGGGATTGGGGGTGGGGTGGGGCTGACGTGGCCTGGGGCAGATGCCGGGTGGTTCTGTTTGGAAACAGAAGTTCCACTGCACATGCAGCCTTCACGTCTTGTGGGGGCTTTTGTGGGGGCTGTGTACTTCCCAGTTTGGTTATTAGTAACTTTATTTGGTTCTGGTCATTAACGGCTTTTGGGGGCGTTTTGGGGGCCTGTTTGAGGCCCCTGAACATGCATTTTTCAGTTGTCGTTGTCCATGTTATTAAAAGGATATGTTGGAGGGGGTTGCAGTTTAGTCTGCTGCTGTTTCGAATCCTTTTCTTTGATAGTGTTTGCCTTCCTCCCACCAAATGCTGCACTGAGAGTCTCTGGTACCTGGGTCCCTCCTTCCCTTGCCTTTGCTTGGGAGGTCAGTGCCTTCATCCAGGACATCTTTGGGCATACAGGTAATCCCAAGCAGCTCTGCTCAGTTGTTGATACCCCTTCTCACAGAACCTGATCTGCCTCAGCTCTCCTTGCCTCCTAAGTGGCAGTGCCCCGCTGCTGGGAAGACTCCTCTCTCTGCTGGATGCTTCTTCAGGCCTGCTGCTGCACAGCTTACGGCCATGATGACTGCTGCAGTGCAGAAGGCATTTCAGTTGGCTGTTTGTTTTTCATGCATTTTGTGTTTGTAGTGTGCTGGCCACGGGAGCACTCTAAACACATTATGGGCCGGGCGCAGTGGCTCCGGCCTGTAATCTCAGCACTTTGGGAGGCTGAGGCGGGCAGATCACTTGAGCCCAGGAGTTCGACACCAGCCTGGCCAACACGGCGAAACCCCGTCTCTACTAAAAATACAAAAATTAACCGGGTGTGATGGCGCGTGCCTGTATTCCCAGCTACTAGGGAGGCTGAGGCAGGAGAATCTCCTGAACCTGGGAGGCAGGGACTGCAGTGAGCCAAGATTGTGCCACTGCACTCCAGCCTGGGTGACAGAGCGAGACTCCATCTCAAGAATAAAAATAAAAACAAAAATAAACATAAAAATAAACACTTTATGTACACAATCTCACATCACTTTCACAGTCTTGGAAGGCAGATATTTCTGTTATCCTCATTTTACAGCTGACGCCTATCTAAGGCTTGTATAAAAGTCAGTCACTGTCCAGGCTCACACAGCCAATGCTGGAGGGCTGTGTGGCACCCAGAGAGCACAGTTGCTGCTTGGAATAAACCTTCACTTATAGTCCGGAGCAGGGTGGTTCTAAAGCTCCCTTAGCTTTCCCACTAGTAAGCTTCCAGGTTCTGGTACAGTTTCTCAGCCTCGGCACTACTGACGTTTGGAGTCTGATGAGTCTTTGTTGTGAGCGCTGTCCTGTGCATTGCAGGATGTTAGGAGCATACTTGGCCTCTATCCACTAGATGCCAGTAGCACCCCCCTCCCAACTCTGCCCAGTTGTGACAGCCAAAATGTCTGCAGACATTGCCAGATGTCCCCTGGGGGACAAAATCTTGCCTAATTGAGAACCACCGAGTCATGGCAACCATTTCAAACCCTAAGCCAGGATGTACGTGGAGATGGAGAAAGGTACAACATTTAGAATTGGTACTGTTGGCTGGGCACGGTGGCTCACACCTGTAATCCCAGCACTTTGGGAGGCCAAGACGGGCAGATCACCTGAGGTCAGGAGTTCGAGACCAGCCTGGCCAATGCGGTGAAACCCCGTCTCTACTAAAACAAAACAAAACAAAACAAAACAAAACAAAACAAAACAAAACAAAACAAGTCGGGTGTGGTGGCGCACTTTTGTAATTCCATGTACTCGGGAGGCTGAGGCAGGAGAATCGCTTGAACCTGGGAGGTGGAGATTGCAGTGAGCCGAGATCGCGCCATTGCACTCCAGCCTGGGCGACAATAGTGAAACTCTGTCTCAAAAAAAAAAAAAAAAAAAAGAATTGGTACTATCTTAGAAAACCTGGAGCACCCTGCTGCTTTAACTGCAGCCCTCTGTGTGGGCAGACAGATTGACAGTGGGCTTAATGTGGGGTAACCTTTCATCATGAAAATTAAATTACACTGCAGGCCTTTTGTAGCCCTCCTATATGAAACCCTCTTAAAATATTTTCTTTTTGCAATGGAAGCTTGGGGGAAAAATCATAGTCTTAGATTTATTGAAGTTTTGTGGATAAAAGCACTTTTTATTAAAAAGAACCAGGTGAAAACTAGAAGGGCCTCTTTTGAGTCTGCTGACAGACACGTGGAGAATATATAGTCAGCGGAACATTCCTGTGCTTTCCGTAAAGCTGTGGATGAACCTGCCTTTCAGGTTTCGTAGCCTCTTCAGTCAGATGGTTTGAGAATGCGTGTTTTGTGGTGTATGCACACAGACTGTATGAGTTTGTTTTTTTACACATGACTAGTAAACCTGTCACATTTTGTCAAATGTGATTTTCTTTCTTTATTAAAATAGATTTTATTTTTAGAGTAGTTCTAGGTTCACAGCAAAATTGAGCAGAAGGTGCAGAGATATCCCATATACCCCTGGCCCCCACATATGCACGGCCTCCCCCGTTAGCAACACCCCCACCAGAGTGGAACAATCAATGAACGTACATTGACATATCACTATCACACAAAGTCCATAGTTTCTGTTAGAATTCATGCATAGCATTCTACATTCTGTGGGTTTGGACAAGGTATGATGACATGTAACTGTGATTTCCTCAATTCAATATGTATAGTTCCTGTTCACACATTTCTTCACACATTTGTTCCTCAGTGCTCAAATGCCTGCTGTATTCCAGGCTGTATTTGAAGCCCCTGAGCCTTTATTTGGAGAGTTCATTGAACATTAGAGCATGCAGTTTGCTGAGATGTCTTGTACTTAGAAAATCCAATTTATAAAAAACCTCAAATAGAACAGTAAATTTAGGGAATTTTTTTTTTCTGATGATAAAATTAGATAACTCTGTTGCATGGATTCTGTAAAACACAGCTCCCTCCTGTTACGCCATGAATTGGGTTCAATTTACAACACCCCTTTAGGCATACTTTTTCAGCAACACATGTCTGAGCCGAGGTGCACTGTGCCTCTTTCTGTAGCAGGCAGCTTTTAGGGGGTGTCCTAGTGGTCTTATGTTTTATACATCTCATGGGAGTGGCTGGTTTCTAGGAAATAGCTCACTTGCCAGTTTTGGTAACCCTAACAGAGCTGTTTTGCCAAGGCGTCTGGTGAATATTTCTGTCTTCCAGTCAGGACTAATATAGTACTTTTCAGAGGTGATAGCCAGTTAACTGATGACTTTTTTTTTTTTTTTTTTTTTTTTTTTTTGAGATGGAATCTCGCTCTGCCACCCAGGCTGGAGTGCAATGATGCGATCTTGGCTTACTGCAACCTCTGCCTCCCGGATTCAAGCGATTCTCCTGCCTTGCCTCCTGAGTAGCTGGGATTACAGGTGCGCACCACCACGCCTGGCTAATTTTTGTATTTTTGGTAAAGTCAGGGTTTTGCCATGCTGCTCAGGCTGGTGTCGAACTCCTGGGCCCAAGTGATCTGCTCACCTCGGCCTGCCGAAGTGCTGGCATTACAGGCGTGAGCCATTGCACCTGGCCGTGTTTTCTGTTTTTTATTTAGAGGAAGTCACTTGATCATGCTTTTCCCCCCACCCATGGCATAGGAAAATGATTCTTTTGCTGATTGTGCTGATTAAATGTGATGTGGAAAAACCTACTCCTGGTGTTCAGAGAGGTTTTCCAGGTCACAGTGGGGTGGGTCTCATCTGGACATCAGAATCATTATGTTAATGATAACTAAGAGCAGTTGACTGCTTACTATAAGCCAGCCACTGACCTCAGGGCATTGCATAACTGGCTTCCTTTACTCTTCACATCAGCCCTGTGGGCTTGGGAGTGAGACCTCTACCTAGTTTTTAAACAAATTACATAAACTTTTTGGGGCTCAGCTCCCTCATCTGAAAATCAGAAAATGATACTTCTCTGGCATTTTGAGCATGAGTTCAGGAGTCAGACTTCCTGGGTTTGAATTCTAGCTTCTTCTATGACTTTGAGCAAATTACTTTAACTTTGCTAAGCCTCAGGTTTCTCGTGTTGCATAGGCAGATGATAGTCATATCTGAATGTAACGAGAATCAAATGCAACCTGGGACACAGTGAACACTTGGTGAACGTTAGTGCCTTGGTAACAGTGATGATAGTGACAATAAAGATCGATGATGATGATGATGGCGATGGTGCTTAACCCAGTATGAAGGTGAAGTGTCTAAGCTTCTTGAGGGCAGAGTTTTGTCTTCTTCTGCACTTTCTTTCTAGTGTCTAGAATTGCCTGTAGGTTTACCCCTGGATCCCGTCAGGATGGGGCTAAATTTAGAATTTTTGGAAAGATGTGAGCTAGCCCGTCTACAGTGACATCCAGCTCAGTGTGTATGTTTGGTCTGTGAACATAGTAGAGGCATGATTCAACTGTGAGTTTGTGCTGGGAGCATAGATGGATGCTTTTCAGGCTCTTGAAATGTGCAAGTGTGGTTCCCTTGCAGCAGGCATTGCCTCTCCCTCGTTAATCAAGATCTTTTCCTTGCCAGGACTTCAGGAGATCCTGGACATCCTCTGGAGCCCAGGGGTGGCCTCACCCGCTCCTTGCTTTAGCCTGGAATGCAGGCCCTCAACATTCCAGCCTTGGGTTAGTGCCAGAGCTGTGAAAGCAGGGCAGGCATTTCCACCTTGCTTGACAAAGGCTTTTGCTCTCTGGGTGGTTGGGGGTGCCTCTGAAGCCAGGCGAGACCAGAGATCTCATGGGTTTGTGTTTCTTCATTGATACTTTTAAGGGGAGCAACTTAATCAGTGGGAAACCAGATCTCAAAGGATGGGACAGATAAACGCAGGGTACAGAGAAGAGCTTGGGGGAGTGTCAAGCTTATTTGCCCAAAAGGGCTGACCCTACCTTACCGCCATTAATACATGTCCTTCATGCATCCCTGGGTAACAGGGAAGTAGTACCAAAAATCTTACAGTGCAATAAACACTTGGCAGAAATGGAGAAACTAGTAATGGCTGAGCAGCTGTGCCCTCTCCACCACCTCACTATGCAGTACGTGGGCCACCAGCCGCTAGGGGCCTGGCAGCCACAGAGATGAGGGAAGCATGCTGAGGACCCTGGTGTGGAGTTGGAGGGGTCATGTCCTCTGAAAGGTGGCCACCACTCATCGCCAGCCCTTACTGTCATGTGAGAATGTGGCTCTGTGTTTCCAGATATTGTTTTTTTTTTTCCCCTCCAACAGAAGCAGGAAATATAAAAAATTTATATAATATATATAAAATATATTATATATAAATATATAAATATATAAAAATAAATATATATTATATATATAAAAATATATAAATATATATAAAAATATATAAATATATTATATATAATATATTAAATATATTATATATAATATATTTATATAATATATATAATATATTATATAAATATATAAATATATAAAAATATATAAAATATATAAATATATAATATATATTATATATTAATATATTATATATTATATATAAATATATAAAAATATAATATATATAAAATATATATAAAAATATATGATATATAATATATATAAATATATATGTATAAAATATATATTATATATTATATACTATATATTATATATAATATATAAAAAATATATATAAAATATATATATAACTTCACGGAAACTCTGAAGGAGAGGTCAAATATAATATTATATATTTTATATATATAATTTATATATATATAAAACTATATATATATATTTTTGAGAGACAGTCTTGCTGTGTTGCCCAGGCTGGAGTGCAGTGGTGTGATCTTGGCTCATTGCAACCTCTGCCTCCCAGGTTCAAGCGCTTCTCCTGCCTCAGCCTCCCAAGCAGCTGGGATTACAGGTGTGTGCCACCATGCCTGGATAATTTTTGTACTTTTAGTAGAGGCAGGGTTTCACCATGTTGGCCAGGCTGGTGTCGAACTCCTGACCTCATGATCCGCCCACCTTGACCTCCCAAAGGGCTGGGATTACAGGCATGAGCCACCGTGCCTGGCCAGGAAATTATATTTTTATGAGAAATATTCTGTTGTTTAAATTCTGGCACCTCGTTCTTTTTTTTTTTTTTTTTTTGAGACGAAGTTTCACTCTTGTCGCCCAGTCTGGAGTGCAGTGGCATGATCTCAGCTCACTGCAGCCTCTGCCTTCTAGGTTCAAGTAGTTCTCCTGGCTCAGCCTCCCGAGTAGCTGGGATTACAGGTGCCTGCCACCACGCCTGGCTAATTTTTGTATATTTAGTTGAGATGGGGGTTTCACCATGTTGGCCAGGCTGGTCTTGAACACCTGACCTCAGGTGATTTGCCCGCCTTGGCCTCCCAAAGTGCTGGGATTACAGGCGTGAGCCATGGCGCCCGGCCCTAGTTCACAAAATATATATGGCCAAACAAAACATGTCTGGGGCTAGACTTGGACAGGGGGCCCCATTGTGCAACCTCTTATATAGCAAATTAGAGTTTACCAGGAAGTTTCTGCCCTTCAGGCCCTCTGCTCTCACAGAAACTCTATGAAGGAGAGGTCATCTTGTCTATGTTTGTAAGAAGTCACATTGAGAGAAATGACATCTTAGCTCCTCTTATGTGCCAAGTAGTTTGTCTGCGTTATCTTCTTAGATTGGCTCCATCTCTCAGGTGAGGAAACAGACTTGGAAAGGTGAAGTGACTTGCCCACCTAGTTAGAAGCACATCATCTTCTGATTCCTGTCTCATTTCATTTCACCGCTTGTTTGCCCTCTCTGTGGTCTTGCCCACGGACTTGTAGTCCCTGATGTACGCCAGGCCTCTCACAGTGTGGCCCCCGGGATTCCCTTTTATGAAAAAAAGTTGAGCATGAGCTGTAAGTTAGAGTAGGTTTTAATTCTGTCCTACCACGGAGTCTGTTTTATATGAGAACAAGTTATTTAACTCCTCTGAGTGTTAATTTCCTCATTTTTTTCCTTTCTTTCTTTTTTTTTTTTTTAAAGGGCCAGTCCCCATTCTCACAGGGTGTTTGGAAGGAGTAACTGAAGGGGGGTATATAAAGCCGCTGGCAGCCAGGCATGGTGGCTCACGCCTGTAATCCCAGCACTTTGGGAGCCTGAGGCAGGCAGATTGCTTGAGTCTAGGAGTTCAAGACCAGCCTGGGCAAACATGGTGAAACCCTGTCTCTATAAAACATGCAAAAATTAGCCAGGCATAGTGGTGCATGCTTGTAATCCCAGCTACTTGGGTGGCTAAGGTGAGAGGATTACTTGAGCCAGGGAGGTTGAGACTGCAATGAGCTGTGATTGCGCCACTGCACTCCAGTTTGGGTGATGCAGTGAGATCCCATCTCTAAATAAAAAAAAAATAAATAAAGCCCCTAGCATGGTGCCTGGCACATGGTAGGCCCTCAAAAGATGACCCTCCAAAGTGGCCAGGACTCACCATGCATTCAGGGAATATGGATTCTTTTGGTGGCAGCAGGCTGCATTTTTGCCTGGCTGAATGCCTGCAAGCATGGGAACTTTTGATGCAACAGTAATCCTTGGGGTCTGAAAGGCCCCAAATCTCCCGCCAGATCTCTGAGGTTAACATCCAGTCAACCTTTTGCTTTTCATTCTTGGCCTCTTTCCTCCTCACCTCCACCAGTGTGACAGTCATATCCTCTCTATGTTTCTGGTAAGTTCTGGCCTTGAGGGCTGGTCTTATGACTGACAAGTGAAGAGCAGTGCCACCCTCTACTCCACATTCTCAGAAGCGTCTCTAGGTTCCATACTTTAAGGCAGGCTAGCTTCCAAGGCATACTGACAGACATCCCTGTGCAGTCCTGGGGGCACGAGGGTCCCATTCCACCCTGGGGCTTCAGGGTCAGGTGAGGAAGGTAGATCCCTGAAGTTGGGTCCAGAAAAGGCCACTGGGCTAGCCTGTCTCTCGTTCTGGTCACTGACCTCAGGATCCAGCAGGACGCTGCTAGCTTGCTTGGCTCAGCTCTGCGAGTGCTGGGAGCAATAAGCAGTGCTGAAAACGCGATGCATTTCAACCCAAAGCACTCTGATCCCTTTCCAGGCTTTGGGAGAATGTTTTTTCCAGCTCGGTTACTTGCTGGCATGCATAGGTCAATATACAAGGTGTTCTCAGAGAAGCCGGAGCTGAATGTTGACTTTTGTGCTCCCTGGGGTGTGTTCTGGGGAGGAAGTGGGTTTTCAGGTTGTGGTGCGTGTAGGATGTGGTCTGGGATGATTAGTATCACACACTGTGGATAAAGTTAACACGCATTGTGGAGCTTTTTTCCTCTTTTGTACTTTTGGGCGAAGGTGCCTCAAAAGCAGCTTTGTTTATCAAGGAGGTGCCCTTGATTCTGTATGCATTTTTAACATCTGAATAGAAGTTAGACGCACACATAATTGCTTTACTTGATGCAGTAAATACGTTTCAGCCAGATAATCCATAAGACCCTAGTTCAGATCCTGACTTTGATCCCTCTTAGTTGTGTGAGCTCTCACCAGTTTACTTGACCTCACTCTCTGAGCGTCAGATTCCTGAGTGTAAAATAGGTACAAAAACTCAGATTGTTGTAAGGTTTCAGTGAGTTGTTGCGTGTAAAGCATTTAGTATACAGTTCTTGTCACAATGTTTAGTAATGGCAGCTATTATCTTAACTATTAGAGCGGCAGTTTGGCGTGGCACTAATAATGATGATGGTGACAGTTTCACTGAGTGCTTACTACCTCAGCTATTCTTCCAAGTACTTTGCATCACTTAGCTCATTTAACCCTCACAATAAAGCGATAAGGTAGGTGCTGTTCTAATCTCTGTTTTACAGATGCTAAAACTCGGCAGCCAGGTGTGGTGGCTCATGCCCGTAATCCCAGCACTTTGGGAGGCCGAGGTAGGCGGATCATCTGAGGTCAGGAGTTCGAGACTAGCCTGGCCAAAATGGTGAAACCCCGTCTCTACTAAAATACAAAAGAATTAGCTGGGTGTAGTGGTGCATGCCTATAATCCCAGCTACTCAGGAGACAGAGGCAGGAGAATCGCTTGACTCCGGGAGGAGGAGGTTGCAGTGAGCCGAGATTGTGCTATAGCACTCCATTCTGGGCGACAAGAGCGAAACTCTGTCTCAAAACAAAACAAAACAAAACTCAGGCACAGAGAGGTTAAGTAACTTGCCCAAGGTAACCCAGCTCATAAATATGAAAAGAGCAGGGACTTTAGAGTCAGAAGACCTGGGTGGCACGCTTGCATGCCGTGTCCTGGTGGTGTGGCCTACCGCAGAGTGACTGACTCTGATTGCCTTCCCAACTGTAAAATGGTGCTAATGATACAGACCGCCCCCCATTGCCTGGTGTGGTGCGCGGCTGTGAGTGCTTAATAATAGGTGCTTAGGCATCATTTGCTAATTAACTGACTGTGTTAGGTTATTAGGAAGTTCCAGTGGGCTAATAAAAGCTCTGGGTAAACGTTAGTTGTTCTTTTAAATGTCCTGAGGTGCTTATGATTGGAGTTTAAACAGCACACCTGTTTTTCAGATTTCGGAACCACTTAAGAGAGGCACAGTGTAAAGAAGGTGGAGATGAGAATATCACCTTTACTCCTGATACAGTCTTGGAGAATGCAGCTTAGTTGTGGGGCAGCATTAGCTTTCTGATATGAAGCTGAGATTAGGTGGATGTACCAGGCCAGTCACGGGCAGCCTTGGGTACCCAGAGGCCTTCTCACGTGGGTCGAGGCAGGTGGTGGAGGTGGTGGCAGCGGTAGCCCCCATAATACTTCTAGGTGGAAGAACAGACCACCTGAGTGAGAGAAATCACTCCTGAGCCCTGGGGGAGAACTGTGTGGAGGGGCAGATGGGAGCCTGGAGTTTTGAGGGAAAAAAAACTTTCCTTTTGGAAGCCAGACGTAGGGAAGAAGCATATTGATCACAATGACTATTAAAGAAAGCTCCCCAACACCCCAGCAAAACACCCACAAAACAAGAAACTACTTCTGCCAATGGTTCTAGCCAGTTTTCTTCACCACAGTTCATGACTGCTTCATCCTTTTAGGTGATCACACCCAAAACTTTTGGGTCTTCCTGCCTTTTTTTTTTTTTCTTTTGAGACCAAGTCTTGCTCTGTCACCCAGGCTGGAGTGCAATGGCACGATCTCGGCTCGCTGCAGCCTCCGCCTCCCGGGTTCAAGTGATTCTCCTGCCTCAGCCTCCCGAGTAGCTGGGATTACAGGCATGTGCCACCATGCCTGGCTAATTTTTGTATTTTTAGTAGAGATAGGCTTTCACCATGTTGACCAGGCTGGTCTTCAACTACTGGCCTCAAGTGACCCACCTGCCTCTGACTCCCAAAGTGCTAGGATTACAGGCATGAGCTACCACACCCAGCCTTTTTTTAAAACAAAACCAAAACCAAAAGAGACAGGGTCTCTGGTGTGCAGTGGTGTGATCATAGCTCACTGCACCTTGACCTCTTGGGCTCAAGCAATCCTCCTGCCTCCACCTCCTGAATAGCTGGGACTACAGATGTGTACCATCACACTCATCTAATTAAAACAATTTTTTTTTTGGTAGAGATGGGATCTCGCTATGTTGCCCAGGTTGGTCTTGAGAACTCCTGGCCTCAAGCGATCCTCCTGCCTTGGCCTGCTAAAGTGCTAGGATTACGGGTGTGAGCCACTTTACCCAGCCTTGGGTCTTCCTTGACTCCTGACTCTCAAACCTCATATTCAGTCCATCTGCCAGTCTGTGGGTTCAATCTTCAAAGCAAACCCAGAACCTTACTACTTCTCACCTCTCCCCAGCCACCGCTCTGGTCCAAGCCACCATCGTCTCTCACCTGGATTAGTGCGGGGCTCTCTTCCTGGTCTCCCCACTTCTGCCCTTGTCCCTCTTCAGTCTATTTCTATGAGGCCACCAGAATTATCTTTTTTAAAAACTGAAGTCAGATCATGTTGCTCCTCTGCTCAAAGCCCCGCAGTGATTCCCTGGCACGCCGAGGGGAAAAGGCAAGATCCTCCCAAAGGCCTGTACGATCTGCCCCCGGCAGCTCCCTGGCCTCTTCATTTTGTGCCTCCTCTGCCCCCTCTGCAGAGCCACACTGGCCCTGGTAGTTTCTAGAACACGTCACGTTCATGCCTGCCTCTGGGCTTTGCATGGGCCTTCTTCCCAGGCACAACGTGGGGCTCTCCCCACTTCTTCCACCCTACAGAGAGGCCGGCCCTGATCAGCTGTTTTATAATAGCTCCTCCCGATCAGTACTCCTGATCGCTCCCTACTGTGCTGTGCCTTTTTTTTTTTTTTTTTTTTTTTTTTGAGGCAGAGTCTCACTCTGTCCATTGCCCAGGCTGTAGAGCAATGGCGTGATCTCAGCTCACTGCAACCTCTGCCTCCCGGGTTCAAGCAATTCTCCTGCCTCAGCCTCCCGAGTAGCTAGAACACAGGTGCCCGCCACCACATCCGGCTAATTTTTTGTATTTTTAGTAGAGGTGGGGTTTCATCATGTTGGCCAGGCTGGTCTGGAACTCCTGACCTCAGGTGATCCACCTGCCTTGGCCTCCCAAAGTGCTGGGATTACAGGCGTGAGCCACTGCGCCTGGCTGCTCTGCTTTTTACCCATAGCTCTGGCTCTAATATATGACACTGCCCCTCCCTGAATTAGAATGGAGGCTACAGGGGGATGCTGGTCTGTTAGTTGACTGATGCATCTTCAGCACTTAAGACAGTGTCTGGCACAGAGTAGGAACAGAATATGGTCCTGTAACAAATACTGAAGGTTGTGCTCTGTGCACCTGGGATAGAGCAGGAGCAAGACACATCATTCCTGCCCTCACAGGGTTATGGTCTCCTAGGTGACAAGGTAGTGCACACTTCCATAGGTCTTACTCTGGGACAAGTACTGTGCCAAATGCTTCCTCCCAGCCGCCTGATGAGGTAGCTACTGTTAGTTATCAAGTCTGATTTACAGGTGAGGCAAAGAAAGGATAAGTAATTGACCCAAGGTCACACCTAGCAGGTGGTGAAGCTGAGCCATGGGTCTTGGCTTCAAGAATCTGTGCTCTTACCCACCATACCTGCTGCTGCCGGATTCAAACCCGAATTGCATTAAGGAATCATCATAACCTGTTTGATTGAAGCTATAAGGGAACTTTGAGCATGGTGAATGGGGCGCTCTATGGAAAAGGGGTTCTGGGAAGCCTCTGTGGAAGGGAGGTTTTGTTAAGTGAACTCCCCTGGTAAACGGAGTGATTGGCCCCCAATTAGCTTGCTGTTCGGATTAACTGTAATACATCACACTTTCGAAAGTGAAGATATGCCTATTTTTTCCCCTCTAGGTCTATAAAGTAGATTTTTGCCATTAGTAAAATTTAAAGTGATTGGGGGCTATGGTTACTGAGAATTCAAGAGGTAGATTGACGAAATAATATTTGAATGCAATTTTATTTTTTGAAAAATGTTTTCGAGATGTCCTGTTTTTAGCCAGGAAGCAAACTCCAGGAAAACTCTCTTTTCCATTAAAGTGTGGATGGTGTACTGTAAACAAAGACTAGCTCTCTTGAGCTGCCACGTTTCTATAACTTATAGAAACAGAAGCTGTTTTTTTTTTCTAAAGATCCAAACTCATGTTGCCACACAAACAACAAAATAAACCAGTGTGTTCCAAAAACAAGCATTTGCTCTACCCACACGCACAGTTGGAAAGATGCAGGTTTGATTGAAGAAGTCGGAAGCCAGTGAGGTAATGGCAGATTCTTTTAGGGGCTCCTGTTAATTTTAGTAAGCTTGGAAGAAGCTTCTAGGTTGTTTAGTGTTTCTATTAGAACCATCACCTCAACGAATTTGTTATTGTAGAGATTGATTAGGGGATCTGCTTCCTTTGAGCAGCCAGGATCCCCCAGCTCCAGCTTCTAGCCTGCTTTTCTTCCTCATCTCTACTCTTTCAGAATAATGCATGGCTTTCAAGTCCTGTGTGATAGGTGGCTTCTTAGCGGGCCTCTGAAGGGGCTGAGATTTGTTCCTGGGGCTGAGACTTTGTTCCTTTGAGGGTGCAGAGGCTGCTACCTGCTCAGGCTGCCCCCAAATTGCTCTTGTGTGCAGTGTGCTGCTTGGGGACCAGTCCTGGCTCTGCCACCATGGCGGACACTACTGGCTTCCTCTTAATCTCAATCTCTTCTTCTCCTTTCTTTCTTTTTTTTGGAGACGGAGTTTTGCTCTTGTTGCCCAGGCTGGAGTGCAATGGCGCTATCAATCGTTCAAGCGATTCTTCTGCCTCAGCCTCCCAAGTAGCTGGGATTACAGGCATGTACCACCACACCTGGCTAATTTTGTATTTTTAGTAGAGACAGGATTTCACTATGTTGGCCAGTCTGATCTCGAACTCCTGACCTCAGGTGATCCGCCTACCTCGGCCTCCCAAAATGCTGGGATTACAGGCATGAGCCACTGTGCCTGGCCCTCTTCTCCTTTCTAACACAAGCCTGCTTCTCAGTTTCACGCACACATAGGAGTGGCCACCTGACCCTGTGTTGGCAAATGATTGCAGGCTGTTGTCACCGGTGGGGCTCCTGGAAAAGCCCTCTATGGGGGATTGACTCTGGCATGACTGGGGTGTGGATGCTGTGCTCAGAGGTGCTGCAGTAATGGTTCTGCTGCTGCTGATAGTAACACAGGCAGTGCTGTGTCATGCACAGTAATCCTGTAAGGGAGATACTATCATGATCTCTGTTCGGTGGATGAGGAAACAGTCTGAGGAAAGGCACCTGACCTGTTCAGGCCACACACTAAGTACAGAGCTGGGATCCTGGCACCAGCATTTGCTCTCACCACCTCTCTGTTATGTACCTCTCACACAGGTGCGAGTCCCACCCCAGAGGGGCCTTGAGAGGCTGCAAGTGTCCTGGGTGGGCTGCCTGCTTCAGGAGGACTTATTATTGGGGAAAAATACCCCCCCTACTTATTACTAAGGGCCGAATGCTTTATGTTCACACAACAACTCCATGTTGTGTGACTTTGGACATGTTCCTTAACTTTCTTTATCTTGGTCTTCTCATCTCTGTAAAATTGGGATCATAATGGCACCAACTTATAGTTTTTTTTTTTTTTTTTTTTCTTTTGAGTCAGGATCTCACCCTGTTGCCCAGACTGGAGTGCAGTGGTGTGATCTTGGCTCAGCCCTTGGGCTCAAACGATCCCCCCACCTCAGCCTCCTGAGTAGCTAGGACTACAGACATACACCACCATGCCTGGCTAATTTTTTTTTTTTTTGGTGGGTTTTGCTATGTTTCCCAGGCTGGTTTCTAACTCCTGGACTCAAGTGATCTGCCTGCCTCGGCCTCACAAAGTGCTGGGACTACAGGCATGAACTACCATGCCCGGCCAAACTTCTAGGTTTCTTAAAAAAGTGCCTGGCAGGCCAGGCGCGGTGGCTCATGCCTGTAATCCCAGCACTTTGGGAGGCCGAGGCGGGCGGATCATGAGGTCAGGAGATCGAGACCATCCTGGCTAAAACGGTGAAACCCCGTCTCTACTAAAAATACAAATAATTAGCTGGGCGTAGTGGCGGGCGCCTGTAGTACCAGCTACTTGGGAGGCTGAGGCAGGAGAATGGCGTGAACCCAGGAGGCGGAGCTTGCAGTGAGCTGAGATCATGCCACTGCACTCCAGCCTGGGCGACAGAGCGAGACTCCATCTCAAAAAAAAAACCAAAAAAAACAGTGCTTGTTGTTCTTTTGTTGTTATTGTTAAAGGATCATTATCTCATTATCAACAACATTGGCAGGTAATTGAGCAACTGTTTGTCTCCTTGTCAATGTGGAGATAGAAAATTGCCTACGAGGTTGGACAAGGTGCTGGAGCAGCGTCAAGGAAGAGAGATCGAACAAGAAGACTGCTTTGCCCTTGGACAGCTTTGTTTCTGAAGCACTTTCTCATATTCTCCCATTTAATCATCCCCTCCCTGCCAACTTTTCCAACAGGTGCATACTTAGGTAGAGCTATTCTTTATCAGCCTGGGGCTAAGATTTGTTCCTGGGCAGGTTATCTTTGTCTCTGCCTGGATAGAGGCAGGGGCAGTAGAGTTGTCATGCATTCCAGACTACTAGCTATGCAGAAGCAGGAGCAAGGTAAGAGCAGATTTGTATGAATGAGGGTGTCAGGGAATATCTTAGATGTCCATTTAGTTGTTAAAAAAGAGAACTGATGCCTATATTTCAAAACCCAACTTTGATCTGGATGCAGTGGCTCATGCCTGTAATCCCAGCACTTTGGGAGGCCGAGGTGGGTGGATCACCTGAGGTCGGGAGTTTGAGACCAGCCTGGCCAATGTGGTGAAACCTTGTCTCTATTAAAAATATAAAAATTAGCTGGGCGTGGTGGCACACGTCTGTAATCCCAGCTACTTGGGAGGCTGAGGCAGGAGAATCGCTTGAATTTGGGAGGTGGAGGTTGCAGTGAGCTGAGATTGCACCAATGCACTCCAGGCTGGGCAACAGAGCAAGACTCCATCTCAAAAACAACAACAACAAGAACAACAAGAACAAAAGAAAAAACCCCTAACTTTGGAGAGGTTATCTCCTGAAAAGGAGGGTTTTGGTCTCTTTCTCGCACTGCTCTAAAATAGTGACTGGCACATAGTAGGTAGTCAGTAAATATTTGTTGAATGAATGAATGAATGAAAGGTAATTGGCCTTCCCTGCTCAGTTCTCATTAAAAATTCTGGTTTTCACATATATGGGCAGTGTCCCAACAGGCTGCTGGGGGGTGGCCGTTTGTGATGGCCTCACCAGTCTTTCCCAGAGAGGGAAGTGCACATTTTTAGGCTACTTTTGCTCTGACTGATACACTTGGCTGCCTAACAAAAAGCCAGAGAAGAACTAAGATTTTTAGCATCATTCAAAATGCTTGCCATTCCTTTTGCTTTGTGAAATCATGAGCTAGTTATTTTGAGTTCACATAAAGGTCAGAACTTGATCTGGGGAAGGAGGTTCCCCTTGGTTTATGTGAGGGGAACTTTTTCGCCCTTCTGTTTATTTTATCCAAAGGCTTCTGTTTTTCTCCCAAGCTAAAATCTGGCATTTGTTGTAGAAAGTTCTCAGCTTATGTGTGTGTGTGTGTGTGTGTGTGTGTTTTTAAAAAGAGCTCATATTTTGGCTTTAGTTTTGATTCTCAGTGATTTTTTTTTTCTGCCTGAGAGTTGATTTTCTGCTTCTTCAAAGTCCAGCTCTCAAGTGGGTGCCTAAAGTTGTTTCGTTTTAGAGGTGACTTAATCATTTTTTAGGCCTTTAAGTGCTGCTCCCAGCTTGTGTTTCCTTCTGTTTTTAGTTTTTATGTGGGGCAGGGTCTCCAAAGTACACGGGCTCTTTTCCCCACCCCTCTACCCTCATTTTAACTGTGCATCAAATGGGTCCTGTTTCTTCTTCATGTATAATTTTGTGAGTCAGGGAAGGTGGTGAAGGCCCTTGAACCCTGGCTTTGTCATGGCCCTTCCTTAAGGACCTGAAGGTCTCTTCTCCTAAGGGCTAGGTTGGTTCAGAAAGTGAGAAGGGCTGGACCTTTTGTGGGGAGAGGATACAGCAGGGTCCGAACAGCTGGGCTGACACCGGGCAGCAGCCCAGCAGCAGTCGGAGCTGCAGGGTCAGCTCACCATGGGCTGAACTTGGGCATTGCCTGTTTAGGCAGAGTCTGCCCGAGCCTTTCCTGCTCCCTGAGAATCCTCAGCATGTTTTCCTGCTGAGCAAGGAGTGAGGAATGAAGCCCACTACGAAGCCCGAGCTGCAAATGTATTTATTTATTTATTTATTTAGAGACAGAGTCTTACTCTGTCGCCCAGGCTAGAGTGCAGTGGTGAGATCTCAGTTCACTGCAACCACCGCCTCCTGGGTTCAAGCAATTCTCCTGCCTCAGCCTCCTGAGTAGCTGGGATTACAGGCGCCCACCACGGGCCCGAGAACTGAGTCTCGCCCATCTAATTTTTGTATTTTTAGTAGAGACAGGGTTTTGCCATGTTGGTCAGGATGGTCTCGAACTCCTGACCTCAGGTGATTCACCCACCTTGACCTTCCAAAGTGCTAGGATTACAGGCGTGAGCCACTGCGCCCGGCTCTGAGCTGCAAATTTAATAGGGAAACTGAAGGAAGAGGTTCTCCACAGCACCAGTGGGGCTGAGACCTGTTTTCCTCAACTACCTTTTTTTTTTTTTTTTTTTTTTTTTTTGAGACAGAGCTTCACTCTTGTTGCCCAGGCTGGAGTGCAATGGTGCGATCTCATCTTACTGCAACCTCTTCTTCCCAGGTTCAAACGATTCTCCTGCCTCAGCCTCCCGAGTAGCTGGGACTACAGGCATGCACCACCATGCCTGGCTAATTTTGTATTTTTAGTGGAAAAGCGGTTTCTCCATGTTGGTCAGGCTGGTCTCGAACTCCCGACCTCAGGTGATCTGCCTGCCTCTGCCTCCCAAAGTGATGGGATTACAGATGTGAGTCACTGCGCCTGGCCAACTGCTTTGGTTTCTGAGTCCTCCCTCCTCTAAGCCCGCTCAGTGTGTGTCATTCCTGGGAGGCGGTGGCTCTCCCAGGACCCCATGCCGAAATCTGCCTTCTTCTTGTCTTCATTCCCCCACCTGGGGTACCCCTCAGTGTTTTCCCATTACACAGATTCACGTTTACATGTTCTAGAAACATCTGTAAGTCTTTTTCCTGTTTGTAAATTGTATATCCTCTGTTAGATTAAAAAACTTTTAAAAGTAAGTGTCTTTCTCTGTGGTGACCTATTTGTGTGGCATAGTATAGGTTACAAAGCCCTTTTCATGCATTGTTTTACTTATAAGTAATGTTTATAGATGATACCGAGGTAGACCCTATGGGGTGCTTACTATGCCAGGTCTGTTCTAAGAATGTTATACACATTACCTTACTAACCCACCCCAACCATCCATTGTGTTATTGTCACCCCTGTTACAGGGTGGAGAGAAGAAGGCAGAGAGAAGTGGAATGACACTCCTGAGGCTAGGCATTTGCCAAGTGAGGTCTGGGATTTGAACCCAGGCAGCTGAACTTCAGAATCCTGGTGTTTAACCACTATACCATGCTGGCCTTCATGTTATTGAGCAGGATAAGGAATTGTCACTCTTGACTTGTTTTTGAAACATGAAAACCCTTCTCTTAAATTCAAAAGTAATACATAGCTGGGCACGGTGGTGTGCACCTGTAGTCCCAGCTACTTAGGAGGCTGGGGAAGAGGATAGTTTGAGTCCAGAAATTTGAGACTGCAGTGAGCTCTATAGTCATGCCACTGCACTCTAGCCTGGGTGGCAGAGTGAGACCCTGTCAAAACAAAGCAATAACAAAAAAAACCAAAGTAATGCGTATTGCAGCAAGTACTTAAATAATGTAGATGCATAAAAGCAAAAAGTGAGAATCCCCACTCCTCCTCCAGTGCTCTGAGATAGACTGAAGTAACTCTTCAGGGATGAGTGTAAACACAAGGGATGTCCTCGAAGACTTTCCACTTGGAAAGCTTGTGTATTTTATACATTAAGTATCATAAATATGTAGTTACCCTAATGGGTCCCCGCCATTGCTCTGCAGGCAGTGGGCTGAGGTTCAGGAGTTAAGTCAGCCCCAGGGCACAGGGTGGTGCAACAGAAGAGCCTGAGTCGAATCCAGATCTCCCCTCTCCACTGTGACTGTTTCCTGGGAAACTAGTCAGGGGCTGGTTTTATAGGAATTATCCAGTCGTATTATTATTATTATTATTATTATTATTATTATTATTATTATTATTATTGAGACTGAGTCTCGCTGTGTCGCCCAGGCTGGAGTGCGGTGGTGCCATCTTGGCTCACTGCAACCTCCGCCTCCCAGGTTCAAGCAATTCTCCTGCCTCAGCCTCCCAAGTAGCTAGGATTACAGGCTTGAGCCACTATGTCCAACTAATTTTTTTATTTGTAGTAGAGATGGTGTTTCACCATGTTGGCCAGGCTCATCTGGAACTCCTGACCTCAGGTGATCCGCCTGCCTCGGCCTCCCAAAGTGCTGGGATTACAGGCGTGAGCCACCGCCCCCAGCCTTCCAGTCGTATTCTTGACAAATGGTTTTCCATGAAGTTGTGGACACCTTCCAGGGTCACAATTAAATGGTTAAATGAGTCACGATTAAATAATGATTGTGGGTACCTCCCAGAGTTTCAATGAAAAAGGGAATTAACTTTGGACACAGACAGAATAATGCAAATCTTCAGTTTTGGTTTAGAAAATCTGAAACCTGCAGTGGGGAATACAGAAAAGAAGGAAGTAGAAGGAGTCTGTCCCCAACCCCGCCCCTTCCTTTTTTCTCTCCTCTGGAGAGAGAAGGGATTAGGAGGCCTCCTGGAAAGGAGTCCCTTTCCTGTGATCAAACTCACCCCTTCCCTCCACCAGAGCAATTACAGAGCCTCCGGCCTGGAACCTTCCTCACCGGCCTGGAGGAGACACCATTCTGCGGACAATGGGGGGAAGGAAAGGAAAGCAATGCCGCTGCCAATGGTGCGGATGACTTCCTCAATGCCAGACTTGCTTGCACTTTCAAAGTCCCTCCTCGGAGGTCCCCTGGTAGGACCTGGAGATAGGATGTGCTTTCACTCTTTACAGACTATTGTCCAGGAAAGAAAGTTTCAGACTTTCTTAGGCAGGGAAGGGCCCTCTGACTGTGAATTTATTTGGAAATTTGAAAGAGAAGAGAGTCTTATCCTAGGAAGTGTTCTTTTTCTTTCCCCCTGGATTTGACAGGCCAGGCAACAGCAATTATCCAAACCACTGCTCTGCACCAAGAGGCAAACCACAGGAAAAAGAAACCCGAACAAGCAAGGAGAATAGAAGTTCCCCAAAGCATGCCTTCTTGTTTTTCTCAGAGGACAGTCTTTTCATTCATGTTTTACAGATTGGTCCAACAAGTGCAGTTCTTCTAGTCTCCTATCTAGATAAGCAGGATATTAGAAGGAATAGGAGAGGCCTGCAAAAAGCTATGATAGGGTGGAAATAGGATAGGAGAAACTGAAAAAAGGGGAGGCGTGCGCTCCAACACCTCCATAGCCCTTGGGGACGGGCTTAGTTTCTAATGAGAATACAGAAGGCCCATGTCTCAATAGGCCCCGAAAAATATTAATCCAGCCCAATATGAACAGTCTGCTAATTATATGACTGGGCCTGCTTAGGAGATCAGGGCAATATTACATTCAGAGTACTCAGTTTAGGAAGATGACACAGTGTAATACATACAGATTTCCATCATTTCTTTTATTCCTCATTTGGAGAGGCAACAGGGCTGAGATAGACATGTTAGCGATGGCTAGATTGATTGATTTATTGACTGAATGAATGGCCTGCTTTAGGCAGCGGGAACACTGAATGAACATTTTAAAATCAGCTGGTATAGGTCAGGAACTGTGCAGGTTGCTGGGAATGGGTAGATGAAAAGACATTGCTATGGTTTGGCTGTGTCCCCACCTAAATTTCACCTTGAATTGTAATCCCCATGTTTCAAGGGTGGGACCAGGTGGAGATAATTGAATGGGGGGGTGGTTTCTCCCATACTATTCTGGTGGTAGTGAATAAGTCTCACGAGAGCTGATGGTTTTATAAATGGGAGTTCCCCTGCACAAGCCCTCTTGCCTGCCACCATGTAAGATGTGACTTTGCGCCTCCTTCCCCTTCCACCGTGATTGTGAGGCCTCGCCAGCCATGTGGAACTGTGAGTCAATTAAGCCTCTTTCCTTTATAAATTACCCAGTCTCAGGTATGTCTTCATTTGCAGCATGAGAACAGACTAATACAGACATGGACCTTGGCTGTAGGGAGTTTGCACTGTAGTGACGGCAAGAGCTCACGTGATCCATTTTAAGATAGAAGAGCGAGCTCAGGCAGAGGAACACAGAGCCAGGATGGTCCATGCACGGAATCTGGCCCTGCCCTTACTTTCTCCAGGAGCATGGGCTGGGTCCCTCTCCTCCCTAATCCTCACTTTGCTCATGTGTGAAATGTAGATCAAGTAAGTTCTACACTCAGAGGTCTCTTGTGAAGATTAAATGAGAAAAGGCATGGAAACTGCCTTTGCACACAGCCTGGTATATCCTGATGTCTGCTGATACTCTTATTTTTATGTTCCTTGACATTCCAAATCTGCCCCAGGGAGAATTCCAGGACAGCTCTGGAGAGGAAGTGATCTTTGAATCCAACCTTGAAATCACCCTAGGAGATGCAAAGAAGGTGACACCAGTTAAGAATAAGATGTGTACCCATTTTCAAATGTTCTTTTTTTTTTTTTTCAGATGGAGTCTCGCTCTGATGCCTAGGCTGGAGTGCAGTGGGGTGATCTCGGCTAATTGCAACCTCCGCCTCCCGGGATAAAGCGATTCTCCTGCCTCAGCCTCCCGAGTAGCTGGGATTACAGGCGCCTGCCACCATGCCCAGCTAATTTTTGTGTTTTTAGTAGAGATGGGATTTCACCATGTTGGCCAGACTGGTCTTGAACTCCTGACCTCAAGAATCCACCTGCCTTGGCCTCCCAAAGTGCTGAGATTACAGGCATGAGGCACTGCACCTGGCCCAAATCTTCTCAGTTCTAAATGGCTGTGATAAAAACTACATTGATAATTTTTTTTTTTTTTTTTTTTTGGAGATGGAGTCTCGCTCTGGTGCCCAGGCTGAAGTGCAATGGCGCAATCTTGGCTCACTGCAAGCTCCGCCTCCTGGGTTCACGCCATTCTCCTGCCTCAGCCTCCCGAGTAGATGGGGCTACAGGCGCCTGCCACCACCCCCGGCTAATTTTTTTTGTATTTTTAGTAGAGACGGGGTTTCACCATGTTAGCCAGGATGGTCTTGATCTCCTGACCTCGTGATCCGCCCACCTCAGCCTCCCAAAGTGCTGGGATTACAGGCCTCTGCGCCTGGCCTTGCATTGACAATTAATTTGTTTATGGAAAGCCAGTTATCCAATGATGGTGAACAAATGCAACTTGACTGTATAATACTTATTTTGGTTTTGGACCAAAGTCACCATTAAATATGCCAAGTTCTTGTTCAAGGAAACAGCTAATGTCGTGGACTTGCATCTCATTTGTAGTTGGTTCTCCCTGAAAAGTCAGTGGTGTGGGAGAAATGATACTTAGTCAAAATCATCAGTGAAAATCATTGCTTGGATCATCCCAAAATATAATGAACAAAAGTGATATTTATCTGCCACATTGAGAAACATTCACCATATCTCAATAAGCTCTCCTCAGCCAGTTGGTCCTTTTGTGGTTGAAAAAAGTGCCATATCTTTGGTTGGGCATCCAATAAAATATGGTATTTAGGGGCTACCTGTATGGAAAATCCATATCCTTAAAGGTTAGCTCACCAGGAGGATGTTGAGAAATGGCACAAGGGGCTGGGCGCGGTGGCTCATGCCTGTAATCCCAGCATTTTGGGGAGGCTGAGGTGGGTGGATCACTTGAGGTCACGAGTTCGAGACCAGCCTGGCCAACATGGTGAAAGCCCATGTCTACTAAAAATATAAAAATTAGCCAGGTGTGGTGGTGGGCGCCTGTAATCCCAGCTACTAGGGAGGCTGGGCAGGAGAACTGCTGGAACGCAGGAGGCGGAGGTTGCAGTGAGCTGAGATTGCACCACTGCATTCCAGCCTGGGTGACAGGCAAGACTCTGTCTCCAAAAAAAAAAAAAAAAAAAGGCACACAGGAATTGGGTTGGGACTCAGTAGATCAGTAGATTTAGATCTCCCAGCTTAGTCTCATCTCCATAGTGTGGGTGGAGTAGTACTCACACTATTTAAATTATTTTTATTTCACTACCTGAATCCCCTCAGCAAGTATAGTTTAATTCACCTGAGTAATACGCTTATGCGAGGGGATTTCTCCATGGGCCTTTTGTTTTTGCTCCTGCTGGTGATCTGATTTTAAATGTGAACGTGCCATTGCTAAGAGTTTTTGTTCTATGTATTATTCTGTGTGGAAAATTTCTTAAATGGGATTATTGAAGTATACTTCATTATTTATCTTCTGGCAATTTATCAACAACAGCAAATATCATTCATTATTGTTTGGAGGACAGAACTATTTTTATATTCTTTAATTAAAAATGGCTTTGACATTTTCAAATTCAGAGGGAAGTTGATAATTTAGTGCTGTATGATAGGACCTTTAGTTGGTCTGAATGTCACATAATTGTACAAATTGCTGTTAAAGTATATTATTACTTATTTTCTGAGAGGTAGAGGGACTTGGTTATCCTGGGATTGCATAATTATTGGTTCACTAGAACTACAGATGAGTGAAAAGAAGGGTTAGATACTCTCTAGTTCACTTTTCTTCCAGTGCAGGGAACATTCTATGGGGTTCCGAACAGATATAATAAGCTCATAATAACAGTGGCCATTGATTGAACTCTTTCTATCAAACAATGTGAAAAACATTAGTAGAGGTGATATCTTAGTCTGCTTTTGCTGCTGTAACAGAATACCTGAGACTGAGTAATTTTTTTTTTTTGAGATGGAGTCTCACTCTTCTGCCCAGGCTGGAGTGCAGTGGCGCTATCTTGGCTCACTGCACCCTCCGCCTCCCGGGTTCACGCCATTCTCCTGTGTCAGCCTCCCGAGTAGCTGGGACTACAGGCTCCTGCCACCACGCCCGGCTAATTTTTTGTATTTTTAGTAGAGACGGGGTTTCACCGTGTTAGCCAGGATGGTCTCGACCTCGTGATCCTCCCGCCTCGGCCTCCCAAAGTGCTGGGATTACAGGTGTGAGCCACCGCACCCAGCCTTTTTTTTTTTTTTTTTTTGAGATGGAGTCTCGCTCTGTTGTGCAGGCTGGAGTGCAGTGGCGCCATCTTGGCTCACTGCAACCTCCACCTCCCGGGTTCAAGCAATTCTCCTGCCTCAGCCTCTCCAGTAGCTGGGACTACAGATGCATCACGCCCAGCTAATTTTTGTATTTTCAGTAGAGACGGGGTTTCACCATGTTGTCCAGGATGGTCTCGATCTCTTGACCTCATGATCTACCTGCCTCAGCCTCCCAAAGTGCTGGGATTACAGGTGTGAGCTACCACGCCTGGCCATTTTTTTTTTTTTTTTTTTTTGAGACAGAGTCTCACTCTGTCACCCAGGCTGGAGTGCAGTGGCATGATCTTGGCTCACTGCAACCTCCGTCTCCCGGGTTCAAGCGGTTCTTCTGCTTCAGCCTTTTGAGTACTTGGGATTACAGGCACCTGCCATCATGCCTGGCTAATTTTTGTATTTTTGTACAGACGGGGTTTCACCATGTTGGCCAGGCTGGTCTTGAGCTCCTGACCTCAGGTGATCCACTCACCTCATCCTCCCAAACTGCTGGGATTACAGGTGTAAGCCACTGTGCCCAGCCCCAAGACTGAGTAAGGGGTGAGCAGAAATTCACTGGTTCACAGTTCTGGAGGCTGGGAAGTCTCGTATCAAGGTGCCAGCATCTGGCCAGGGCCTTCTTGCTGTGCTATCCCATGGCAGAAGTACAGAAGGGCAAAGAAAGAGGGCTGAACTTGCCCTTTTATAATGGCACCAACCCCACCCATGAGGGTGGAGTCCTAATGGCCTAATCAGCTCTCTGAGATCCCATCTGTTAATACTGTTACAATGGCAATTAAATTTCAACATGAGTTTTGGAGGGGACAGACATTCAAACCATGGCAGGTGGCAAGAAGTATCAAACTACTAGATCCTTGGGATTGTGCTTTGTACTGGGGTGTATTTTTTCCAACAATCCTAAAAATCATTTGAATAGAGATAGCAATATATATCTTACCCATTTGGAAATGCACAGAGATTCAGGAGTGTTCACATAGAAACAGAAGATCATTGGCTTTTGTCCATTCCCAACGCCAGTGATCTGTTTTTCTTGACTCTTTTTGATCTGTGTTTCTGAATGTGTTGATATACTGCGCTACTGGTGTGCAGGATGATTTTAAATGTTGCACAGATGAACATTAATAGTCATCTATTTTAATATGTATTAGGAAAAAGCCCATAAAACAATGAAGCCCATTAAAACCCCATGGTTTCTTGGATAGTATTACATAGGGTGAAGCTAATTTTATTTCAGTAAAAAATATGCAGGTCAATTTAAATAAAAAAATAGATAATAGTATAAATGGCTTGTGGCTACAGTAAAAATGATGATGGTACTTGAATGTCCAAATTAATTTAAGTGATATATGTGTTCATAGATACCATTTCATTTTAACGTGGTTCTGCTGGTCAGAACAGTCTTACGATGGGGGTGGTCTCCAGGCTTCACCTTGTGCCCACTGGCTCTGTTTGGTTCCTCTGGGCTCACACACAGGGAGCTACGTATGTCTCTCTCATTTCCTTTGGTATGTTCTCTGGGTTAAATGTCCCCAGCTATCTGATCTGTTCCCTGCGGGCCTTGGCCATTCCTGTCCTGGCCTTTACTGGCAGTCTCTATTCTAAAATGTGGGCATCCCACATGAGGTCCAGCTTCTCCTGAGATCCCCGGAGGTGCAGCTGCTGTGATGGTGACCTTGTTTAGCAGATGCTCCCTGCAGTCCAAACTCCCACCCATCGTCCTGCCCTTTGATCCATTTCCCATGAACTGCTTACCTCAGTTTTCTCATCTGTAAGATGGAGAGATAACTGTAAGTGCTTAGCACAGTGTTTACTAGCACAGACTACTGCTATTACTGTCAAGTCACTTTTCCTTTGCTGCCAATAGGTCATTTTCTGTTTATGGCTTCTTCAGTATGAACTGATCAACTGTAACTTGAAAATTTCCAGACTTAGGACTTTTGGACTCATAGTGAAAGGATCCTTTCCCAATTCCCTTGATCGGTTTTTCCTTTAAAAAAAAAAAAGATATTTGACATCTTTTCACTTTCAAGTTCAGTTTCTCTTCTCCTTTTTTTCTGGGTGATGGTTTATTATTTAAAAAATTTCTATGTATATGTGATTTAAAAGTAAACCCACGTAGCTGAAAATGTCTCATAGGTTTTTCTTGCATTTTCAGTTGACCCATTCACTTTGCAAATCTTTAGAGTATTATATTTAAGACAGCTTGCAGCTGTTTTCTTATATATATTTTACATGACAAAATTATATTTAAAACATATTAAACTTTAAAAAACCATAGTTTATAATTTATAAGCCATGTAGCATATTTCTATTTTTGAGACAGGATCTTACTCTGTCACCCAGGCTGGAGTGCAGTGGCTCGATCATGGCTCACTGCAGCCTTGACCTCCTGGGCTCAAGTAATCCTCCTGCCTCAGCCTCCCAAGTAGTTGGGACTACAGGCACATGCCACCATGCCCAGCTAATTTTTATATTTTTTGTAGAGATGGGGTTTCACCACGTTGCTCAGGCTGTAATTTTTAAAAACTAAAAAAAGAAAAAAAAGTGTTTACAGGACTTTAAATTGAGAAACTTAAATATCTTTACATATTCTGTGTTCCTAATTTATTTTTGCAGCAGTAATTATTTCAGCTGTCTTTAGTATTGACATGTTGGAACCTCGGATTAATTTGTGCATGGATATATTTAGAGCCTTTTACTTGACAAGAATCATGTATATCATGACTGAATTTGTAATTTCCCAGCATGAGACCCAAATTAATAGACAGTATTTAGATTCTAGGCAACGATGCATTATATAAACCAGCATCATTTAGGGAGTGGCAAAGACTCTCTCCCCACCAGTTCTGTGAACTTGGGCAAGGTGTGTAATCTTTCTGAGCCTTAATCTAATTAGACCCTTTCTCCTGTAACCCAGAGGGGGTGTTAGTAAAGTTGGTGTGAAAAAAGTCAATTATTGTACTGATGCAATTTGGGTGAAACTGTGAAGTTCAGTGTTCACATGATGGTTGTGGAGACACTGAACCTTAATCCTTAGGCCAGGGATTCAAAGTTTTTTTTGACTCTCATGTTGAACGTTGTCTAAAGTGCAGTGTGCCCTAGTTTTTAGGTAATTCTGAGAATTCTAAGGCCCTTGCTGGAATAATTAATGAGAATATGAGATTTCAGCAAATTAGGGCCAGGAGTCAGTGCTCTCAGCATGGAAGAATCTCACCTCCAAAAATTTTATGTGGGTTTTACACATTAAGCAAGCATAGGTGAGGTGCAGTGAAGGGGAAGTGATGGCTGTCAGTCGTTTGGCCAGGTTCCTTTGCATACAGGGGAGCTAGTGGGTGTATACCAGCTGAGACAGCTGAAGGAGGAGAACATGAAGAATAGTTGGAAACTATTGAACCTCCAAGATTTTTCTGTCTTTGTTAACAACTAGCAGTTACATGCTAGCATTATTTATTTATTTAGTTAGTTAGTTAGTTAGTTCTTGAGATGGAGTCTCACTCTGTCACCCACGCTGGAGTGCAGTGGCATGATCTCAGCTCACTACAACCTCTGCCTCCTGGGTTCAGGTGATTTTCCTGCTTCAGCCTCCTGAGTAGCTGGGATTACAGGGGCCCGCTACCACGCCCAGCTAATTTTTGTATTTTGAGCATGTTGGCCAGGCTGGTCTTGAACTCCTGACCTTGTGATCCCCCTGCCTCGGCCTCCCAAAGTGCTGGGATTACAGGTGTGAGCCACTGTGCCTGGCCTTATTTATTTATTTTTGAGACAGGGTCTCACTCTATCACCCAGGCTGGAGTGCAGTGGTGCAGTCATAGCTCACTGCAGCTTGGAACTCTTGGGCTGAAGTGATTCTTCTTCCTTAGCCTCCCCAGTAGCTAGGACTATAGTGCCACCATGCCTGGCTAATTTAAATTTTTTTTGTGTGTGTGTGTGTGGTGGAGATGGGTTCTCACTGTGTTGCTCAGGCTGGTCTTGAACTCTTGGGCTTAAGCGATCTTCCCATCTTGGCCTCCCAGAGTGCTGCGATTACAGGCGTGGGCCACCACACCTGTCCTGTGCTAGGCTCTTAACGTCCTTCCCAGATGTTATGTCCCTTCCCTTGGTGGCTGCTGCTTTCTGCCACATTTTACCTTGCCTTTCCGCACCTTCTACCATGTCTCCTTTTCCAGCCTCATTCCCTGAGATGTAGCCGGAGTTCCAGTTCAGCCAACCTGCCCGTTGTTTTCTCTCCTGGAACTGGGTGTTTGAGCCTCCTGCATGGAGTGTTCTTCCTTCCCAGCTAAAGTCCTGGTCATCCCATTTCCATCTGAAAGGCCCCCTTGTTCATGAAGCCTCTCATGGTCCTTCCCCCTACCCCAGCCAGGTATACTTTCTCTCCTCTTGGAATTACCCTATAGGAAGAACATGGTGGCTTGACCTGGGTTCCAGTCTCACCCATCTGTTTACCTGGGGAGTGATCTTGAGTGGGTCAATTTATGTTCTCAGTGCCTTACAAAATGGGGCAGAGGATACCTAACCCCCAGGAGCTGGTGTGGCTGGGGTACCTTACACAGGGCCTGACTGTAGTAGCTTCTCTCCAAGCATTGGTGTCTTACCTCTTCTGTTTCTCTAATGGTGTTTTGCACATTCATTGTTGTATTAGAGTTTGTTTTTTTGTCTTACCTTGTTTTAATAAATTATAATCTTATGGGAGATGACACTGTCTTTTCTTTGTTTCATATATAAAAAGTGTTTTGCTGATATACGTAGAATCAAGTTGGTCTGGAGTTACTCTGGATAAGGGATGAAATCAGGGAGCTCTTGTGTTCAAAGGGGCCTTCTTCCCTTTTTTGGTTCTTTCTCCTCATTTTTTAGCTTCCATTTTTACTTCCTTTAGTATTGAGAAAGTACCAGGCTCACTTCAAAGAGTTGACTTCAAAGCTCCCACCAGCTCAGACATACTTGCCACTGAAGCCTGTAGGAATTGGCATCAATGGAAGACCCTGTGGCGGTTGCATTTAAGATTTTTTTTGGGACTTCTATTTTTATAATTCTTTTAAATGGTAAAGGGGGAGGGTTACAAAATATCTGCGCCTTTAAGATATCAAACATAAGCCAGTGAAGTTCCAAAAAAAAAAAAAAAGATGTCTTAGAGAAATGAAAAGGATTTTACAATTGGTAGAAAAGAACAACTCTTTTTTCTTTTTCTTTTTCTTTTTTTGTTTTTGAGATGGAGTTTCGCTCTTGTTGTACAGGCTGGAGTGCAATGGCGCCATCTCAGCTCACTGCAACCTCCACCTCCCCAGTTCAAGTGATTCTCCTGCCTCAGCCTCCCGAGTAGCTGGGATTACAGGCACGGGCCACTATGCCCGGCTAATTTTGTATTTTAGTAGAGACGGGGTTTCTCCATGTTGGTCAGGCTGGTCTTGAACTCCCGACCTCAGGTGATCCACCTGGCTTGGCCTCCCAAAGTGGTAGGATTATAGGCATGAACCACTGTGCCTGGCCAAGTCTTTTTTCTTTAAAAAAAAAAAGGTTACTTTTACTGTTTTGTCCTAGTTACAAGATCTTAGGACAGAAATAAAGCCTTAACTTGTATGTAACATTTTCCAAGATGGCTAAGTGGAGTTGCAGGTTACATAGCAGAAAACAGAGGCTTGGGCCTGTTGAGACCTCACACCCAGTTCTTCTTGGAGCTGTGGGTGTGGGCTGAAAGAGAAGACAGGGAGATTAAAGACCAGTGATTTCCCTCCATGGACCCTTTGATGCTCTTGTTTGTTGACTTTTTGAGGCTTGGAGTGACCGACTCTTCCAGGAATGAGAAATGGAATCCCTCCCAGTTTTGATGGTCGTCCCAGGACATATTTCCTGAAGGCCTACTCTGTGTCTCAGCACCATTCCAGGACTCCCCCCGACAGCCTTACGGAGCGTGCTACAGTCTTCCTGATCCAATATCCTGCCACCTGCCCACTCATTCACCCTCGGCCCTACCCCATGCCTTTGCACGAATCTTTCCAGCCTGAGCAGCCTGAGATGGGTCTTTTTCCCTGCTCCGAAATCCTGACCTCATAATGGCTCATGAATCCCTATTCAACCTTCAAGACCTGGTTCAAGGGTTAAATCCTTTAAGGAGACTTCTCCTGATTTTTCCCCAGCTGGTTGCTTTGTTCTCCAGCGATTTGTAACCTTGTGAACAAATATTCTACTCATTTTATTCTACTGGAATGATCTATTTACACTTATCTCCCTGCAAATTGTATCCTGCCCTTCAATGGCTAAGTGAATGGCATAAACAGATGCTATAGGAATTGAGACTAAGTTGGAGCTGGGTGATCAGGGAAGGTTTTAAGGAAGAGATCTGGGACAAATAGCTAAAGATGGATTCAGTGTTTTTTTTTTCTTTTTCTTTTTTTTTTTTTGAGGCGGAGTCTTGCTCTGTTTCCCAGGCTGGAGTGCAATGGTGCGATCTTGGCTCACTGCAACCTCTGCCGCCCAGATTCAAGCAATTTTCCTGCCTCAGCCTCCCAGGTAGCTGGGATGACAGGAGCCCACCACCACGCTTGGCTAATTTTGTGTTTTTAGTAGAGACAGGTTTTCACCATGTTGGCCAGGCTGGTCTTGAACTCCTGACCTCAGGTGATCCACCCACCATGGCCTCCCAAAGGGCTGAGATTACAGGCATGAGCCACCGTGCCCGGCCTGATGGATTCAGTTTATGTGCAAAATTTAAGAGGATGGGTTTCGGCAGTTCAGGTTGTTAGGAGACAAGGGTGGAAAGGTGTCCTGGAGCCCTACAGAGATGGGCTTCAAGTGCCAGCCAAGGTGTTTGACCATTTTTAGAAGAGGAATGAGATGATTAAAGTGGAACTTTTAGGAAGAGTAGGAGTGAGCGGGATGGATTTAAAAGGCGGAGTGAGAGGCATCAGGAAGGCTGGGTAGGAGAGCATTGCTACAGTCTAGGAGGGAGGTGGCAGGGGTGTAGACCAGGGATCACAAAGCAATGGCTTGCCATCTGCTTCTGTATACCCAGAGAGCTAAGAATGGTTTGTACCTTATTAAATGGTTGAAAAAATCAAAAGAATATATGCTGTGATATGTGGAAATTCTGTGAAATTCAAATGTCAGTGTCTGTAAATAGTTTTTTTTTTTTTTTTTTTTTTTTGTGGAACACAGCCATACTTTTCATTTATGCATTGTTTGTGGTTGCTTTCACACAATCATGCCAGCCCTGAGTAGTTGCTGCAGAGACCATATGGCCTGCAAAGACTAAAATATGTACTTATGTACTATCTGGCTCTTTCCAGAAAAAATCAGCAGACCCCAGGTGTAGACCAACCAGGGTGAATGAGTGTATGACTGGAAATGCAAAGACGGGCAGGATCAAGGGACAGTTTAGAGCAGGGGTGTCCAATCTTTTGGTTTCCCTGGGCCACACTGGAAGAAGAATTGTCTTGGGCCCCACATAAAATACACCAACACTAACAATAGCTGATGAGCTAAAAAAAAAAAAATCACAAAAAATCTCAAAATGTTTTAAGAAAGTTTATGAATTTGTGTTGGTCTGCATTCAAAGCCATGGTGGGCTGCATGCGGGCCATGGGTTGGCCAAGCTTGGTTTAGAGGCGGATGCAGTACGGGAGAGTTTTCCCTTCTCTTCTGATGTAACTCCATGTCTTGGTGGCGGTGTTCTAGATGTAGGCATCTTTAGGCAGGGGAGTGTGCGTGGAAGGGTGAAAGGGTTGTGCCTTCATGACGCTCGTGTGTGTGTGTGTGTTTGTGTGTGTGAGTGATGCTGAGCTAGTCTTAGAGTAAATGCAGACACTGGATGGTAGCGAGTTCAGTGCAGTTTTTATGGAGGGACAGCTTGCTGCCTGCTGATGAAGCTGGACAAGACTGGGTAGTGAAGTCAAAGGCCCACACCTAACTCTGAGGCTCTTGGGGGCAACTGTGTTGTGCAGAGAAGGTAGGAGGGCAGAGGAAGAGGAGGAGCGGCCCCTGGGAGAATGCCTTCTACCCAGCTGCAGCTTCTCAAGGGTGTGTTTGCGTCTGACCTAAGGTGTTGGAGCTCTTTGTTTCTGGCTGTGTTCAGGCTTTCCCCCGCTTGCCTTTAGGGGAAGCTGATGACTGCTTTAGCGTAAAGAGAGGGCCAGGAGGTCAACTTCCCTACAGTCCCGTGCCTGCTTCTGGGTTGGGGCTGGGGAGAGTGCTGCCCACTGAACTCTCTAAATGTTAAAAGATACAAAGAGGAAGCACAGAGTGAAAAGGGAGACCCCAGAGGACAGCAGAACATCCCGAAGCATATCCCCCATCAGAGAAGAGGCATGATTTTCACCTGGCTTGCAGGTGCAGGATGGGCATCTCAGATGCTGTGAGTCTGAGGGCAGATGCCCATCAGTCCAGGACAGTTCCTGGGGACAAAAGCCTCTTCTCACCTTTAGAGAAATTAAGTCTTATTGGTAGAAAATATTTTAGAGAGGTTCTGGTCTAAGCCTCTCATTTTGCAGATGAGAAACCACCCAAGGCCCAAGATGGATGGATTTATCAAAGCCGGTTGGTACTGGAACTTGGATTTAATTTCAGGTCTTTTATTATTACTATGGAACAAATCTTAACTTTTTCAAGTGCATACCATGTGCCCGGCTATGTGCTGGATGTAGATGCTTTATCTGCAGGTTTAATCTTCACTACAACTATGGGAAGTAGCTATTGTCTCTCTTTTGCAAGTGTGAAGAGTGAGGCTTAGAAAGGCCAACTTGCCTGTGATCGGGTAACTCAAGAGGGAAATTGGATCAGAGTCCATCTGAGACTGACTCCAGAGCCAATGTTCTTAGCCAATAGGGGCACATAAAACTGTTCTGAGTGGCTTCCTAGCTCCTGTTTCCAGTGTCCAATCCATTCTCGGTTTCTGTTCATTCATCAGATGTGCACTGAGTACCTGCAAGAAGTCAGAAGGGTGTTGGGTTGGTGAGGACAGATTGTATACCATCTTGGCTTTGGCCGAGCCAAACAGAATGCCAAAGATCGGCAAAGATAGGGAATGATTGTTCTTGGCCTCAGCTCCACGCTCCCCTCCTCTGTAAAACTGCCCCTGACACCCCGGCAGGATTGAATTCCTCCACCTTTAAGCTCCCAGAGTACCTTAGCTCTGTCTTTAGCACTTCACACTGTGTCATGCCTCCCCTTGGGCCCTAAGGCCAAGAGCATGTGCCATTTATTTTTGTATTCCTACTTCTATAGCCCAGTGCATATTGGGGGCACTCAGGAATTGCTGAGCGAATAAAAGAATGAATGAATACAGACCCAGATTGTCAATGATTCTCAAACCTTATTTTACAAAAGAATCACTTGAAAAGCTGGTTAAAGATCAAAACTCCTGAGCCCTACTCCTGGTGATTGACTCCTAGGTTTGGGGTGGGACCCCAGAATCTGAATTTCCCGGAAGCGCCCAGGTGTTTCTGATGCGGGTGGTCTGCAAACCACACTTGCAGCAACCCTGGCACAGGTGCCCAGCCTTCTGGAATAAAGACAGGAACTAAGCATTAAAAATAGCACGCCATTCATTTGCTTGTGCCGAGCCGCCAAGTGCCCCCTCCTGCCGGCGACAGGTCCGGATGTGGGCCAGTTCTCAGCCCAGGGAAAATGAACAGTGTCTTCTCCGTGGTGCCCAGAACAGTCTGAGTCAGTGGAATGTGCTGGCCAGTCAGGCAGAAGGGAACTTCCACTTCTTTTTTAAAACCTTGGTGGAAACTGTGCTGGCAAGGCAAACAGGGAGGAGAGGAAGCTCCATGTGGGGCTTGGGCTTGGCGGACGACTTGGGGCTGGCCGGACTTTGGGTGGCCGCCGAGGACCATTGCTAAATATGCCCCTTTCGTCCTGAAATAGTCACTTCCCCGGCTGGCTTTTGTGTTGGTCGGTCGCCACAAATGTGTGGCTGTTGTTCAAGGAGGCCTCCTGGGATATAAAAAGAGAGAATGGGGCCAGGCTGCGGCCAGGGCTGTGTAGGAAGACAGGAGAGCTGCCTTTTCTCCTGTCCCACCACGGACTCATTGTAAGATTCAGAGGGAGTGGCTTCTGGGCCCTGGGTTTACTTTTCCATCTGTAAAATGGGTGGGGGGAAGGGGCAGCATCATAAAGCTTCTTTCTTCTCCTGAAAGGGATGTTTTAAGGCCCATGTCAAGATTGAACACAGGGCTCTGTTGTTGGGCTGATGCTACTGATGAAGTCTCAGGAAGCTCGAAGTTTGTAGTTAACTCTTTCAGGGTAGATGTGGTGAATAGTCTCTTGGTATTGTGTTGATGGTGGCCCACTAGAACAGAAGGTCCCAGAGGGCAAGGGCTTGGTCTTTCTTCTTCCTCTCTGTATCCCCACTGTTTAGAACTGGGCTGGGTGCAGAGTAGTCTCCATAAATGTTTATGGGGCCAATATCTCCAAATATTGGCACCTACTAAGCGTCAGTCCCATCTCTCTTTTGTCTTCTTCACAGGTTTAACTTGCTGTTTGAGAAGAGGCGATATGAGGAGCAGGGCATTTTTGGAGGAAGAAACTTTACCTCTGTTTTCAACGTTTCATCCAGTTTCTCTTCTTTTTACTTATTTGGAGACATGGTCTTACTTTGTTGTCCAGGCTGGAGGCTGAAGTGCAGTGGCACAATTATAGCTCACTGCAGCCTCAAAACACCTGGCCTCAAGTGATCCTCCTGCTTTAGCCTCCTGAGTAGCTGGGACCACAGGCTTACACCACCATACCTGGCAAATTTTTTTTTTTTTTTTTTTTGGAGAGGCAGAGTCTTGCTCCGTTGTCCAGGCTGGAGTGCAGTGGTGTAGTCATGGCTCGCTGCAGCCTCTGTCTCCTGGGCTTAAGCCATTCTCCTGCCTCACCCTTTGAGCCTCCTTAATTTTTTATTTATTTATTTTTTTTTTGTAGAGACAGGGTCTCATTATGTTGTCCAGCCTGATATTGCTATTTTTTTTTTTTTAATGGCGATGTAGTAATCTTGCTTTGTTGCCCAGGCTGTTCTGGAACTCCTGGCTTCAGGTGTGTGCCACTGTGCCTGGCCCAGTTGCTCTTTACATGGTGGAATATCAGAGGTTAAAGACTTGGTAAAAATTCATGCGGTGCAATAAACCATGTATTACATAATAGGGGTGACACTTGTTAACTTCTCCCAGGCTCAGTTTCCTCATGTGTAAAATAGGTGAATAGTATCTACCCTCCAGGAGTTGTACAAGGCTCATGTATACATAGTGTATGTGAATGTGCTGTATGGGTGCAAGGGGTTGCAGAAGTGATAATGTGTGTAAACAGATGGTGTGGTTGGCTCATTGGAGGGGTGGAGGCCCTAAGTGAGATGACCTCTGAGGTTTACTCTTCCTAGAGTAGTTGGAAAGCAATTCAGCCTCAGTGGTAAGCTCTCAGCTCTTCTAGGGCAGGTCCCTCTTCCACCACCCTGTGTCTGCAAGCATTTTGGTATTAAGTTGTTTTTCTAAGGCTGGGTGCGGTGGCTCACGCCTGTAATCCCAGCACTTTTGGAGGCCGAGGTGGGTGGATCACCTGAGATCAGGAGTTCGAGACCAGCCTGACCAACATGGTGAAACCATATCTCTACTAAAAATAAAAAATTAGCTGAGCGTGGTGGTGTGCGCCTGTAATCCCAGCCAGCTACTTGGGAGGCTGAGGCTGGAGAATCGCTTGAACCCGGGAGGCGAAGGTTGCAGTGAGCTGACATCATGTCATTGCACTCCAGCCTGGGCAACAAGAGTGAAACTCTGTCTCAAATAAAAAATATTATTTTTCTAAAAAGCTCTTATTTTATTGTGAAACACTTAAATTAGCAAATCTCAGGCTTGCTGAATAAGGCTTCCCAGGCAAACCACATCCCACATGTGCAAATGTCTGGTGACACAGTGCTTCATTTTTTTCCACTAGTACTTACTACTACCTGACATTATAGTGTAAGTTTACTTGTCTATTTGTGTATGGTCTGCCTCTCCTATGAGAATGTGAGCTGCATGAGGTCAGGACATTGTTTTGTTCACTCATGAATTCCCAGCACCCAGGACAGTGTCTGGCATGTAGTGAGTACCCAGTAAATATTTGTGGAATGAATGAATGAATACTTAAGTGGGTGGGAAGTTCTTGGACCTTAGTCTAGACCCATGGTTCTCAAAGAGTGGTCCTGGGACTCTTGGGGATTCCTGAGATCCTTTTAGGGATCTGTGAGGTCTGTGAGGTCAAAGTATTTTTATAATAATAGTAAACTATTTGTCCTTTCACTCTCATTCCCTCATGTATGCAAATCTCAGTGAACTGATATTTTCCAAATAACCAATGCATAAGGCCACAAAGCCATGCAGGGTAAAAAGAGCTATGAACAAAAGTTTTCTAGAGAAGAATTTGGAGGAAAGAGAGTTTATTCTAGTGAACAGATCGCAAACTGGGAGATGCTGCGTTGGTGTAAAATGAAGGTGCATTCCAGAGAGCAAAGAGAGAATCTAGTTTTTTGTTGTTGTTGTTGTTTTGTTTTTTAAATTTTGAGATGGAGTCTTGCTCTGTTTCCCAGGCTGGAGTGCAGTGGAGTGGCGTGATCTTGGCTTATTGCAACCTCTGCCTCCGGGTTCAAGCGATTCTCCTGCTTCAGCATCCCGAGTAGCTGGGACTACAGGCACTTGCCACCACGCCCACACACCCTACTAATTTTTGTATTTTTAGCAGAGACGGGGTTTTACCATGCTGGCCAGGCTTGTCTCGAACTCCTGACCTCAAGTGATCTACCCGCCTCAGCCTCCCAAAGTGCTGGGATTACAGGCATGGCAGAATCTAGGTTTTTATAGCAAAATTTCTGGCCCATGTCCCCAATCAGGTTTGATTATGCAAATGAAGGGGGCGGGTCAAACTTGCTTAGTTCTGATTGGCTGACACAGCTGAGTTCTGATTGGTGATACAGCTGAGCCCTGATTGGTTGATACAGCTGAGCTCTGATTGGCTGAAGCAGACGAGCTCTGACTGCTTGGTTCATGTGAGCTCTGAAAGTCCCAAGTCAAAAGGGTGTGGGGTTTTGTGAAACTTGGAGTACGTAGTGTGACCTCTAGTCAGCAAATGGCCACTTGGCTGTATTTTAAATTTAGGTACACTTTGCTGCTTGGGGTCCATCTTGAGGGGATTGCCTTTTTCAGGTTCATGTTTGTTCACAGAGCCATTCAAAGTGCAGTGGATACATTATAAATTGTACAATTATTTGTAATTAAAAAAAGAACAACAGCAAAAAACCCAAAGTGCAGTGGATGCAAAGACCAATGGATTTTCATGTAACAGAATATGAAAAGTTCACCGACACAGTTTCACATTCCACGATGCAGAGAAGTTTTTAATAACTGCCATCCACATGTTGAGTTTTGGTGTAACAGCAAAGAAAAATATCCACAACTACTGAAAAGGCTGAGAAAATACTCCCTTTCTCAACTGCATGTTTTTGTGTGAGTCCAGAATTTCTTTACATTATTGTAACAGAGTGAACGCAGAAGCAAATATGAGAATCCAGCTGTTTCTTACTAAGCAGACATTAAAGAGATTTGCAAATATCTAAAATAATGCTATCTCTCTCACTTTTTTTTTTTTTTGTATTGGAAACATCATTTTCCATACAATGTCATTTATGTTAACAGGTGACAGATTTATTTATTTTTATTTTTTATTTTTTTGAAACGGAGTTTCACTGTGTCACCCAGCCACCCAGGCTGGAGTGCAATGGTACAATCTTGGCTCACTGCAACCTCCGCCTCCCGGGTTCAAAGGATTCTCCTGCCTCAGCCTCCTGAGTAGCTGGGATTACAGGCACCCGCCACCACACTTGGCTAATTTTTGTATTTTTAGTAGAGACGGGGTTTCACCATGTTGGCCAGGCTGGTCTCGAACTCCTGACCTCAGGTGATCCACCCGTCTCAGCCTCCCAAAGTGCTGGGATTGCGGGCTGGGATTGCGGGCATGAGCCACCATGCCCAACAACAGATTTATTATAAGCAAAAGCTCTTTGGGGTCCTCAATAATTTTAAGAGCATAAAGGAGACCAAAAAGTTTAAGATGTGCTGGTCAAGACAGAGCCCTGTGGACTATGGAAGGGATTGAAGCCATTCTGTGGATCCTATAGGCTTCTTTTCTAAGCGAATGATTAGTGTTTATTCAGTAGCCCTATGTCAGGTGGTTTCTGTATGAATGAGAGGTTTGCCTTTCCAGCTGCGGCGGGGCTTTGGGCAAGTTGCTGTCTCTGTGCTCCTTCGTTTGCTCATGTGTTAAAAACTGGCCCAGGGGTCTGGGGGTGGGGTGGTAAGAAAATGGGTTGAGTCTCCTTCATCTCTAACATTTTCATGTTTAATTCTTGGAACCTCCACTTGTTAGCTCTGTTCACTCCTCTGAAAGAGATTGGTGAGAATTGAAACAGTGAAAGAAGATTTTAGAGAAAAGGTGACATGTAAAGCTGAACAAGGGTTGCCTGTGAGGCAGGCAAAAAGGACATTTATTATATTTAAAAAAAATTTTTTTTTTGAGACGGAGTCTCTGTCGCCCAGGCTGGAGTGCAGTGGCATGATCTCGGCTCATTGCAACCTCTGCCTCCCGGTTCAGCGATTCTCCTGCCTCAGCTTCCCGAGTAGCTGGGATTATAGGCACACACCACCATGCCTGGTTGATTTTTGTAGTTTTAGTAGAGACGGGGTTTCACCATGTTGACCAGGCTGGTCTGGAACTCCTGGCCTCAGGTGATCCACTCGCTTCGGCCTCCCAAAGTGTTGGGATTACAGGCGTGAGCCACCGTGCCCAGCCCAGAAAGGACATTTATATGTGGGGACCACTGCATCTTGCAGATGGGTAAACTGAGGTAGCGACAGGTGAAGGCTCAGTTACATTCATCCTGGGTCCCAGACTGTCTCCAACCTGTAGCCTGAAGCTTTGTTTCCTTCCTCCCTAGCCCAGGATGACAGCAGTGACCTTCCATGGGATCTTTTCCTGGGATTTATTGAGCCACTGAGGTCATTGGCCTCAGGCCACCTGCGTCTCTCGACTGACCAGTTATTCTTCAAGGAAGACACTGTGTGTGTGTGTGTTTTAGTTGCTCTTCTATAACTTCCGGGTGCTCTTCTCAGAGCAGCAGTGCTTTAAAAAATGTCTGTGTGTGTATTTCCCCACTTTGAGCCATGAAATATGTTCAGTCTGTTTTTTTTCTAGTCCAAAGTATTTCCATATCATTGTGCACCTGAGGAAATGCATACTTTGATAGAAAATGGACAAAAAAGTTGTATTGGTAGAATTAAATGAACTAATGCATGTCAAGCACTGAGCACTTTGACTCAATAGTAATAATAATAATAATAACACAATGTATCATTATGATAGTGTTATATCTCTTTAGCAATCTTGATAGTTGACTTGTATAATTCACAGTACAGAAGCTTATTCTAAAACTAAAATGCTTTGGTTCTCCTGTGTGCCAGGAACAGCAGTAAACTTTATGTCCTAAGATTAGTATGGTTGGAAATGCATGTGGCAGTGGTTCCCAAACACTGGTGTGCAGATGGAACACAGCCCGTGAAGTTTTCAGCGGTCCTTGTTAAAAAGAGATAAAGGAAAGAGATAAAGGATAAAGTGCTGAGATTCTCGTGAAGCTAAATGAAGCTAAATAAACATCCTTCAATGAGAATATGTCCTTCCTATAGTTTTTGGAGGAAAATATTTCCTTTTGTGAGACAAAAGTGTTAGTAGGTGGTAAGTACTTTTTATTTAGCATAGTACAAAGTTGTGGCCCTCTGTCAACCCTTCACATTTTGGTGTGTGTAATGTTTGAAACTGCATTGGTCTGTAAAATCCCAAACCCAGGTAGATAAAACCAAGAAGTGACAGGGCTGGAAGGGATCTTAGGAATTAGTTCATAAAGAACTTCAGGCTCAGAGAAGACATGTGAGTTGCCTAAGGTCACACAGCAAATCTGAAGCAAATCAGGGCTAGAAACCCATAGACGATGGTCATGAGCACTGGTTTTGAGTCATCCATTTGAACACACCTGTGTTCAGATTCTACCTCTGTTACTTATGAGCTGATTTCTTACCTGTGAAAGTGGGATACCTACCCAAGGGGTTCACGGGAGGATTTAATAAGATGATTTGGATTAGGAAAAACTGACAAATTTCCCCTTCCTTCTTCTCCCTGCCTTCCCCTCACCTGTTAATAAATAGATCCTTGTGAAAGGTCAGTGAGCAGCATCAGCCAGAAGGGCTTTGTTTTCAGCAAGGTCCCTGCATGTATGATTACAATCCTAAGTAATATCAGCTGTTGCTTGCGTTGGTTTCTCAGCTCTCTCTTGGTGATCTCTCTCTTTAGCTGTTGAATGAGTTCAAAGATCTAGGAAGAGCTTTGAAACCCCTCTAGCAGCATTTCTGTCTCCAGTCCCAGCACAGGTCTTTGGAGGATGAGATAAAAAGGGTTTTGCCCAGGGTCAAATGCTGTGTACACGCTTGGTCACTCTTCCCTTTCTTGAGATGACATGTCCCCTTCTTGGAGACCCAAGATGATTGACAACAATAACATTCCTTTACAACGTTTTCTTCTCATCTAGAGCACTGGGAGGCTGCCTTTTAACAGAGATATCACAGAGTAGCAAGCATGCAGACATTCTCATGACATCCTGGCAGATATCAAGACCAAAGAACATCCCATGTTCCCTCTTGAAGGCTTGTAATAACTGCCATAAATTATCTTGTGGGAATGGAGTGGCCCTGGCCTAAGCTGTGCTGTACCGGACTCTCCTGGTGACAGTTTTAGTGGCTGCATATGTTTGCAGAAGAAGGAAGCGTGGTAACTTGGCAAACAGCTCCAAACGCTCCTGGCTTGCTGCCACAGGATTGTCCTTGAGACTTGGGCACAGTGATGTGTGAAAAATGCCCACCTTTGCTCTTGGTGTCCAGTGGGCCTTCTATGGGCCCTCTATAGAGGTCATCACCTGGGGATTCCTGACTCTGGCCAGGTCCTGAGGTCTTTCCATGTTACTCTCCATGTTACTTGAGTAACATAAGAGCTTCTTATGGCTCTTATGTTCTGCAGGACGGATGAACTAGGTACCCAGGACAGGTCTGTTTGTGCACAAGGCTGTCTCCTTCTCCCCCTCCTTGGTTTTTCTACTGAGGCTTTGTTGTGCTTGGCTCAGGGTGATGTTAGCAAATGCACTCTCCACCCTGCTGTGCCACATTAAGGAAACGCATGTTGTATTGGCTTCTGCCAAGTCAGCTCACATGCTTTGTTTTAGTGACTCTGTGAAGAGCTCATCATCTATTATTTATTCAGGTAACACACTTCTATCTCCTAATTTCGGTGCTACTCCCATTTTTCATCCCCGGTTAGCGTGCTGTGCGCCAGGAGGGCTGCCTGTTGTCTTTAAGAACCACTTTGAACATTTTTGCTTTGGTTATTTATTCATACCAACATGTTGTTGTTAAATGACGTGAAATAAAACCCCATTTTAAAAAGAAATTGTAAAAGGAAGCTATGTCCTGTGTGGAAATCATGACAAGCCCAGAAACATGTTACAAAAACATTAACCAGGAGCGGTGGCTCACGCCTATAATCCCAGAACTTTGGGAGGCCAAGGTGGGCAGATCACTTGAGACCAAGAGTTTGAGACTAGCCCGGGGAACATGGTGAAGCCCATCTCAACTAAAAATACGAAAACTATCCAGGCATAATGGTGCAGGCCTGTGATTCCAGCTACTCAGGAGGCTGAGGCAGGAAAATTGCTTGAACCCGGGAGGCAGAGGTTACAGTGAGCCGATATTGTGCCACTGTACTCTAGCCTGGGCAACGGAGCGAGACTCCATCTCAAAAAAAAAAAAAAAAACAAAAAAAACCCACACACAACAAAAAATAAATATTGCCTGTACCTATCACCTGAGGAGCCCATTGTTAATGGTTGTGTGTCTTTTTAGTCTTTTAAAAAATGTGTTAAAAAATGTAGTTGTCATAATGTCCGTATATAAATTTTTAAGTGGAGTTGATAGATTTCATTTGAAGGGCTGCTGTGTCATAAATGTAAAATGCTTAGCAAGGTGCTTGGCACCTGGAGCTGTTCACAGTAAATGGAAGGAATTTTTATGGAGGGTGTAAGGTAGAGTGGGCTCCTGAGCCAGACTGCCCTGTTCCAGGCCTGGCTCTGCTATATCTGGCTGCTAGAGCCTCGAGCCAGCCATTGAAGTGCAGTGCCTTCATTTCCCCACCTGTAAAATGGGGGTAATTATCATATACCCCAAAGTGCTGTCATAAGGATTTAATGAAATATCCCATGTAAGATCCTTAGAGCACTGCTGCCGGATGGTCATCTCATAGTAGGTATTGGTTGTTATTATTCAGGAAAATGTTGGAAAACACATTTTTAAACAAAGCTGGTGTTCAGTCCCCTCCCTCCCCCCAACCAAGGAAACTCTCTTTAATTCCCAGTCTGCTGTGATTCAGTGCTGGCCTGGGAGCAGCCCTCGAGGGCAGACACAGCACTTGTCCCCTACCCAGCACAGCACCTGCCTGTGCATCCTTAGCTGATGAATGAGGCTCACAGCCCCAGGCGCCCTGCATCCTTCCCTTCTTTCTGGTACCCTCTTTTGTCTCCTCCAAACACTTGCTACTCAGGCTTCAGGGAGGAAGTAGGAAGTAGGAGGTGGTTTCTCCCTCCCAGACCCCCAGCTCACACTGGTCTTGAAGGGCGTGGCATCTGACAGAGCCCGGTGGCTGGTTTTCACGTGTCTCCTGAAGCCACCCCTAAGGAGAAGGCTTCGATGTCATCTTCTGGTCAGAGCCGAGCACAGTGGTCCTCTTCAGAGACAGATCCGTGCAGCAGGATGGCACCTCTGTTGTCCTCCCAGACTAGCAGTAGGTACACGTGGGCTTCGCAGGCTGTTTTCTGCCCTGGAATGCTGCTGTTTTTTAGACCCAGCATACCTCAGTGTCAGAGAAGGCTGGTTTGTTTGAAACGGTCAGAATGTCATAAATACCTTATGATGAACATTTTCCCAATTCGCTTAAATTCGAGAGGCCAGGAGTGTACCTTTCCCTTTCCTGAGAAGAGCATGGGCCACTGGCTTTTCCATCTTTGGTTCTCTCAGGTGCCTGTGCCCTGGAGCTGTCCGTCCCCTGGTCCTGCCCGCCTGGTCCTGTGGCCAGCACTCTCCACTGTGAGTCATTCAGGCCCAGTCCTTGTCCTGGTGGTGCATCTGCCTCATGATGTCAAGCACTGTGGGAAAGGCACCCAGCCTGCCCCACTCCAAAGGATGAGTATGGGGAGGTGGTGGTGCTTCTCAAACCCAAGGCTGTTTGTCATACCACATTCCGAAGACTTCAGATGAGGGCATTTACCTGTTTGCCTAGGAGGGGTTCTTCAATCTGCAATCCAGCAAACCCCTCCTTGATGAAAGGCGGAGGGTGTGTGGGCTTTTAGGGAACAGTTGTGCCCCGAGGAGGAAGGCGGGGCAATGTTAGGAGCCTCTGTGCCTTGGAGCTGCAGGCGAGTTGTCTGGTCTTGGGTGATTCCCTTCCTATGTTTGCATCTCAATTTTCCCTCTTGTAAAATGGAGCTGAGAGCATCCCTTATATCACAGGAATGTCATTAGGATTACTTAAGGTGTTGGAATGTTTCCTGGCCTAGGGGAAGAGCTCAGTAGAAGCTTGCTATTGCCCTAATATCATTACTATCCCAGATATGCATTTTCTTGTTATTTCCCTGTTAGGCGTTAAGTGTGTGAAAGTGTGTGTGTATATTTAAAAGGTCAAAGTAAAATTCTTTAGAACCTTAGGGCAGGATAGCTCTTGTTTAGTTAGGGGTGTTTGGTGACTGCTGGAGAAGTCACCTACCCAGCTGATCTTACAATTACTGTCTGCTTAAAGGCAGCTCTTGACTTGGCCTTCTCTAGGGGAAAAACATGTAGTTTATGCAACTTTTCTTTTCCCTTTCTGCTCTGGATTTGACCTTTTGTTCCTTCAGGTGATTGAAAAAATTCGAAAAGTCACCTGTTTCCTCAGAATTGCTTTAAGACAAGACTAAGTGAACCAACAAGAATGAAGTCAGCTTTTTGGAAATACCTCCCAAGAGGCCTTGCTCTTTATGCAGGACTGTTATTTCAAAGGATGGTGTCCCCTCCCCAACCATAAGAACGATCCAAACCTGTTTTCTGGGGCCCAGAGTTTGCTGAGGATAGGACTGGGCTGAAGCTTTCATTGCTGGTCTGTGGGGTAGAGGTAAGCCTCCCCTGTGAAGCTGGTAGGTTACATGCTTTGGCAACATGAATTGTTATTTCTGGAGTCCCCTGGGTGCTGTTTAGAAATGCAGGTAGGTGGCTGGGTGCGGTGGCTCATGCCTGTAATCCCAGCATTTTGGGAGGCCAAGGCAGGCAGATTACTTGAGCTCAGGAGTTCGAGACCAGCCTGGGCAATATAGTGAAACCCCAACTCTACAAAAATACAAAAATTAGCCAGGGATGGTGGTGCATGCCTGTAATCCCAGCTACTCAGTAGGCTGAGGCAAAAGAATTGCTTGAACCTGGGAGGCGGGGGTTGCAGTGAGCCGACATCGCGCCACTGCACTCCAGCCTGGGCCACAGAGCAAGATTTCATCTCAAAAAAAAAAAAAAAAAAAAAAAGAAAAAGAAAAAAAGAAATGCAGGTAGGTGCTTCTAGCTACTGCTGTGGGATAGCAAGGTAGTTACCAAACTGATAAGGGTAGCATCTTACTTACTGCTGAAAAATTCAGTGTCTTTTTTCTTTTTTTTTGAGACAGAGTCTTGCTCTGTTGCCCAGGCTGGAGTGCAGTGGCGAGATCTTGGCTCACTGCAACTTCTGCCTCTTGGGCTCAAGATATTCTCTTGCTTCAGCCTCCCAAGGAGCTGGGATTATAGGCACTCGCTACCACACCTGGCTAATTTTTGTATTTTTAGTAGAGACAGGGTTTCACCATGTTGGCTAGGCTGGTCTCAAACTCCTGACCTCAGGTGATCCACCCACCTCAGCCTCCCAAAGTGCTGGGATTACAGGCGTGAACTACTGCGCCGGGCTTGAGTTTGACTTTTTGAAAATATTCCACCTATAAGTGAAGTTGTGCAGTGTTTGTCTTTATGTGTTTAGCATATTTCACTCAGCATAATGTCCTCCAGGCTCTGATGGGCACTTGGCTTGTTTCCATGTCTTGGCTATTGTGAATAGTGCCGCAATGAACATGGGCAAATTGCCGTGTTGAGTTAAGGAAGCTCTTTTCCAGTCTGAGTTTGCAAATAGCTTTTCATATATGAGCGTTGAATATTATCAAATGCTTTTCTGCATTCACTGAGATGACTTTATGTATTTAAAAAAATCTGATGGCCTATATTTTCTATTTCTAAACTACTCGTGTATTCCTGGTATAAATCAACTCAGTGTGTTACTCTCGTTTTTATACATAGCTGGATTCGTTTTCACTAATATTTTGTTTGAGATTTTTGCCTCAGTGATCATGTATGTGATTGCTCTGTAACTTTTCATTCACATTTTGTCCTTGTCTGTCCTGGTATCAAAGTTATATTGGCTTCATAGAATGAGGGAAATGTTTATCCTTCTAAAAATATTTAGTAGAGTGGTCTAAGATGAGAGTGTAAGTGAGTAAACTTTCTCAATCAAATATTTTGTGATATGTTTCAGGAATTTCATTACATGTTTGGTTCAATTTTTAAAGCATTTCTTTTTATTATTTAAAACTTTTAGCATTGGTGACCATCCATGTGCTGCTTTTATTGCCAGCTTAACTTGTTTTTATGACATCTTCAGGAAGAAAACCTCTGCTGTCTATTTAATGGAGATGAATTGTTAAACTTTTACCATTTGCAACTACACGTCTCTATGAGTCAGACTTTTATTGATCGTGTACAACTAAATGAAACCCGGAAATGAAGGAAATGTAACAAGCGATTTTATGTATTTTTTGTTTGCTCAAATTGCCTTTATAAAATAGATTGATACTCTATAATAAGCAAATGTTGTGAATTTGGAATTTTCAAATTGAGGCTTACTAATAATGTTAACTATTTTATCCGAGTTTATTTGGGTTTCTTATAAAATGTAATTTCTCAAGAAGATTTTGCTGCCCTAAAAAAAAAAAAAAGAAAAAGAAAAAGACAAAAAGGGAAGCCACTGGTTGCTAATGGCTCCTGCGGCTCTGACGATCCTCGATGAAGTGTTCTTTGATTAAGTGTCAAGATGAGTGGTGCAGACCTTTGACAGACACATGATTGTGGTTGGAGAAAGCCCAGCATTAACTGCTGACCTTGCCATCTGTGAGCAGGTGTTGAATGAGCTCAGTTCCCTCCCAGCCCTTCTTTTTCCCTGGTGGGTCATTGGCTCCTGAGTAAGATAGATGCATGCAATAGAAGAGCTGTTAATAGCATTTACTCTTTCTTAATCCTTATTAATCCCATTCATATTTCAGTGTCTGAAACTTGGCAGGATGTCAAGAAGCCACAGTGCAAGTAGGGAAATTGAACAGCAAGGACCAAGTACAATGTTCCCCTGATATTTAATTTGCTAAAACATGTAAGAAGAAGAAAGTTCTTACATTGTTAGGTCCCAAAGAGAGTGCCACTAAGCAACCTTGCCAAAACCACCTTGCTGGAGCTTCTTATTATCTTTTTTTAGCGAATGGCAATAAAGTCATTTTGTCAAGCTAACCAAGTACCATAATGAGATCTTTGTGGCATAAATTAACCGAGTGGGGAAATAACTTTGACAGGGGTTGATGTCCGAAATGAAGTGTTGTTTGTCTGATGTCAAGCCTGTGGGGAATTTGAACCTTGCACTCTTTCCTGATAAGACATTAACCTCTGCATGGGCTTGCTGGCCCAACCTTTTGATTAACTGGACCTATTTTCTTGTAGATCTAATACAAGGATTTGGAGAACCCCAGTAAAATGCTGGAGGGACTTAGACTCTGATCTCTATTGGGATGTGTCAAATTGGAGATTTGGTGGGCTTTTCTGCTGTGTTTACTGCGATGGGTGTGTGTATTTGAAGTCTGTATGTGGCCTTTAAGGATGTGTTTGGGGCGCAGAAGTTCTGGGTAACAGAGAGGCTCTCAAACGTTAGATTTTGGATTAGACTTTGGGTCAACTTCAGGGTAGCAAGAGGATGGATACCCGAGAACATGTTTTCTCCGACTTCCTGGCCCCTGTCTTCTAAGTTCTGGGTAGTGATGGGTCTTTGGAGGGGCAGCCCTTTCTGCCATGTGAATCTTTGCCCAGCCCTGAGGGGGTGAGGGCTGGCCAAGGGAGCCGGGCCATGGTCGGAGAGAAGGCTGAGGCTCCTTGAGAAGCATTTGGAGTTTGAGTCAGTTGTGTCTTTTAAAAAAATTACCCATTTTGGACTTGCCTGTGGAAGCAATTAGAGAGATCACAGGACCGTTTCTGATTCCCAATTCTGTCCAGTGTCTATTCAGAAAAATAGAAAACAGTCAACTGGAACAGGGGATTATTTGAGCACACACAGAGTCCTGTTGTCTCAGCAGCGTGCCCTCAGACAATTTGCCTTTTAGTGAAGTTTAAGCCCATGAAAGGAAATAAAAAGTGTTTTATTAGATGGCAAAGAAAGATGGACTGGACTTATGAGACTTTGAGAATTTTTGCTTTTTCTTTGTTAATGCAAACTTTGGAAGAGAGCAACTCTTTCTGTAATGCAATTTATTTGTACAATGTGGTAGTTATTGTTAATAGCTAATAATGATCTTCAACTGGGTAAAATACCATTGTGTGTTTGAGAGGGAGAGAGAGAGAGAAGGGTAGGAGGAGAGGGAGAATATCTTTTGTTCAAAGCCAAATGTTGCTACTTCTGAAGACGAGTGCACCTTATGGGTATAGCCAGCTATAATGTTTATCAAACATATACTTTTTTTTTTTTTTTTTGAGATGGAGTTTTTGCTCTGTCACCCAGGCTGGAGTGCAGTGGCATGATCTCAGCTCACTGCAACCTCCACCTCCCAGGTTCAAGTGATTTCTCCTGCCTCAGCCTCCCTCGTAGCTGGGATTGCAGGTGCACGCCACCACACCCAGCTAATTTTTGTATTTTTAGTAGAGACAGGGTTTTGCCATGTTGGCCAGGCTGGTCTTGAACTCCTGACCTCAGGTGATCCACCCACCTCGGCCTCTGAAAGTGCTGGGATTATAGGCATGAGCCACCATGCCCTGCCTCAAGCATCTATTTTGTGCAAGAGCTTGCAGAAGTTCTTTCCTGCCACAGCCGTGGTTGGCCACATTGCTCCCCCATGAATATGTGGAAACTGACACTTCAGGAGAATTGGTGGCTCACCCATGGCATTCAGCTAGTGGGTTATGGGGCAGAGACTCAAACTCAGCCCTGACTCCCACAGCATTGTTCTTTTTCTGTAAATTGCTGACTTACTCAGTTGATCACAGTTCATTGCCGTTTACAGAATTTGTCTGCACCCATTGTGCCTTTTAAGTGTCGATTTTCTTTCCTGAAAGCACACAAAGCAAAGCACGGCTCTGCAGTGTGACCCACCGTGTGCTGTGTGGACAGATGATGCTGGTCAGCAGGCAGGAAAACGATCTGCCAGGCGCTGGGGGTGGGGCAGAGGATTGTTCTTCCTGACCTTGGTATGAAAACCGTATGGAGTTCTTAGTGAGGAAAATCACTCTTAGCCCAAATTCCTGCGAAGGCCGATGGGATTGTTTTTAAGATTTGTTGGATTGCTGGATTTGTTGAAGGGAGAACTGGAAGAAGCTATCAGAAGTTTACAGGGCATCGGAGGGAGACACTCCCTTTGGCCACTTTCTCCGCCAAAACTATCCTGGTTTTAGCCCAACAGTTTCCCACGCCCGCCCCCACCCCCACAACCTTGTTTGTTTAAAGACCATTAAAGAACGTCTTCAATTTATTCTGGATTGAGTTTTCCTCAAACCAAACCACCCCTCAGTTCACCCCCCAGAGCTGTTGAGGCCCTTCCTGGGGGCTTGTGGCTGTGGCTGCCTCAGATCAGAGCAGACCCTGGGCTGCATCATCCTTCCACATTGTCTCTCTAAAGTACCTGAAGCCAGTAGTTCTCAAACTTTGGAGAGGGTTTTGAGTCACCTCGAGAGCTGATAAGAACAGAGGCCCAGATTGAAGTTGAATAGTGCTGGGCCTTTGTTTTTACCAAGTTCCCTGGATGGTTCTGCTACCTCCTAGCCTGTGAGAACTACTCCTTTGTGATTTCTTGCCATTGAAATTTTTTCTCACCTTCTTCTTGGCTTGAGTGCTCTTCTGGGTTCCTTCCGGCTGTCCAAATCAAATTTAATTTTCACACCCAGACCTTGTCCCTGCTCTCATCCTTCAGCCCACCCTCCTGTTCCCCATTCAGCCAGACCCCCTGCCAGTCAGTTCAAGTGCTAGGCATGGGGTATCGAGTCTCAGGCCGGTCCACAGACATTCCAGCACCTGGTGGTAAGAGGTGAGTGCTGCGTGGACCCACTGAGGAAGGCTCTGGCTGTGCTGGGGGAGGGGAGTTTATGCTCGTCCTCATAGAAGGATAAGCAGGAATTAAGTGGGCAAAGGAGGGAGTGAGGAAGCTCTCACTTTCTAGGTAGTAGGACCAGCATGAACCAAGGTAGGGGATGACAACATGGCTCATTCAGGGAATTTGAGGTATGTTGATACATGGAAAAATGTACCTGAAATGTGAGTCCTGCTTTTGTGACTCACCCTTTCCTTTACATAAGCATTGATTTACATCTGTTGTTTTTTAAGATAGTGTGTATGTTGAAAAGTTCAGAACAAGATCAAGTGGAGACATAAAATGGTAAGATGTGAAAAGTTGTTCTTGCCAGATTAAATGGTTCCACCTGAAGAAAATTTTTTTTTTTTTTGAGATGGAGTCTCACTTTGTTGCATGGGCTGGAGTGTAGTGGCGTGATCTCAGCTCACTGCAACCTCCGCCTCCCGGGTTCAAGCAATTCTCCTGCCTCAGCCTCCCGAGTAGCTGGGACTACAGGTATACACTGCCAAGCCCGGCTAAGTTTTTGTATTTTAGTAGAGACGGGGTTTCACCGTGTTGCCCCAGGCTAGTCTCAAACTCCTGAGCTCAGGCAATCCCCAGCCTCAGCCCCCCAAAGTGCTAGGATTACAGGCATGAGCCACCGCACCCGGCCTGAATTTTTTTTTGTTTTGTTTATTTATTTCTTGGTTTTGCTGGCCTTTAAGCAACCCAAGACTAGGGGGCTTTCACTCCGTCCCTAGAGAGCTCAAAGGGCCTGACTTAGGGGACACAGTCAGTGAAGGGGATGAATGAATGAGTTTCAGATCCAGGTGTTCTGGATAAGTCACTTTACCTTTCTGGGCCTTTTTCCTCAACTCCAAACAGAGGATGTCGGTATAGACAATCCCTAGGATCTTGTCCCCTTTATGACTGATCACACAGTTCCACTGCTTGCCCTTGAGGCTTTGGTGTCCGCGCATGCCTATTCAGTCTGACCCACAAGAGGCCAGGCCAGCTCTGTTCCAGGCCCTGAAAATCCCATTAAAACTCCACTCACTAGCCTGTTCCCTGGGGGTGCTGAATCAGCATTTAATGGGGAAGGCCACGAGCTAGGCTCTGGTGGGTAGGAAGTGTGTGACTTCTCTTACCTCAACAGTTTCTACTGTAACTAGCGGGATAAGGTAAATCTATGGAAATGCAAGGCTTATGCCGAGGCTCACAGAGTGGGCCAGGCTGCATAAGTCCTGGACACCACAGGGCCTGCTTTGAGAAGGCAGCTGTGGTCCCACAGCCTTGACCACCAGGCACCATCCTCTGTTGCCAGTGGACCCACATTTCAAATCATTTTATCTCTTTTTTTTTTTTTTTTTTTTTGAGACGGAGTTTCGCTCTGTCGCCCAGGCTGGAGTGCAGTGGCGCGATCTCGACTCACTGCAAGCTCCGCCTCCCGGGTTCACGCCATTCTCCTGCCTCAGCCTCCTGTGTAGCTGGGACTACAGGCACGCGCCACCATGCCCGGCTAATTTTTGTATTTTTAGTAGAGACGGGGTTTCACCGTGTTAGCCAGGATGGTCCCGATCTCCTGACCTCGTGATCCGCCCGTCTCGGCCTCCCAAAGTGCTGGGATTACAGGCGTGAGCCACCGCGCCCGGCCTTTATCTCTTAAATAACCTGTATTCATTTGTTCCTTCCCATGTCTTATCCACCAAAAATCTCCAATTGGAAATTCAGACAAGGATTGAGACCCTGTGTTCTTAAATTGGGTTGATTGAAATCTAGAAACAATGATAGTAATAACAGAGTTATCTTCTCTCGAACATCTGCCTCCTGCCTGATGTTATTTCGCTTAATTCTCTCAAGGGCTTGAGGAGAGTCCTGCCATAATCCTTCCTTTCAGAGGGGAAGATCGAAATTTAGCTCAGATCTCAAGCTAGTAATCATCAGAACCAGGATATAGAATCAGGACTAGACCACATGGTCCCTGCTCTGAGCTGCTGCGGGTCCATCCCTGTGGCTCTGTCCAGGGTAAATGGATGATTCAGGGGAAGGGTCAGCAAACTATAGCCCATGGGCCAAATGCAGCCACTGCTTGTTTTTGGGTGGCCCAAGAGCCAAGAATAGTTTCCACATTTTTAAATGGGTGGAGAAAACAAAATCTACAAAGAATAATGTTTCATGACACATGAAAATTATGTAAAATATACATTTAACGCTTGTAAGTAAAGTTCTGTTGGAACTCAGCTACAGTCGTTAGTTTACATATCATCGATGGCTGGTTTCGCAGTACAAGGGCACAGTTTAAAGCCTGCCAGGCCTAAAATGTTTACTGTCTGGCCTATTACAGAAGACGTTTGCTGACCCCTGATTTAGGGCATTCATGAGGCTTGATGAGATGTTGAAAATCAGCTGTCTCCTCCCGTCACTCTCTTCTGATTGTGGGTAGGCTCTGGTGCACCAGCTCTCCAGTGATCTCCTATCTGATGCTCAGAGTTCTTTTTCCATTGCATGGATGTCAAATAAAAGTGTCTGCTTTGTGGCATTTCTGGCTTGAGAGTACCTGCCCAATGTGATTTGCCAAGGTGCCATTTTATCAAAAGTCTTAGGATGACTGGATGGGTTTGCCTTGAATTTGTTTTGCCTTTGCTGATGGTTGTATTTAGGTTATCATTGAAAGAGGATTGCAGAACAGCGGCAGTTTCCTGTGCTGTCTGGATTGAAGTTGAATAATGCCCTAACTTTTAATTGAAAGGGACTGTTGTAGGCGGGAGACTGTCTAAGAGCTGACCTGTCACCACCACCTGAGATGTCTGAGCCCACCCTTGGACTTTCTTGGCACGTGGGGAAGAGGGGGCCTGGGTCCTGGGCTCCCACCTAAACTCAGCAGACCCCACTGGCAGGTGTGTGTTGTGGGGGTGATGGAGGCTTTTTGGAGGGCATTGAGCTCCTTGGGTGGAGGTGGGGTGGCTGCCTTGGGGGCTCAGTGCAGCTCTGGCCATGATGGACAGAAGGAGACAAGAATGTAGCTTCTTGTTCTGAGAACTTCAGCCCAAGTTCCTCCTTTCATGCAGCAGAATCCAAGACACTGACTTGCCCCTCTCTGCTGTTGAGGCTTCTGTGTTGCAGAGATACCTTCTGGCCCTGCTTTATCCTAGTGAGGCAGCTCACCTCTCCCGTGTTTCACTGCTCGAACTCTCCTTCCCAAGGCTGTGCTAGTGGTAGTGATGACAATAATAGCTACTATTTATTGTGTGCCCCTCGTATGCTAAGTGCTTCACGTAGATTATATAATTTAATACTTGTCACAACAGTCTTATGAGGTAAATACTGTATATATATTTAAAAAGACTATTTTTAGAGCAGTTTTAGGTTCACAGCAAAATGTAGAGGAAGTTTCACAGAGATATCCCAAGCACCCCTTGCCATTTTCTCTTAGTTATGAAAATGATCAAATGGGCTGGGTGTGGTCCCAGCACTTTGGGAGGCCAAGGCGGGTGGATCACCGGAGGTCAGGAGTTTGAGACCAGCCTAGCCAACATGGTGAAACCCTGTCTCTACTAAATACAAAAAATTAGCTGGGTGTAGTGGCACATGCCTATAATCCCAGCTATTTGGGAGGCTGAGGCAGGAGAATTGTTTGAACCTGGGAGGTGGAGGTTGCAGTGAGCCGAGATTGCGCCATTGCACTACAGCCTAGGCAACAAGAGCAAAACTCTGTCTCAAAAAGAAAAAAAAAAAAAAAAAGATCAAATAGACTTCCAAGTGCCCATGTCTCAGGTTCAGTACTGATCAGCATTTTACCCTCCTTTGCTTCAGCTCCCTCCTGTCATTGCTCATTGCTGAGAGTGGGTAAGGGGCTTTCTCAGGTTCCTGTAGCTGGTAGGATCCCGCTGTCCTCAAAGTTCCTGCACTCAGTGGCTGACGGTGCCAGGTGACTCCCCCTTTTGGGGTCCATGACATTTGCTGCTGTTTCTAAAGCCCCTACTGTGTGCTGCTAATCCCCTCACCAAGCTTGCAGAGCGGATGGTAACTGACAGGTGAAAAAATGCAAGAAGTTAGGTCACGGGTCCGGGGACATCCTGCTAATAGGTGGTGGTGCCAGGCTTCAAACTCAGGCCTGACTTCAAGTCCCGCAGCTTCTCTGCCCCACCCTGTCTCTGTCCTCCTCACCTCTGTAGTGTGGTGGGACTCGGTGGGGTGGTCGTTTGACTGTGGGAACTTCTGTTTGCAAAGCCTTGGAAGGACCCAGGTGACTGCAGATAGTTCCGTGAGAAGCATCTGGGACTGTTGACCTCACTGCTGATCTTCCTTGTGAGCCTGTGATAGGGCTAACCCTTGGCTTTCTGGCCAGAGTGTAGACAGAGACCCGATTAGCATTTTGTGGTCAGTCAGAGGCAGTTTGTGAACCTGGAACTTGGAAGCTGGTTTCCTCCTCTGGGAGGGATGTGGAGCCTGGGGAGCCAGGAAGGCATGGACTGAATATACACCCAGCTGGGCAGTGGGGAAGGGAGGATTCCGTGGGGAGCTAGCCCTGAACACAGCAAGCATTTGGTAAATGGTGCCTGTTAGCTGTTTTTATCCGTATTCTAAGGTGGACGAGCGGCGCAGGAGAGAACTGGTAGGATTAATGGAGTGGTTTCATTATTCAGATTTAAGTGCATGCAGCCAGAAGTCTTCAACTGAAGAATTGAAACTCTCTGCTCTTTTTTGGGGGTCATGGTGGCAGTGTGAGGGGCTGGTTCATGAGTGAGGAGAAAAGGTAGTGGCAGGCAGAATGGTACATTTTATATTCATATTGTGCACATTATTCACACCTGACATGGGCCAGAAATCCTCTCCTAAGAGAGACACTTGGAAAGTAAACAGTTTGTTAATCATTTCAACCCGTGGACTTTGGTTGCAGGGTGCATTTTGATCAAGGGTTACAAACACCAATGTCTTCAGGGACATTTGGGGACATAAATAAAGGGAATGGACAAAAAGATGGAAAAGCATACTGCCTCTCAGTCTTTCGCATGCTCATGTTTGATAGAGAAAATCAACATCGTGGGGGCAGTGTTGCTTGGCAACTGCCATTTGTCCTCAGCGTTGGGGTGACATTACTAGGGAATGGCTGTGAACTCCAAGCACTTCCCCCCGGGAAGCGAGGCTGACACTCAGATCCAATTCATGTCTTTAATGTGGCCAAATGAGAAAGCCAGATGTATTTCTGAGAAGCCAAAAAACAAGATTTAAAAAATGCTATCTCCCTAATTTTTTTTTTTGAGACAGAGTTTTGCTCTTGTTGCCCAGGCTGGAGGACAGTGGTGCGATCTTGGCTCACTGCAACCTCTGCCTCCCAGGTTCAAGCGATTCTCCTGCGTCAGCCTCCCGAGTAGCTAGGATTACAGGCCACCATGCCCAGCTAATTTTTGTATATATATTTTTTTCAGTAGAGACGGGGTTTCACCATGTTACAGGCCAGGCTGGTCTTGAACTCCCTTGAACTCAGGTGATCCACCTGCCTCAGCCTCTAAAAGTGCTGGGATTACAAGTGTGAGCCACTGCACCTGGCTTCTATCTCCCTAATTTTTAAATACTTAAGATTTTAAGAAACATCACAGGTCAAGCAATGCATGGCAGTGGGCTAGATTCAGACAGGGGAGCCTCAATTTAGGACCCCCAGATTTATCATACAAGGTGGAGGAAGGGTTCAGATAGGGACTTGGGGATTGCCAACTCTGACCCTCTCTTCAGATGAAGAGATTAGCCCTGTGGAGGAGTCCAGGATTTGTATTTTAGTCTTGGTACTGGGTGTTCTGGGTTGAGTTGCTAGACCATTCTGGGACAAGTTGCTAGACCATTCTGGGACTTACTTTCTTCCTCCATAAAGTCAAAGGGTAGGTAGATCACACATTTTTAAAGTGTGCTCCTTGAGGTGTGTCAGGGGTTCCATAAGCATTTGCTTTCAGTTTTATTAAAAGCAGCCTGTACTCTCAAATTTGAGTATATTTGAAATTGTAATGAGAGCAGTTGCTCAGGATGGAGTGTGGTGGCTCATGCCTGCCCCACACTTTGGAAACCTGAGGTGGAGGAAACCTTCAGGCCAGGAGTTTGAGACCAGCCAGGGAAGTATAGGGAGACCCCATTTCTACAAAAAACAAAAATATTAGCTGGGTATAGTGGGACACATGTGTAGTTTGAACTACTCGGAAGGCTGAGGCTGGGGGATCGCTTGAGCCCAGGAGTTTAAGGCTGCAGTGAGCTATGATTGTGCCATTGTACTCTGGCCTGGGCCACAGAGTGAGATCCTGTCTCAAAAAAACAAAAAACAAAACAAAAACAAATTAAAAAACAAAACAAACCAAAAAAACCAACCAACACATTTGCCCAAATAGTGAATCACATCAAATTTTAAAATTCGCTGGAAACTATCTGCTTCTTAATTTGATTATACATCAATTATGTTCAAAGTAAAAAACAAGGTAATTTGAAACAGCTGCTTTTATCCAGGTGTATACACGGTGTATACATACACAGATATGTATGAAATGTGGAACTCTATACCCGTATGTATGGAGTTCCTCCTAAGAGTCTTTTTGAGAAAATAGTTCCATTGCTAAAAATACCCAATGGAAACTTCTGGCCTGGGATTTCCAAGTTCACCCTCGGCTGTGCGTCTCAAAGTCCACACAGCCTCACCAAAATAGCCCTTCTGGGTACTTTTTTCTGTGTGTTCTTGGAGGAGGCCATCGTGCCTCCAGCTCCCTAAGGCGGAAGATGAGCCAGCGGGGATCTTTGCAGGGTGGTTGGTTCTCGTTCCTTCCACCGAAGCCTTCCATGGCATTTTTGGGACCTGGAATTGTGAATTATTCTGCCTCTTCCCCACAGTCCCTGATGACAGCATGAAGTTCAGAGAGTTTATTTGCAGATGAGGCAGGGAAGCCGGCCTGTTCTCATCTTGCTGTGCCTGATGCCTTGTGCTTGGGGCACTGTTCACTGTGCTGCCTGCTGGCCTGCTTGTCTCTGCCTTTTGGATGGGAGATAGGCCACCCCACAGTGCCACACCTGCCTTCAGGGAAGCTTTTGGGTGTTCCTTGTCTGGCTTCTGGGTTCAGTGGGAGGGCCCACCCAGCCTGTCATTTTAATGATTTACCTTAGAGGAGCCAGTTTTATAGGGAGTTGTTGGATAATCTTCACAAGGCAGATAAATGGGAGAGCAGGAAGAATGATGGCCTTTCAGAGTTGAAATCTGTGCTGCTCCAAATCCCATAAACTGCTATTTGATTTTAAACATTGCTTGAAGCGGTTCACATTTTGGTTAATTACGTCAGTGGGTAAAAATAACTATTGTCATATGGTGTGTGGGCTTGGCTTTAGAAGGATAAAGAGTCTATTGTTACCCATTGTGCTATTCAGTCACTTATTACCCATCCTTAAAAGCCCAACGTGGATAACAGAAAACCTGGAGAGCTTTGTCACTTGCTGAAATCCAAGCTGCCCTGTGAATTTATCCCCAAACACTGCTCCTTTTGAGAAACTTGTACAAGCTGCCTTAATTTAGTCAATTCAAATGGGTTGATGGGGGCTGTTCCCAAGGCCCAGGACAGGCAGGGGTTTGTGACCTGCAGCCCTGGAACTGCCTTTGGGTTTCATGGTCTCAGTTGAGACCTGCCCAGGGTTGAACCAGCTTAGTGCTCCCTGGGGGTGGTTAAGTTCAAGGACTTCAGGGTCCGATTGACCTTGGGCTGAATCTTGACCTGGGGCTGTAAGATGCTCGGTCAGGACCTTAACTTTTCCAAGGCTCGGTGTCTACATCTGGAAAATGGGGATAAACACAGTTCCTCCCTGCTGGGATTATTGTAAGGCTTGAATGAGATGATAAATACAACATCTGACTTGCGACTGGACGGTAGCAAAGGGTTTAGTTAATATTATAATAAGTAGAATGGAACAGCATTAGATTCTCACACAGGGTCACTATGTTGTTTTCTCCCATTCTACCCCTGCATATTACCCTGAAGCACCCCCAAGCCTCTCCCTCCCCATCCCTCAAGCCCCTCCCTCCCCATCCCCCAAGCTCACCAGGTCCTGGCGCACCCAGATCTTTCACTGCTTTTCTTGCCTGTGAGCTCTTGGGGAGTCAGGACCACCTTAAGCACCCTCTGCATCTTTGGCACCTAACCTGGGGCCTGGGGCCCTGCAGGGCCACAATTAGCAGCATGGACAACAGCATGGACGGAGAGGGTCTCAGAGCCTGGAGAGCTCCTAGGGGCTGGAGCAGTCACAGGAAGTCACCAAGTGAATTGAAGGGTGGTGGCTTTGGAGGTTCAGTGAGGCAAGAAGAAGGCTGTTAGGCTGGGAATTAAGGAACCTTGTGTTGTTCGAGTCTCAGGACAACTCAGATATGGGGTCTGTATTGCAAATGCCCCTGCGTCATTTTACAACTGATGAAAACAATGGCTCCACGAGACCCTCAAGTGCCAGAGCTCATGAGTGACAGTGGAAGTTGAACTAACCTTTTAACCACCCTAGTCCACACCTGTCAGGCTGACGGGCTTTCAGTGGTGATGTGTTGGGAGCTCTGTGCCGCAGATCTCTGTGTGCTCCTGAGACTCTGCCCGCCTGTCTCTACCCTGCTGTGCCCACTAGGAGGAGGCTGACCTTTATGTTCTACACCAGTGGGTGCCCTTGGTCTCCAGCTTCCAGTGGGCCAGTCTGGCGAGAGACCCTAGCTGGAGATGAGGGGAGGTAGCCTTGGCCTCTCTCCTTGCCCTTCCTCGCTGCTGCTACCCCAGGATTCTTGCCCATCCCTTACTGGTTTTCCTTAACCCCACCCTCACCCTTGAAAACAGACTCTTTAAAACTCTCCTCACTCACCCTCATTGAGTGTGTCATCTGCTCCAGCTAGGATATTGGCTAATACCGCATGTTTCAGAAAGAAAAATTCGCAGTTCTATTTATTTTTTTACTGTGGATTGAAGGGAGAGGCAACCAGGTATATGGATGAAGGAGTAGGGCCTGGCTGTCACCACTGGTGTTCACAAAAGGCTCCCGTTTAAGTCCTCTTATATTCCAAATGAGGGGTTATAGGTCGAGTCAGGGCGTTGCTCTAACAGAAGCAAAACCAAAAATACACGGCCGTAGATACAACCCTGTTCTGGTACTTCCTAATTTTGTGTGTACATGTGTGCACCTGGAGCTTCAAGAAATGAAAATGGAAATGGCCTGAGTGTTTCTCAGCCCTAGGATGAGGCTGTTTCTGTGATTTAGGGCTGGAGGTTATGAAGACTTGGTTTACAATATGCACAGTACAGAAGCGGGGAAGTCAAGGTGTGCTGGGCAAGGAAACATCTTTATGTGACCCACAAAGAGTGAAGCAGAGGGAAGAACCAGAAGTTATTCTGGTTTGCAGACTGGGAGACAGGTTTAATGACACAGTCATGTCAGAGAGAGGGGAAGAGGAGAATACGTAGGGGGTCTGTTTTGATGTGTATGTACATGTAGGATTTTCATGTAGAGGAGTTGGGGAAAATTTTAGAAGTTTTAGGTGTAAATGCAGCTGGTAAGATCCTTATGACTTAGTTTCTTTTTTTTCTTCTTTTCTTTTCTTTCTTTCTTTCTTTTTTTTTTTTTTTTTTTTTTTAAGACAGAGTCTCACTCTGTTGCCCAGGCTGGAGTGCAGTGGCGCGATCTCAGCTCACTGCAACCTCCGTCTCCCCAGTTCAAGCAATTCTCCTGCCTCAGCCTCCCAGAGTGCTGGGATTACAGGTGCATGCAACCACACCTGGCTAATTTTTGTATTTTTAGTAGAGTTGGGGTTTCACCATGTTGGCCAGGCTGGTCTGGAACTCCTGACCTCAGGTGATCCACCTGCCTTGGCCTCACAAAGTGCTGGGATTACAAGTGTGAGCCACTGCTCCCGGCCTTAGTTTTTGAGTGGGAAGAATCTAGTGTTCAGAGTGGACCACTGATGTCATAGCTGCAGGTTTGGCTGAATTGGGATGGTGCAGAAAGCCGTGTTAACCATTTCTTTTTCTCTGAGGCCTGGAGGAGGATCCTTGTGACTGGAACCACAGTTGGGACTGGCAGTGGTTTTTCCTGCTGGCAAGGAAAAAAAAAAAGAGAAAAGAAAGAGTTCGACTTATCAGCACAAAGAAAGGAGGATGTGAAACTAGAACCATCTCTAGGGCAGTTCTAGCAATGAACAAGGCTGGAAGGCTCACCGGCGAGGGGTTTCCCCTCAGGAAAGGGGACAGAGAAGCTTCCACCTCCTGGGTAGCATTGGGTGTTCCTGGGCACATCTGGGTGACTAACGGGTTTTCTGCCACACAACTGGGGTATATAGGGAAGTCTTTGGCCAGAACTGTGGGCCGTACTGCATTCTTCCCGTGTCTGTCACTGCTGAGTCGTGAGCTTGATCTCTTTTCTTAGTGTTTGCTCCTTTTGTCCAGCTATGGGGGCCAGCAGAAGCTTTGGGTCATCTGTACCAGTGACTTTGCTGTGAAGATGTAAGGGAGAGTGGTTGAGGTCAAGATCTGGGTTCTGGTTCTTGTGCCTCCTCTCTGGCTGTGTGTCCTTCAACAAGCTGCTTACTGTCTCTGGGCCTCCGTGCCCTCTGCAACTGGGTTGTTGGTCTATTTAAATACTTGGAGAAAAAAGCTGGGCATGGTGGCTCATGCCTGTAATCCCAGCACTTTGGGAAGCCAAGGTGGGAGGATTGCTTGAGCCCAGGAGCTTCTGACCAATCTGGGCAACAAAGTGAGATGCTGTCCCCATACAGAAATAAAAAAATTAGCTGGGCATGGTGGTGCATGCCTGTAGTCCCAGCTACTTGGGAGGCTTAGGTGAGAGGATCGCTTGAGCATGTGGGATCAAGGATGCAGTGAGCTGTGATTGCACCACTGCACTCCAGCCTGTGACAGAGTGAGACCTTGTCTCTTAAGAAAAAAGTTATTCAAAAAATACTTTGGAAAACAATGCTGGGGAGAGTATGAGCTTCAGATTGCACATTGGTTTCTATCAGGAGGATCTGAGCCTCGGTGGTGTTACCTGTAAAATGGGGATAAAAATACCTCACAGGGTTGCAGTGAAGATGTAAGGATGATGATGATGACAACAGCAGCTCAAATAGATCATTTAACTTAATTCTCGCCAAAGCAAGGCAGGTACAAAGATCATCCTGTTGGCAGATACAGACAGGGAGGGACAGAGAGGTTAATTAAGCAAGCTACCTGCCCGCAGTTACATGGCCAGAAGCAGTGGCACTGAACGACTTCCTTCAGGCGGTCTGAGTCCAGGTCTCAGCTCTTAGCCATCACTCCATGGTTCTGTGCTGAGACAAGGGATGTAGAAAGCCCAGCACAGTGTCTGTTACATAGTAGGTGCTTAGTAAGTTAGAGTTCCTTTTTATCCTCAGAATGCGTTTGCAAGTATAGCCTCCCACAGTGCTTTTACTTTAATCTTTCCCCTTACTGGGCAAAAAAATGTTTGCTGCCCTGTGCGACTTGCCTAGCTATTGACTTCTCTTTTTTCTGCCTCTCTCCTATGATCCATCCTAGACTGTGGATTGAGGCTCAGCCTAGATTAAAGGGCAGGGGCTGGAGGAGGAAGATGAGCTGAAAAAGGGTAGGCCTGAGGCGCGAAGGAGTTGATGGTAGGGTGGAAGGTGGGAATGGGAAGTTTGAGAATTGGAGGACCTGGGGGCAAGACTTTCCCCCTCTGGGCTCGTTCTTTCCTTCCTGTGCCGTTTATTGAGTGCCTACTGGGTCCACCATTCTAGGCATGGGGCACAGACAAGATCTCTGTTCTCATGGAGCACACAGTGTGGTTGGAGGAGTCAGTGATGGACAGAGAGTGAGGGGTGTTGGTTTCCATGGCTGCTCGGAGAAGGACTTGCTGAGGAGGTGGCGTTTTGGGCAGGCCATGAAAAGGTCTGGGCAGAGTGTGTTTGTGGGAGGGAATAAATATGTAAAGGCTCTAGGGGAGAATCAGTTTCGAGAATGTGAGGGGGCAGTGAGACCAGAGGGGCTAGTGGGCTGTGGCTGAGTTTGAATTTTATTCTAAGTGTCATGGAAAGTAGGAGGACGGTTTTTTCCACCAGGGTCCTTTTTGATTATTTTATTCTTCGTGACGATCCTACTTAAAAAAAAAAATCTTATTCACCAAAAAGGTGTGTTTGTGAAACAATAGAGTGTACAACCTTGAATCACTTTAGATTTTTAAAGTATAGGGAAACAATTATGGATCACAATGAATATCCTTGAGGGCTGCTCCCCTCCCCAGCTGACACTGTCAGCTAAACCTTTAAGGCCTCTTGTGTGTCAAGCATTAATTCTTCCCAAAGCTGCTTGACATGTGATTAAAAATTTTTACTGCCACCTACTGATGGAAAGAAGAAGATGAATTTTTGTACAATGAAAATCCCAAACACAGTGGATTTCTGGTTTCCACTGTGCTGTCAGGACTGGGAAATGGGTCTGGGGAAGGGGTGTGCTGGGCTTGGTATCCCCCCCACCCAACCCCCTTTTTTTGGCCCTGACAATCTGGTCTCTGCTTCTGTGTCCTTCTGCTTCAGCTCATCGCACAGTGGGTGGAGGGAGGTGCTGACCTGGGGAGTTGCTCCGGGGAGAGGGCTGGAGGTGGGGGGATGTGTCTGGGGAGAAACACTGGGCACTGGGAGTCAGCAGCCGCCAGCCCCCACATAACCCAGTTAATCCTTTGTAATTGACCCCGAGGTTGCAATGATTCCCTGTGTTTAATGTCCCAAGACGGCCTAACCCTGACCAGCAGACCTTTGCTTAATGTGCTTCTTACCACCCCACCCCCATTATTAAATCCTCAACTGCTTTATTTCTGATTTGCATTTTCCATGGCTGAATGAATCTGCTGACTTCCGTTTTCTTTTTCTGTTTCAGATCCTGTGCGCAGGTGGCAGTGAGTACCCTTTTCCTCTCTATTCTTGTGTTGTTCGCTACTGCCCCCTAATGGACACACAGCAACATTAACAGCAATGTGAAATGCTAATTTATTAAAACCTGCTCGGTTTCCAATTTTTCTTTTTCTTTTTCTTTTCTTTTTTTTTGAGTTGGAGCCTCGCTCTGTAGCCCAGGCTGGAGTGCAGTGGTGCCATCTCGGCTCACTGCAACCTCCGCCTCCCGGGTTCAAGTGATTCTCCTGCCTCAGCCTAGCAAGTAGCTGGGATTACAGGCACGTGCCACCATGTCCGGCTAATTTTTTGTATTTTTAGTAGAGACGGGGCTTCCCCATGTTGGTCTTGAACTCCTGACCTCAGGTGATCCGCCCGCCTTGGCCTCCCAAAGCGCTGGGATTACAGGCGCGAGCCACCACGCCCGGCCCCAATTTTTCTTTAGAAGTAGGAGTGAGGGTGGAAACAACAAATGAAAGAAAAAATTTTAATTAATTGTGCAATCATGATGAAAATTTATATTTTCTGTAATTTTTTTCTAGCCTCATCTGTGGGCGATTTAACTTAGTTGAAATTGTAATACATTATTTGTATATTGTTTATGTGCTGTTATCCTTTAAGTATTTTCTTGTGTTGCTACATTGCCCTTTTGTTGCTACATTGCTACATTTAAAGAATGGGGTGGAAGATCGTCATAACCTTTGGAAAATGAGACCTGGACTCCCGCATGTTTTGCTTTCATGCACAGGGCTGAGTCCCAACTGCTGACAGTGCTGGTTCATTCCCTGGTAATAAAATGAGAAAAATAAGGATATGACTAGAAGTTTTTTAAGGAAGCTTAAATATATTCAGTTGAAAGCACCATCCATCCCTGGATTATGTCCTTACTAATTTTTTGGTCATAAAACATTTCTATAAGAATTGAAGGCCGGGCCTGGTGGCTCATGCCTGTAATCCCAGCACTTTGGGAGGCTGAGGCAGGTGGATCACCTGAATTCAGGAGTTCGAGAACAGCTTGGCCAACATGGTGAAACACCATCTGTACTAAAAATACCAAAAAAATTAGCCAGGTGTGGTGGCATGCACCTGTAATCCCAGCTACTTGGGAGGCTGAGGCAGGAGAATCGCTTGAGCCTGAGAGGTGGAGGCTGCAGTGAGCCGAGATCACTCCATTGCACTCCAGCCTGGGCAACAAGAGTGAAACTCCATCTCAAAAAAAAAAAAAAAAAAAAAAAATTAAAAATAATAGTAGTTGGTAGTTTTTTAAAAAATGTACCTTTTAGGAAAAAAAAAAAAAACCATGGTTTTTGTTTCTCCCCAAAATTTGGGAACTTTTTTTTTCCTGATTGGTAAAATCTCAGTTTGTGAGATAAAATAATTAGATTGTACTCATGGAAGCATATATGGGCAGATCTTGCTGAAATCTTCTAATAAAGCAAATCTCAATTAATAATGGTAATTAGAGCCTGTGCAAACAATGGGAAGAGTACTGCCGTTGGTTTTTCTTCCTGTTAATTAGTTTAATAAATAAACTGGTGGGTACCTTGTACAGGCTTGAATCACTGCTGCAGAAGAACACTTCTATTCAAACATCTACCGTAGGTAGTAGAATTGCGGGAAACAGAAATCATGAGCTATTTTAACTGAAAGGATTTACCCTGGGAAGTGAGAGTTTACAGAGTCATTGGAAGGGCCGCTGTATTAGTTTGCCAGGGCTGCTGTAATAAGATCAAGGTCTTGGGGGTTAGGACTTCAACATATGAATTTGGGGGTGGCGGAGCACAAGTCAGCTCATAACAGCTGGGGAGGAGGCTTTAGGCCTGGCCCTGAGAAATTACTCCCAGACTAAGGCTGCAGAACTGACCCCCTAGAGAGTCACCACCTTGGTCATAGACAGCAAGCAGAGAGGGAGGAATCAGGAAGTCCCTGCTGTAGTTGCTGGATCCAGCGGTGAATGTTCTGAGCTGTGATCCTGGGATCAGGAAGCTGCAGCCACTGCCACAGTGTTGGTTCTAGAGCCAGGCAGCATGAGATCCAGTCATCGCATCCACACTACAGCTATAAGAAGGAGGAAGGGCAGAAGGTTGTGCTCCACCCTTTAAGGACACTTGCTAGAAGTCAGACAGAACGTCTGGTCACACTCTGTTTGACAGAAGTTAGTCACATGCAACATCTAGCTGCATGGGAGGCTGGGAAATGTGGTCTTTGTTCCCAACAGCTATGCATATACAGGGCCAAAAATCTCCAGGAGTATGATGAAGGGAAAATGGGGGAATGGAGTTTGGGGGTCAAGAGTGGTCTCTGCTGCACCTCCCTGAACAGAGACTCTAGGAGACTAGTAATGAATTCAAGATAAAGCAGCCAGTGTGGCCAAGGTTCTCCTTCAGTGCCTGAGCTCTTGGCCATAGGAGCTCACGCCTCCTCTCCTTTCCTGTGAATGACTGTGTGCAGTGTAAGCATGGAGCTTCTGCACTCTCGTGGCCAGGTACTCTCCATGTGGCCAGAAATGGCAGTTTCTGAGGGGCTCATGTTGTAGGTGATGATACAAAGAAGAGAAAGAGAGGGATCAGTTTTTCCAAGTGTGCATTTCATTTCAGTGTAAATATTTTGTGAGGTGGGGCATCCCTGTCTCCTGGAGAAATATATTTTTAATCTAATTGTTTACTTTCTTTGCATAGCCCCTAGTCCAATTCCTGACCCTTCAGTAGCAACTGTTGCCACAGGGGAAAATGGCATAACGCAGATCAGCAGTACAGCAGAATCCTTTCATAAACAGAATGGAACTGGAACACCTCAGGTGGAAACAAACACCAGTGAGGATGGTGAAAGCTCTGGAGCCAACGATAGTTTAAGAACACCTGAACAAGGATCTAATGGGACTGATGGGGCATCTCAAAAAACTCCCAGTAGCACTGGTAAGCATAGGCTTTTCTGCCAGTCATGTTTCTTAAAGGAAATCGGTAGAATTTATAAATGTCATGTTTTCCAAATACTGTTCTTCTTTTAATTACCTAAGAAAATCTTTTTAAAAATTTTTATAAAGATAGTAATGCATATTCATTATATAAAACATAGACAAGAAAAGAATAACAAGTAAATCATTAACTGGAGATAACCATTGATCACTTGATATACGAGTTTTATAATTTTAAGATATATGCATGCCTGTGTGCATATGTATATACATATATATGTTTTATTTTGTTTTACAAATATCAAGGTCATCCTTTACATGTAGCTTCTCACCAATATATTACAAATATTCTTCCCTGTTAGTATATACATTTCTACAGGACAGTTTTAATACCTGCCTGGCATTCTATTTTCTAAATCAGGGTTGGCAGATAATAATGGTCCTTGGGCCAAATATAGATCACTTTCTGTTTTTGTAAGTAAAGTTTTATTGAGTCTGCCTATGGCTGCTTTCATGCTAGAATTGAGTAGTGGCAATGGAGAATTTGTGGCTTGTAAAGCCTGAAATATTTATTCTGTGGCCCTTACAGAAAAACATTGCTGATACCTGGGTTAGATAATTGATTCTAAAACTGTGGTTCAGAGATCTCTAGGGGTCTCCTAGATTCTTTCAAGGTATTTCTGGGTATTGTTTTCATAATACTACTAACATGTTATTTGGCTTCTTTACTCTCATTTTATCATGAGTGTACAGTGGAGTCTTGCAGATTCTATATGATTTGGGATGACACTGTCACTCTTACAGCTAATGGAATGTATGCTTTCATATTGTTTAAAAAACTTTATCTTTTTTATTTCTAATACAGTATGGTAAATATTAATCAATATAACCCATATAAACAAAAATTCTCCGGGAGCCTTAATAATTTTTAAGAAGTTAAAAGGGCCCTGAGACCACAGTGTTTAAGAATTACTTGTCTAAAAGCATTGTAAATTATTTAACTGCTCCCCTGTTGTTGGGAAGGTAGATTATTTATTTATAATTTTTCATAAAAAACATTGTGATACAATAGTTTTGTTAGTTCTAGAAGTATTGATAAAATCACATACACAGTTAAAATAAGTCATTGAATTATTTCTAGGGTAATATGAGAAACTTTTAGAAATTCCTAAGGGGCTGGGCACAGTGGCTCATGCCTGTAATCACAGCACTTTGGGAGGCTAAGGTGGGTGATCACCTGAGGTCAGGAGTTCAAGGCCAGCCTGGCCAACATGGCAAAACCCCGTCTCTGTTAAAAATACAAAAATTAGCCGGGTGTGGTCATGCATGCCTGTAATCCCAGCTACTCGGGAGGCTGAGGCAGGAGAATTGCTTGAACCCAGGAGGCAGAGGTTGCAGTGAGTGGAGATGGTGCCACTGCACTCCCGACAGAGTGAGACTCTGTCTCAAAAAAAAAAAAAAAAAAAAAAAAAAAAAGAAAAATTCCTAGCAAGCTTATGTTAATTATTGTTACAAAAATTTGGGCTTAGAGGTTGGGACCATACCAGATGGTCTTCCCAGAAATCACTGGACAGGCTTACTGTTGAAGGGCATTTCCAGAGGAAGCCAATCTACAATGATTGGAATAAGAACCTACTTCTTCAAATATACAGACATCAACACAGAGTCACAAGGATCAAGAATAATCAGGGAAACGTGATATTACCAGAGAAACAAAATAAAGTGCAAGTGGTTGACCATAAAGAGATGGGAGATGTATGAACTGTCTGACAGAGAATTCAAAATACATGTTTTAAGGAAGCCTAGCAAACTTTAAGAAAATACAGATAAAGAATTCAAAGAAATGAGGAAAACAATAAGTGACTAGATTGAGATATTTAACAGAGAAGCAAACAGAAATTCTGAAGCTAAAAAATACTTTGAACAAAATGAAAAATGTAATAGAGAGCACCAAGAGTAGAACTGATCAAGTAGAAGAAATAATCCTTGAACTTGAAGACAGATTATTTGAAAATATACAGAGGAGGAAAAATAAAAAAGTGGATAAAAAGGAATGAAGAATGCCTATAGGATTTATGCAACAGCATCAAAAGACGTGGTATTTGAATTGGAGTTCATCTAGGGGAAGAGAAAGATAAAGAGGTAGAAAGCTTATTTAAAGAAATAGTAGCAGAAAACTCTCCAAACCTGGAGAAAGATATAAATATCCAGGTACAGGAAGGACAAATGACTCCAATCAGAGTCAATTCAAACAAGACTACTCCAGAACATAATCACACTGTCAAACATCACAGACAATGGGGATTTGGAAAGCAAAAAGAGAAAAGAAGCAAATAACATGTAAGGGAGCTCCACTTCAGCTAGCAGCAGACTTCTCAGCAGAAACTTACAGGCCAGGAGAGAGTGGGATGATATATTCACCATGCTGAGGGAAAACAACCTGCCAACCAAGATTGCTATACCCAGCAGAACTGGCCATCAAAAATGAAGGCAAGATAAAAGACTTTACCAGAGAAACAAAAGCTGAGGGAGTTCATCACCACTAGACATGTCTTATAAGAAATGCTAAAGAGAGTTTTTAAGCTGAAAGAAAAGGACACTAGTGATTAATTGAAAACATATGAAAGGATAAGACTAGTAAAATAAATACACAGTCAAATTCAGAATACATGAATACTGTAATGGTCATACATATCTTTAATATGAAAGTTAAAAGATAATACTTAAAAAATAATAACTACAATAACTTGCAGGGGGGATATGCAATATAAAAAGATGTAAATGGTGACATAAACAATTCATAATATGAGTGGGGAATGGACTAGAAGTGTAGAGGTCAATTTGTGTGTGTGATCAAAGTTGTCATCAGCATAAAATAACCTGTTATAACTATAAGATTCTTTTTATAAGCCTCATGGTAACCACAAAGAAGAACCTTTAGTAGATACACAAAAAATAAAAAGCAAGGAATCAAAACATACTACTAGAGAATATCACTTAACCTCAAAGGAAGATAGTAAGAGAGGACGGAAGGAACAAAGAGTCTATAAAACAACCAAATGGCAGTAGTAAGTTCTTACCTATCAATAATAACCTTGAAAGTAAAGGGTTTAAATTCTCCAATCAAAAGACATAGAGTGCGTGAATGGGTTAAAAAAAAAAACCGATCTCAATAGTATGCTGTCTACAAGAGACTCACCTCACCTGCAAGGACATGCCTAGACTGAAAGTGAAGGGATGGAAAAAGATACTCCATGCTAATGGAAATCTAAAGAGTGGCAGGAGTAGCTATACTTATGTCAGATAAAATAGACTTTAAGTTCAAAACTTTTAATGGAGACAACAAACATCATTTTATAATGATAAAGGGATCAATTCATCAAGAGGTCTTAACAATTATAAATATATATGCACCCAGCATTGGAATGCCTAAATATATAAAGCAAATATTAATGGATCTGAATGGACAGATTGACTGCAATGCATTCATAGTAGAGGACTTCCACCACCTTACTTCCAGCAATGGACAATGATCCAGACAGGAAATCAATAAGGAAGCATCAGACTTAAACTACAGTTTAGACCAAATGGATGTATCAGACATATACAGAACATTCCATCCAACAGCTGTAGAATACACACTTTTCAACTGCACCTGGAACATTCTCCAGGTAGATCATATGTTAGACCACAAAACAAGTGTTAACAGATTTAAGAAGTGTGAAATCATATCAAGTATCTTTTCTGATGATGGCATCAAACTAGAAATAAATAACAGGAGGAACTTAAGAAAATTCACAGATATATGGAAATTAAACAACATGCTCCTGAATAACTAATGGGTTGATGATGAAATTAAAAGGGAAACTAAAAAATATCTTGAGACAAACATCACTTCTTAAGCAATTTTGTTAACATATTTCTTTTTCTTCTTTAAAATGGTGCCATAACCTCCTTCATGAAATTGCTGTGAGACATAAATTAGAAAATGCTTGTACAGCCCCTGGTATAGGATCTGTCCCCAGGTCACTTACAGCAGGTCCCCAGCAGGGGTCATGCTGATCTTGCCATCTCCCACAGTAACTATTGTTAATTGTTTTGTCACAAATGCCCCTGAACAATCAATGGGTCAGTGAAGAAATTAAAAGGGACATTTAAAAATTTCTTGAAGCAAATGAAAATGGAAACACAATATACTAAAGCCTATGGGATACACCAAAAGCAGCCCTTCCAAGAAAGTTGACAGCAATAAACTCCTACATCAAAAAAGAAAGCTCCCTGGGCACAGTGGCTCGTGCCTGTAATCCCAGAACTTTGGGAGGCCGAGATGGGCGGATCACTTGAGGTCAGGAGTTCGAGACCAGCCTGGCCAACATGGTGAAACCCCGTCTCTACTAAAAATACAAAAATTAGCTGGGTGTAGTGACACACACCTGTAATCCCAGCTACTAGGAAGGCTGAGGCAGGAGAATTGCTTGAACCCAGAGGGCAGAGATTGCAGTGAGCCGAGATCGCACCACTGCACTCCAGCCTGGGCAACAGAGCAAGATTCTGTCTCAAAAAAAAAAAAAAAAAAAAAAAAAAAAAAAAAAAGCAAGCTCATACCTCCAGCCTGGGTTTTGAGAGCCTGTCTGAAAAAAACAAAACAAAACCCTCAAGTAAATAACCTAATGTAGCACGTTAAGGAACTAGAAAAATAAGAACAAACTAATCTTCAAATTAGTAAAAGGAACAAAATAATAAAGGTCAAAGCTGAAATAAATGAAATAGGCACTAGAAAAACAATAGAAAAGATCAATAAACTAAGTTGTTTTTTTGAAAACAAAGAACATTGACAAAGCTTTAGCTAGACTAAGAAAAAAGAGACGCTACTCAAATAAGAAAATCAGAAATGAGACATTATAAACTGATACCACAGAAATACAAAGGAACAATTATGAACAATTATATGCCAACAAATTGGATAACCTAGAAGAAATGGATAAATTCCTTGCCATATACCATTTACTATGATTGAATTATGAAGAAATAGAAAATCTGAATAATCCAATAATGAGTTAGGAGATTGAATCAGTAATAGACCATCTCCCATTTCTATTTATTACTGTTGTTATTCTAAGAGACAGTGACTCCCTCTGTCACCCAGGCTGGAGTACAGTGGTGTGATCATAGATCACTGTAAGTTGAACTCCTGGGCTGAAATGATCCTTCTGCCTTAGCCTCTCAAGTAGCTGTGGCTATTGGTGTGCACCACTACATCCAGCTAACTTTTAAAATTTTTTTGTAGAGATGGGGTCTCACTGTGTTGCCCAGGCTGCTCTTGAACTCCCAGCCTCAAGTGACCCCCACCACCTTGGCCTCCCGAAGTGCTGAGATTACAGGTGTGAGCCACCCAGTCCTCTGCCAAACCTTTAAAGAAGATCTAATGACAGTTCTTCTCAATTGCTTCCAAAAATTGAGGAGGAGAGAATACTTCCAAACTCATTTAACAAGAGCAGTATTACCTTGATACGAAAACCAGACAAGGATACAACCCAAAACACTATAGGCCAAGATGCAAAAATCTTTAACCAAATACTAGCAAACCTAATTTAACAGCATATTAAAGAGATCATTCACCATGATCAACTGGGATTCTTCCTAGAAATACAAAAAGGGTTCAACCTGTGCAAAACAATAAATGTGCTACACCATATTAACAGAATGGAGGACAGAAACCATACAATCATTTCAGTAGATGCAGAAAAAACATTTGACCAAAAAATATTGTTAACTGTGCTTTCTTTTCTGAACTTAAGAACTTGCTTTTCCAAAACCTTCCCAGAATCCCTGTATGAATCAACAAAATTTAGTTCTTAACACATTTCTCCTTCTTTAAAATGGTGACATTAGCTGGGCATGATGGTGTGTGCCTTTAATCCCAGCTACTTGGGAGGCTGAGGCAGGAGAATCGCCTGAACCCGGGAGGCAGAGGTTGCAGTGAGCCAAGATCACGCCACTACACTCCAGTCTGGGTGACGAGCAAGACTTCGTCTCAAAAAAAAAAAAAAAAAAAAAAGAAATAATGGTGCCATACCTTTCTCATGAAGTTGTTGTGAGGCATAAATGAGAACATACTTGTACAGCATCTGGGACATGGACGGCCTCTCAAAAGGAGTGCTGCTGTTCTTGCTACCTGCACCACTGTAACTGATGTTGTTTCATCATCCTCGTCACCATCATTGTTATTGATTGTAAATGGAAGCACAGTGGTCATCTTCCAAATATGCCACTCTGACTCTGTGAACTTGTCACTTTATAAAGAGGAAATTCAAGCTTGGAGGGGCCTTCTGGCATGACGTTTATTGAATTGTGGGGCACAAGATGCTTCCCTGCTTGTTCCATTTTCCTTTCTCTTGTTTATTCTCCTGCCTTATTTATTTATTTTTTCTTTTGAGACAGAGTCTTGCTCTGTTGCCCAGGCTGGAGTGCAGTGGTGTGATCTTGGTTCACTGCAAACTCTGCCTCCTGGGTTCAAGTGATTCTCCTGCCTCAGCTTCCCGAGTAGCTGGGATCACAGGTGGCTGCCACCATGCCCAATTAATTTTTGTATTTTTGGTAGAGACGGGGTTTCACCATGTTGGCCAGGCTGGTGTCGAACTCCTGACCTCAAGTGATCTGATCTGCCTGCCTCAGCCTCCCAAAGTGCTGGGATTACAGGCATGAGCCAGTGTGCCTGGCTTCCTGCAGTTTTTTTATTGATTGGATGAATGTTTGTATATCCCATGAGCCAGATGAGGCACACTGTCCATGCACATAGCAAGATGGTAACACTTACACCATCTTTACTCTTTTGGGATTAGTCCCAAGCTCCTTGAGAATGACTGCCGTATCACCTGGGTTTTACTCTTCGGTTTCTGGTTGTTACTCCTCAGTCTTCAGCTCAATTAGGATGCATCCATTTGGTAGTTTTACAGTTAGTAACCCTGATGGCTTCCACTGGTTTACGATCTTGTACATCTAAGATGATGAAACTAAGGTTCAGAGAGGTGAGATGACTTTGAGTAAAATTGCATGGTGAGCAACTAGCAGAATTGGACCCTGAAACCAGATTTCTAATGTCCAAATCTTGTCCCTTGTTTATCATATCATGGTGGTTCAATAATAATTCTTCGTGTTTAGTGTGGTGTACTAGAGCTATCAACAGAGAAACTTGAGACTGAGAGGTTTGAAGGGACTAATTCTAGGTCACACAGCTAATGGATGGAGCAGGTCTTTAATCCCAGATCTGGGTTCCAAGACCAGTCCTTTTCTCTTTACGCTGCTCTGTCCCTGCTATCTTTATGTCAGAAAACCACTGAGCTTCCTTCTAGATGTCAGGGTTTGGCAAAAAAGTTATCATGTGCTTCTGCGTCATGCAGCGTTTTCTGAGAATGGGGAGAGGGACTCATTTTGCATCTTTGATCTCTCTTTTTTATTTTGAGATGGAGTCTCGGTCTTGTCGCCCAGGCTGGAGTGCAGTGGCGCGATCTTGGCTCACTGCAACCTCCACCTCCCGGGTTCAAGTGATTCTACTGCCTCAGCCTCCCGAGTAGCTAGGATTACAGGTGACTGCCACCACACCCAGCTAATTTTTTTTTGTTTTTTTTGTTTTTTTAGTAGAGGTGGGGTTTCACCATGTTGGCCAGGGTGGTCTTGAACTCCTGACCTCAGGTGATCCACCCGCCTTGACCTCCTAAAGTTTGGTCTCTTTTTGTATCAGCTTCTATACAGACTTAACCCCATTTTTAAGTCACAGCCAGCATGGTCAACTTCTGTCAGTTTTGCTTCTGTTCCAAAGGCTTCTGTTTTACTAACATACACACATACATGTATGCATATGGATTTAAATAAATTCTGGTGCAGGGAAGTCTAGGAGGCAAAGAGAGATAAAACTCTGTGATTGGAAAGTCACTTCTGGAAACTAGACATATAGAGCAGACCTCACTCTTACATTTCTTTTTGAAGTGCAATAATTTTTTTTTTTTTTTTAACAATATAGGGCCCAGTCCTGTGTTTGACATTAAAGCTGTTTCCATCAGTCCAACCAATGTGATCTTAACTTGGAAAAGTAATGACACAGCTGCTTCTGAGTACAAGTATGTAGTAAAGCATAAGATGGAAAATGAGAAGACAATTACTGTTGTGCATCAACCATGGTGTAACATCACAGGCTTACGTCCAGCGACTTCATATGTATTCTCCATCACTCCAGGAATAGGCAATGAGACTTGGGGAGATCCCAGAGTCATAAAAGTCATCACAGGTAAGATGACTGGCTCCCAGGGATGATGACAAACCATTTCTTATTATGGTGTATTCTAGGGCCTTGTCCGTTCAAGTTGCCTGTTGGAAAGAGAATGGTTTTCATAAACTAGAAGAGGAGAAAAGGTGCTATGTTGTTTCAAGCCTGGGATTTCTGGTGGCCACATCATTCAGTATTAAGGCCCTATGTGTTTTGGGAAGTTCTAACTACTTCTGTTTGGTTTTTAAAATCTTTTGTTATTGTTGGTTAACACCTACCTTTCTGTTAAGACTCAGGAGTAGAGACTTCCTTAAAAACGCGTGTCTTCATGGTAATTACCAGCCTTTTAAGCTCCCAGGAAATTGATGCTGTGTTTATATTCCCAGGAGTTTCTGTTGGGCAGGAAAGTTTGGTGTATTTTATAGGGGAGTGTGTGTTTCAAATGAAATAAGAGTTTGATGATATTTAAATTTTAATTCAGATTTGACAGTTTAGATTTTGATTTATCTTAGATGTCAATACCGAAGCCATCTATTATAGCTGCAAACTTAGCTTTTTTTTTAAGCTGAAAAGAACCAAACATTTTAAAAAACAGGTGGAGAAACTTTTTTAAGGTGAGGAGAACCAAAAATTGAAGAAAGAGGTCCTCTGTTAGTTTTCTGATCTAGGGGGCTGGGGAGTGTGATCTCAGGGGCTGGAGTCGGCCATGGGCGCCTGAGCTCTTGGAGCCCACGGCTGGAGGTGAACGAGGTCCAGCGTGGAGCAGCAAATATGAAACCAGTGGCTTCCGACATTTTAAGTCAGGAAACTATTTCTTTAAACAAAACCTTGCCCAGGAGCCCAAAAAGTAAAAATAAAAAACTGGAGAGAAAAGAGCCAAAGAAATGGGAGTCACGGGCACCCTGACAAAACTCCTGGAGCTCCTCAGAGCACTATTTTAGGGGGGAAAACCTGCCATAAAGGTTTGCTCTGTTACATTGTGAAAGAGAGGGAAAGGAGAGCACAGAGAGATGACAGAAGAGAAGAGAATGAGAGAAAAGAGCATAGAACTTGGAAATGGTCATGAGGACAAGGTGACCCCGAGGGGGTGGCTGTGGGAAAGGGGATGCGGAGGTGCAGGAAGCACCGGTAGAGGGGCTGAGTGTCCTTATCTAGCTTAAAGCCCTGAGCACAGGGCTGCATGGGAGCAGGTCCATCAGCTGCTGCGTATTGAGCACGGCACATGTGCCTCTCTGTCCTTAATGTTATTTTGTCCTCACAGTAACCCTGGGGGCTGCAGCAGAAGACACTGTAATGTGGAGAAGTTAAGTTTCTTCCGGTGTCTCAGAGTTACTGAGTATCAAGTGGTGGGGCTGGAACCCGGAGTCTAACTCTAGACCACTGTGGTGCAGTGATGTTCATAACAGCTATCCACAGTCACCGAGCTGGGAATTTATTGGTTCTGCATTACTTAATAAAACAAAAAGACGCATGACTGACCTGATTTAGAACTCTTTGCATGAGAGACATGTGCTGTGAAGAATCATCTTACCGTTTCGGAGCTGGACGGTGCCTTAGAATCATCTAGGCCGATGTCTTTACCTTCAGGCCCCTGCAGCCCTCAGGAGGGGTTTTGCTCTATCTGCAGCACTACCTGTGCTTTTCTGTACATGAAGCTGCAGCCCTGGGTTCTCCTGTCCCCACTGCTACCAGGAGTGTGTGTTCTTGAGCAAGCCCCCCTGCCTCTCTGGGTCTTCGTGTTCTTATTGGAAAAGTGAGGGGAGTGCATGTCATTTTGGGTGAAGTGGTTTGACTTATGTCACCATCAACCAAATAACGCGATGGGAGGAAGGTCCAGGATATAGTGGAGATGGAACGTCTTCTGAAAAATCCCCTTGGTGCTGGGATATTGAATGTGCTGCTTACTTGAAATGTCTTGGTAATTTAAAATGATATTATTTGCATTATCTTGAATTGAGACCTTTAGATTAGTAAACAGTCACTTTATTTGAGGCTTTGTTCCTGATATCTAAAACACATACAATTAAATGCTACCATTTAAAAGGGACAGTTTAGAAGAGTGTCCAGTCACTATTGGGGTTAATCTTGGAGAACAGTGTGGATCCTAAACAATTTCAGTTTTAAGGTTTTTTTCTTCTCTTCCGTGTTATTATTTTCTCCCCCAGCCCTGCTGTGAAATGATGGAAATGCATTGGGCTCTGATAGAAAGGAAGTATTTTTAGTGAGTCACATTGGGACATCAGTGACCTCAGTCATTCTTTCTTTTTTTCTTTTAAAACCCGCTCCCAGCACTGAACCCCAGTCATTCTTAATGAAGGTGACTGCATATATCTTGTTCCATTAATGCATGTTGTATTTTTAAAATAGAGCCGATCCCAGTTTCTGATCTCCGTGTTGCCCTCACGGGTGTGAGGAAGGCTGCTCTCTCCTGGAGCAATGGCAATGGCACTGCCTCCTGCCGGGTTCTTCTTGAAAGCATTGGAAGCCATGAGGAGTTGACTCAAGACTCAAGACTTCAGGTCAATATCTCGGGCCTGAAGCCAGGGGTTCAATACAACATCAACCCGTATCTTCTACAATCAAATAAGACAAAGGGAGACCCCTTGGGCACAGAAGGTGGCTTGGGTGAGTTACAAAGGGTACCTTCCGTCTCCCTTACTGGTTCTTACTTTCAGTAACTAAATGTTCTAAAAAATAAATTGCTCTTCCATGTGTATGGAGATTTAGAATTTATAAAGGGCTTTTCCTCCACATTTTAGTTTGATCCCCCACCTGCATGAGGAAGGAAGGAAACGTGTTCTGATTTTACAGGGGAACACATTGGGGCTGAGAACAGCAATAGGAATTGAAACTTTTTAGAGTCTGGCACCCAGGAAAGTTAGAGGCCCCTTTAGCTTTCTATCTAACAGCTGTGTCAACCCAAGTTGGGCCTTCAGAGGAACTTATCACGTCTGCTGGTTGATGTTGGCGTTGTCATTTGCAGGTTTCATAGCATTTGCAGAGGATCCCCAGGATAACTCCATGAGGAGGACAGGCACTTAATCTGCATTTTATACTTAAGAAAACAGAGCTACAGAGTGGGTGTCAGGATCCTTGCTTGCGAGTGACAGAAACCAGACTTTGGATAGCTCAGACAGAAGGAACAATTTATTGGCTCATGTGGATTTTCCTGCTAGCGGGAGGCCTTAGAGAAAGAGATGAGGCAATTCTCATCCCTCCCTCTTGCTTCTTTCTGTTCATCAGCTTCATTCTCAGAGCAGCTCCCTCTGCACACTTAAGGAGCCCAGCTGCTCCTGTTTCACACCCTGCAGCTGCCCCACCAGCCAGCTGCCCCACCAACCAGGGTCTGGTCCAGGGAAACGTGTCTTGAGTGGGGTCTGATTAGCAAAGTCTGCTTCACAGAGCTGTCCCTGGAAATCCATGCTGGGACAGGAGAAGATAACAACCCAAAGAAGGGAGAATGACCTGAAATAAGCAGAGTTTGAAAGAGAAGCACCAGATATCTGTGGTGCTACTGGAATAACAGTACAAATGGAGATGGAGCTATCAGGCCTTTTTATGGGGCTGCCTCTCTCTCTGGAGGAGGAAGGGAGCAGATATTGATGGAGCACCAACTGTGGCCACTGTCTGATGGCCATCTGATGGGGTTGGGGCTCCGAAGGAAAATGGGGGATGTGTCCCTCTTGTGGTTGATGTCTTTTTGTCTCCTGTGCTTGAAACAGATGCCAGCAATACAGAGAGAAGCCGGGCAGGGAGCCCCACCGCCCCTGTGCATGATGAGTCCCTCGTGGGACCTGTGGACCCATCCTCCGGCCAGCAGTCCCGAGACACGGAAGTCCTGCTTGTCGGGTTAGAGCCTGGCACCCGATACAATGCCACCGTTTATTCCCAAGCAGCGAATGGCACAGAAGGACAGCCCCAGGCCATAGAGTTCAGGACAAGTAGGTTGAACTTTGTAAAATGGTGGCAGCCAGAGTTTCCTAGCACAATGTTCTGTCTCCTGTGATTCTGATTCTGAGTGATTTCTTGCATAACAGCTAGTTTTGATGTCAGAGGGAGCTTCCTGGAGGAGATTTTGGACAGAGCAGATCTGCTCAGTTTCTTCTTAACTCCATGGGCAGTGCACATCTCTCATTAAGTGAAATCAAATACATGGAGCAGCCCCTGTGTGCGGGCACCAGGCACTGCCTCACGCCATCTTTCACAGCTTTGCGTGGTGGCTGATGAGACAAACTGGCATCATACTTTCCTCTTAAAAACAAATAATCATTGCTTGTTTTTCCTTTGCTTTGAGTTAAGAAAGTTATGAAAGTGAGTTTCATTTTTTCACCCGCCTTGTAATTCATACCGATCTTTCTGTTGAAATGCTTGTTGACATGCACATTGCTGCTTCCTCGCTATAATTTATCAGCACTTTCACTCTGTAAGTTCACCAATATTTGGAGGCTTTGGTGAAAAGAGCGGGAGGTGAACACATTTGGGAATACTTAGAGGTAGTTACTGGCCAGGCTGTGTTACTTGTACAGGGCTAGAAGTTTTGGCAAGACATTGGTGAGAAGCCATTCTGTAAGGAATGACAGTTTTTCCTGGTATCCATGTTGAAGGAGGGTCCATTTGTGTCCTTCCTTCCCTTTGTACTTGTTTTGCTAATGTGGGAGTGGGTGGGGAGGATGCGGCCGTAGGACAGGCTGCCTGACCTCATGGGGCCTGCAGTGACCTGGCAGGAGTGGCAGGTGGGAGGCTCTCGGGTGAGGAGGGCTTGGATTCCAGAGGGTGGGTTAGTTGGAGGAGGAGGAAGGGGCTCCTATGTGGGTGCGGTTGGCAGTGGTGGGGTGTCCTGCACATGGTAAGCTTGCGTGAGAGAGTGAAAGGGGCTGAAATCTGGTCTGTGTGCCCTGCGTCAAGCCATGCACCCAGGGCTGGGTCCAGCCAGGGGAAGGTCCCTTTGACTGATTTGCTAAAAGGACTTGTAGATTTGTGTGGGCCTGGGGTCCCTGCTTTTTAAAGCAGTTTGAGCAAAAGCAAAGTAGTAGTGATTACATCTCAGGCTCTTGGTGGTGTGAATTCACACACATCCTGCTTTGGGTTGAACTGTCTTCATGCTTGGTAAATAATCATTATAGTAGCCTTTCCCTCTCTATAAGGGGCGAGTGTGTGTGTATAGATAAGTCTTAGTCAGTTTGGGCTGCTGTAACAAATGGCCATGCACTAGATGGCGTAAACAATGAACATTTATTTCTCAGGGTTCTGGAGGCTGGAAGTCTGAGACTGGGGTGCAGCATGCCTGGGCTCCGGGTGAAACACCCTCTTCCTCTTCCAGGTTGCAGACTCCCTGGGTCTTCACGTGGTTGAAGGGGTGAGGGCGTGGTTTCTCTCCAGCCTTTTTGATAAGGGCACTAATACCATTCAGGAGGGAGGTAATTCATGATCTAATTACCTCCCAAAAGCCCCGCCTCCTAAAAGCATCACATCAGGGGTTACAATTTCAACATAGGAATTTTATGGGGACAGAAACATTCAGTCTGTTGCAACACACACACACACACACACACACACACACACACACACACACACAGATAAACACACATTTCCACCCACCCCAGAGCACCCTGCACTTTTCAAGTGACTAGTTAGGTGGGGCAGGGTTAAGGAAACCATCAGAGGACATTGTTGAGGCACCCAAGACACGACAGAAAGCCACCTCTAGGGCTGAAGGGCTAGAGGAGGACAGGGTGTTTCTGGAGCCCAGTGAGAGCTGGGGCAGTGGTGGACACAGCTGTGTCAGGACAGGAGGCCCAGAGCAGGAGGTGATGGAGGAAGGCACTGACTCCTTTCTCCTGTGGCCCTTCAGGGGCCTGCCCATTGGCTCATAGTGGAACCCGGTCACAGCCCATGTGGCAAGACCCCCCATGATGCCTTGCACAAGGTCAGCCTCCTGGGCCCAGAGCAGGTGAGGGAAGGGCAGTGGATATGTCGGGAGGGTGGAGTGGGCAGGTGGTGAATAACTGGCACTCGGGTTATCTTTTCTTGAGGTTAGGATTGCTCTCCAGTTTTATAGGTGAGGAAGCTGAGCTCAAGTGGTTTTCCTGTGGCCCACCTGGGTGTCATAGCAGAGTGAGCCCTGGAACCCAGGCCTGCCTCGTCCTGACTTCTGTGATCTCGGGCGATCACATAGATCGCAGTGTTCGCTCTTGCATCATGTGTGTTTGACAACTTTTCTGGGTGCCCCTGGCCCTAGGGTAAGACATGCATAGAGTCCAAGTCATCATTTAGGTCAAATCTCTAAAGTCAACTTACAAAAAGGAACAAAGAATAACCCTGCAGGTGCCATTGGCCAGGTTGTTTCTTCACCGCCCAATGATGCCTGACTTTGGCTGGGACCGTCATGCTTTCCTAGCCACGGTTGATGGTGCAGAGGAGGAAGGAACACTCCCCCAGGAGAGTTTGCTGGGCTTGACAGCATGCCCTGATGACCTCTCCCTCCCTCTGCCTTGGCCGTTCTGGTTATTTTGAACTCCTCTTGTGTTCTCACAGATGCTATTCAGGTTTTTGACGTCACCGCTGTGAACATCAGTGCCACAAGCCTGACCCTGATCTGGAAAGTCAGCGATAACGAGTCGTCATCTAACTATACCTACAAGATACATGTGGCGGGGGAGACAGATTCTTCCAATCTCAACGTCAGTGAGCCTCGCGCTGTCATCCCCGGACTCCGCTCCAGCACCTTCTACAACATCACAGTGTGTCCTGTCCTAGGTGACATCGAGGGCACGCCGGGCTTCCTCCAAGTGCACACCCGTGAGTTCATGCCTGGCTCTCACCACCCTTTCCTGCTGTCCTGCTCCGTGCCAGGCCCAGACACAGGATGCATGATGTAGTAATGGTGACTGTTGGCTGACCACACGCCAAGCTTCGTGTGACATGCTTTCCTTGCACTGGCACATTGTATGCTCACAACAGCCCTGTGATGTGGTTGGAAGTAGCCTTATTTTATAGATAGGAAGCCAAGGCTGAGAGAGGTGCTAGACAGGTATCACAGCTGGAAAGTGGCAGAGGTGAGATTAAGCCTCTGGTATTTCTCACCTGGAGCCTGCGCTTGTAACTCTCTTTCCAGTGTGGAGGAGACCTAGAGTGAATTGATACAGGGAGACAAAAATGACCTGGTATTCATATCCCCTTGTGTCTTGGGTGCTGACATTATAACGAATCACTGGCACAGCTGTATCTCATCTTTGTTTGTTTAAATGTCCCTTAAAAATAAGATTTTATGCAGCAAATAAAAAGCTTTAGGTTTCAAAGAAGGTCCGATAATGTAAAATAAAACAGTAATGGTGCACTAGTAGTACAGTGGTATAATATTGATTATATACTATTAAACAATAGTAGTGACACCAGCACTGCATTTTGCACTGTGCCATGAGATTTATAGACACTGTAGTGGCCTCCGAGGTAGGTATTGGGGTCCCCTTTTACAGATGAGGAAATGACACCCTGATGGCTGAACAGTTTGCCCAAAGCCACAGAGCTAGTGAGTAGCAGAGCAGGACTTGAACTCAGGGGTGTGTGGCTCTGGACCCAGGCTTATCCCACAAGAATGTCCATTCCTTCGCAGGAAGCACACCTTAGCATTCTTATAGATGTATTTTGGACTGGATCTTTGGGAAAATGAAATATGCTTGCATTTCTTTACCTTTTACTCTTTTACTATTTATTAGTTAGGATTAGGTTCAGCCACGAATAACACCACCAAAAACAACAACAACAAAACCCAAGTATCCGTGGCTTAAACAAGACAGGGGTTTATTTCTCTCTCCTGTAACAGAAGCCCAGTGCTAGGCAGGATGGGGATGATAGAGGTTATCCAAGGCTCAGTTGTATGAAACAGAAACTGTGAGCTATTTTAACCAAAAGGGATTTATCCTGGGAATTGAGGTTTTGCAGAATCATTGGAAGAGCTGGTGTATTAGTTTGCTAGGGCTACCAGAACAAGTACCAAAGGCTGTGTGGCTTGAACAGAAATAGACTTTCTCATAGTTCTGGAGGCTGAAGGTCAAAGATTAAGGCAACGGCAGGTGTGGTTTCTTCTGAGGCCTCCCTCTTGGCTTATAGATGACTGTCTTCTCCCTCACATGGTTGTCCTTAGTCTGCGTGTGCCTATGCCCTCATCTCCCTTTATAAGGACACCAGTCTTGCTGGATTAGGGCCTACCTTCATGACCTCACATTAACTTAATTACCTCTTTGAAGACCCTGTCTCCAAAGACAGCCACATTCTGAGGTCTTGGGGGTTAGGACATAAACATACACATTTGGGGGTGAGGGAGCACAAGTCAGCTCATAACAGTTGAGGAGCAGGCTTTAGGCCTCGCCCCAAGAAATGACTCCTGGACTAAGTCTGCAGAACTGACCCCCTGGAGAGTCACCACCTTGGTCACAGACAGCAGAGGGAGGAATCAGGAAGTCTCTGCTGTAGTTGCGGGATCCAGGGGTCTATGTTCTGAGCTGTGATCCTGGGATCAGGAAGCTGCAGCCACCGCTGAGGTTTTGGTTCTAGAGCCAGGCAGCGTGAGCTCCAGTCATTGCATCCACACTACAGGTATAAGAAGGAGGAAGGGCAGAAGGTTGTGCCCCACCCTTAAAGGACACTTCCTAGAAGTCACCCAGTACCTCTGCTCATGCTTCGTTGAGCAAAACTTAGTCACATTGCAACATCTAGCTCCATGGGAGCTGGGAAATGTGGTCTTTGTTTCCAACAGGTATGCACACACAGGGCTAAAAATCTGGGTGGGTATGATGAAGGGAAAATGGGGGAATGGATTTTGGGGGTCAAGACTGGTCTCTCTCTGCTGTCCCTCCCTGAACAGAGGCTCTGGGAGGCTAGTAATGCATTCGAGATAAAGCAGCCAGTGTGGCCAAGGTTCTCCTCCAGAGCCTGAGCCCTTGACCACAGGAGCTCACGCCTCCTCTCATTTCCTGTGAATGATTGTGTGCAATGTAAGCACAGAGCTTCTGCACTCTCATGATCAAGTGCTCTCTCCATGGCCAGAAACAGCAGTTTCTGAGGGGCTCATGTTGTAGGTGATGATACAAAGAAGACAGAGAGAGGGATCAGGTGTCCTAAGTGTACATTTCATCTCAGTATTTTCTGAGGTGGGGCATCCCTGTCTCCTGGAGAAGTATATTTTTAATCTAGTTGTTTACTTTCTTTGCATAGCCCCTGTTCCAGTTTCTGACTTCCGAGTGACAGTGGTCAGCACGACGGAGATCGGCTTAGCATGGAGCAGCCATGATGCAGAATCATTTCAGATGCATATCACACAGGAGGGAGCTGGCAATTCTCGGGTAGAAATAACCACCAACCAAAGTATTATCATTGGTGGCTTGTTCCCTGGAACCAAGTATTGCTTTGAAATAGTTCCAAAAGGACCAAATGGGACTGAAGGGGCATCTCGGACAGTTTGCAATAGAACTGGTAAGCAAATAGGCTTTTCTGTTAAACCATCATGTTTCTTAAAGGAAATCAGTATAATTAATAAACATAATGTTTCCAAATATTGTTTTTCTTTTAATTATCTAAGAAAAAACTTTAAAAATTTTCATAACACTAATGCTTATTTATTATATGAAATACAGACAAGTAAGTAGAAAAAACTTACATGGAAACCATCAAGCAGAGATAATCACTTTTGATGTATGACATTTTACAATTTTTAAACATATACATATAGATACACAAATATATGTGTGAGTATACATATATTTAATACATATATATTTAATATTTAATACACACACACACACACACACATATATATATATATATATATTTTTTTTTTTTTTTTTTTTTTTTTTTGAGACAGTCTTACCCTGTCACCCAGGCTGGAGTGCAGTGGCATGATCTTGGCTCACTGCAACCTCCATCTCCTGGGTTCAAGTGAAGCGATTCTTGTGCCTCAGCCTCCTGAGTAATTGGAATTACAGGTGTGCACCACCATGCCTGGCTAATTTTTATAGTTTTAGTAGAGACAGGGTTTCGCCATATTGGCCAGGCTGGTCTTGATCTCCTGATCTCAAATGATCTGCCCACCTCAGCCTCCCAAAGTGCTTGGATTACAGGTGTGCGCCACTGCACCCAGCCCACAAATATATATTTATTTCTTTCACAAACATTGAGGCCATCTGTACATGTGGTTTTGTAATCTGCCTTTTCCCCAACTTGCCAATTAATTATGAATATTCTTTCCTCTTAATAAAATATTTCTACAGGATGATTTGAACACCTGCCTGGAATTCCATCATCTGAAACAGAGTTGGCAGATAAGAATGGCCCCTATGCCAAATTTGGCTCATTGTCTGTTTTTGTAAATAAAGTTTTATTGGATCACAGCCATGTTCATTTGCTTATGTACTGTCTATGGCTACTTTGGTGCTAGAATTGAGTAGTGGCAGCAGAGAACGTGTGGCTTGTGAAGCCTGAGATATTTATTTTCTGGCCATTACAGAGAATGTTTGCTGACCTCTGGGCTAGATCAGTGGTTTTCAAATTGTGGTCCAGGGCTCTCTAGGGATCCCTAGGTTCTTTCAAGGGGTCTCCAAGGTAGTATTATCATAACAATACTAAAATGTTATTTGGCTTTTTCATTCTCATTCTCTTTTGGAGTTTTCCAACTTTGATCCGATATGGGATGACATTGTCTCTCAGGTCTAATGGAATATATGCTGTGGATTCTTACATTTTAAAAATTTCTTCATTTTAAATCCCTGATATAGTAAATATTAATAAATATAACCTATGTAAATACAAATTCTCTGAGAGCCTTAATAACTTTTAAGATGGTAAAGAAGTCCTGAGAGCAAAAAGTTTAAGAACCTCTGGTCAAGATGTGTTAGAAATTAACTACTGTGCTGTGTTGGGCAGGTGGACTGTTCACAGTCTTTCCTAAACAACACTGTGATGAGATACTTTGTTAGTTCTAGAAGGCTAATTGAAATTGATAAAATCATTTTATAGTCAGCTACGGTGGCCTGCACCCATCGTCCCAGCTACTTGAGAGGCTGCGGCAGGAGGATTGCTTGGCCCAACAGTTGCAGACTAGCACCAGCCTGGGAGACCCTGTCTCAAAAAAAAATTTTTTTTTATAGAAACAGTTTAAATTATTAAATTATTTCTAGGCCTACAGGAGAAACTTCTGGGAAATCCTAGAGAGTAATGTTCATTATTGTTGTTTTAAAATTTTGAAATAATTGTTTTTTGGAAAGGTTGAAAAACATACAGTCTTCCTTGATCTAAGATTCAAGATAGTTGAAATCTTTTATACAGAGGGTAGAATAAAGATATACCTAATGTAAATGATGAGTTAATGGGTGCAGCACACCAACATGGCACATGTATACATATGTAACAAACCTGCACGTTGTGCACATGTACCCTAGAACTTAAAGTATAATAAAAACATATATATATATATAAAAGAAATGGGACAGATTCCTTGAAACACACATGAAATGAGTTACGCTTTTGAGATTCTCCTTGAAGAAGCTTCTTCAACTGTGCTGGTTGGGTTAAGCACCGATAGTCACTCAGAGGATCTGCTTCTGAAATAAGGGATCTACTAAAATGCATCCCTCAGATGAAATGCAGTATTCCCTTTGCAAATCTGCATTTCAGACTGTTGACATGACGTCTTAACGTCAACATGTTTCTTCTGTCTTTTAAGGATGTGGATAATGGTAAGAGGATCACCACTGAGGGAGATGCATGATGTTGTGCTACTTGCTATTGCCCAGAACTTACTGTAACAATAATATAATATGCTGGGGGTCTGCGAAGTGCTGAGTGCTCTCATACTGCATTTTACATTTTTAACACAACTTCATGGAGCAGGTATTATTATCATTTCTGTCTTACAGAGTAAGAAATGGGGGCTCTGCAAACTTAAGTAACTGGCCCAGAGTGACAAGGTGGCAAACTGACCTGTGTCTGCTGTCTAAGACCAAGTGCTTAACCACCATGTAGATTGACACTTTGATGTGGTACAGCAGTAAAGTTTAGTATTAGTGAGGAGAGGGCATCTCTTTTACTATAGTTTATTGTGAATATTCTTTCCTCTTAATATCAGTATTTCTACAGGGTAATTTTAACACCTGCCTGGAATTGCATTGTCTCAAAGGACCCGTTTCATTCAATGGTCCCATTGAATGAAAGTCAAGAAGGCTTGCTATAAGATCTAAACTCTTAGGGGGGTTACCTTTCTATTATCAAATAACCTTTATTGTTATTGGAAAAAGTCAGCTTAACAGCATTAAAAGCAATTTCAAAAAAAGGAAACGAATACCATATGATCCAGTAATTCCAGTCCTATGTATATCTCCAAAAGAATTGAAAACAGGCCCCTGGACAGTTATTTGTACATCAGTGTTCATAGTAGTAGCATTGTTCACAGTAGCCAAAGGTGGACCCAAGATCCCATCAACAAATGAATGGATAGATAAAATGTGGTTCATCCATACAACAAAATACTATTCAGCCATAAGAAAGAAAGAAATTCTGATTTATGGTACAACATGGATGGATCTTGAGGACATTATGCTAAGTGAAGCCAGACACAGAAGGACAAATACTGGATGATTCCACTTACATGAGTACCTAGATTAGGCAACTTAATATTCTACAGAAATTAGAATAGAGGTTACCAGGGGCTGTTCAGAGGAGGGAGTGGGCATTATTGTTTAATGGCTACAGTTTATGCTGGGGATAATGACAGTGTTTTGGGTACAGGTAGTGGTGATAGTTACACAACATTGTGAATATTGATGATACCGAATTGTACACTGACAAATGGTTAAGATGATAAATATTATGGTATGTATGTTTTACCACAATAAAAATGAAAAGGAACAAATATCTCTATTTTTCTAACCCAACTGAATTCCTTTTCTCTCTGTGTCCACAGTCATACATTTTGCTTGTATACTGTAATTATTATACAAATACTTTTATTTTGTATTTGAATTTCTTTTTACTCAGTCTATACCACAACTTTCCCCTATAGTTAGCATGGCCTTCATATTTTTAGTGGCTAAAGAGTATTTCATCATGCAGCCAGATCACAGTGCCCACAGCCCTCCCCATGTTATTGAATATTTAGGTTGTTTCTAGGTTTTTATGTTTATAGACAAAGGCTGCCTTTCATGGGCTTTTGTCTGTGGAATCCCTTTGACATCAGGAATCTGCTGGTAGGAAACAAAGGCTCCTCCCAGTGGCTTCTCTGTAAGGAGAATCCACTTAAAATTAAAAAAAAAATTAATTTTGGAGTAGATAGTACGTAAACATGGCACAATTTTTTTTGTTTTTTGGACAAGGTGTTTGCAGTGAAAGCATTTCCCTTTTTTGTCCCCTACCTGCCCATTTCCTCTCCCTGGAGGTGACGTTTGTTGCCAGGTAAAGAGAGACAGGGTTGAAAGCCGCGGTAGAAAATAGGCCCAGCCTCCGCGGTTACTTCCGGGCCTCTATGTAGGCATCCCTGGTGCAGGTGGCTGAGTGGGCAGCGGGAGATGATCGGAGGATGGGCTCCTGTGGGAGATTCCATTTCTGACTCTGCTCTGAAGGTGCAGGGTGTGCCTGTTTTCTTCCCTTCCTCATCCGTCCTCAAATGCTGCAACTTAGTAAAGGTCAGCTCTCCATTTCAGTTTTCCTCTTTGGTATGTAAGGCTGTGTCACGGGAAGATGTTTCCTTCTGAGTGACTGATTTAAAAAACACAACAAAACAAAAAAACCTCTTTATTGAGATATAATATACATACCGAAAAGGGATGTATCCTCAGCACATAGCTTCATGAACTTTTACAAACTGAACACATCTTGTTACCAGCACCCATATAAAAAAACTGAATGTGATTTCCACTTCAGATGACCCCTTGAAGGGCTTTTTTTTTTTTTTTTTTTTTGAGATGGAGTTTCGCTCTTGTTGCCCAGGCTGGAGTGCGATGGCGCGATCTTGGCTCACTGCAACCTCTGCCTTCCGGGTTCAAGTGATTCTCCTGCCTCAGCCTCCCAAGTAGCTGGGACTACAGGCATGCACCACCACGCCCGGCTAATTTTGTACTTTTTTTGATAGAGACGGGGTTTCTCCATGCTGGTCAGGCTGGTCTCAAACTCCCGACTTCAGGTGATCCGCCTGCCTTGGCTGCCCAAAGTGCTGGGATTACAGGCGTGATCCACCGCGCCTGGCCTTTTTTTTTTTTTTTTTTTTTTTGAGACAGAGCCTCATTCTGTCGCCCAGGCTGGAGTGCAGTGGTGTGATATCGGCTCACTGCAACCTCTGCCTTCTGGGTTCAAGCGACTCTTGTGCCCCAGCCTCCCGAGTAGCTGGGATTACAGGCGTGTACCACCACACCCAACTAATTTTTGTATTTTTAGTAGAGATGGGTTTTCACCATGTTGGCCAGGCTAGTCTCGAACCTCTGACCTCAAGTGATCCATCTCGGCTTCCCAAAATGTTGGGATTACAGGCATGAGCCATTGCACCCAGCCTAAGGGCTCATTTTTAAGACAACAACAAAAAACTGGAGAACTGGTAAGATAAACTGGGAAGTTCATGTGCGTCACAGAAGAGCTGAAATTCTTGAGAGCACTGAGTGTGTGCATTTCTCAGCTCGATTTTGGAGTGTGCCTTTTGTGAACTCATTAGAAAGCGTAATGGCAAAAGAGCAGGTCCTCTCGACAGCACTTGGAGAGGAAGCTGGGCGTCATGATAGTAACAGTTTTCCCTTCTCCTTCCTTTCTTCTGAGCAGTTCCCAGTGCAGTGTTTGACATCCACGTGGTCTACGTCACCACCACGGAGATGTGGCTGGACTGGAAGAGCCCTGACGGTGCTTCCGAGTATGTCTACCATTTAGTCATAGAGTCCAAGCATGGCTCTAACCACACAAGCACGTATGACAAAGCGATTACTCTCCAGGGCCTGATTCCGGGCACCTTATATAACATCACCATCTCTCCAGAAGTGGACCACGTCTGGGGGGACCCCAACTCCACTGCACAGTACACACGTAAGTCTCTTAGGATGCCCTTCTAAGGAACAGCCTCTCTAACTGTCTCTTGGAGGAGGCACTGGTTAAATGATGGCCAGTGTGCTTCTGGGATCCAGGTTGACTCTGAAACTGCTGAAGTTGAAAACATTGGTCTCAGCAATGGTTCTGCTGTCACCATGGGGCACTGTTCTTCAAGCTATGTGAACTTAGAATTGTCATTAGAAGGAAGAAATGATTCCTTGGGAATGGTGACTGAAATGGTTCTAGTCATTCCTTGAGAATACAGAGTAGAGAAGGGTCACCTTGTCATGTTGGTATTGGAAGATACTGCCCAGATGAGGAGCTTCGCCTGCAACAGTTAGGGAGGTGTTTTGCGAATATTTGAATTAAATACATGGTAAAGATGTTAGTTTGTAATATGTTTTTAGTATATTTTTCTCCATCTATTAGATTTAAAAAACAGATTAGAAATTAAATGTTAAAAATATATTTGAAATAAACTTGAAGTATTAAAAGAAGCCTAAATTAAACTTCTTTTGAGACTTAATCTGTATAATTATTTTCTTGATGTGTTTTTGGGAAGTTTTCCATCTTTTGAGCCAGCAAATACTAGTTTTATTCATTCTTTCTAAAACGAGCCAGGCTATTTTTGGATATAGTAAATAGTCCTGGAATTCTACTTAATCTGTGCTTTTACATGAATTGCCTTTTTTTTAAAATCAAGGGCCCAGCAATGTGTCCAACATTGATGTAAGTACCAACACCACAGCAGCAACTTTAAGTTGGCAGAACTTTGATGACGCCTCTCCCACGTACTCCTACTGCCTTCTTATTGAGAAGGCTGGAAATTCCAGCAACGCAACACAAGTAGTCACGGACATTGGAATTACTGACGCTACAGTCACTGAATTAATACCTGGCTCATCATACACAGTGGAGATCTTTGCACAAGTAGGGGATGGGATCAAGTCACTGGAACCTGGCCGGAAGTCATTCTGTACAGGTGAGTGTAGCCCCAACTGCCTCTTGGACTCCTCCCTGAGTGGTGCTGACCTTGCAGGTCAGTCCTCCCAAGTCTGTAGTTTGTCTGGTTTTGTGTGATGTGCAGTGATGGACATTGAGCTTTCCGAGGCATCCTGTTAGCTTATCGGTGCTGTCTCGATGCCCTCATCATTTCTGCATTCAATAAATATTTATTGAGCATATACCATATGCCAGTCAAGTCCTTGCCTTCTTGGAACTTTTCGAAGGAGGAAGTGGGATGTTTACCTAGAGTGCTCAGGAAAGGCCTCAATGACAAGGTGACTTTTGAGCAAAGATCTGAATGAAGGGAAGGAGCCAGCCATGTGGATATCAGGGCATGAGAACATTACAGGCAGAGGCCTGTGCAGAGGGGCCTGTGCAGCATCACCACTGTATCTGGAGGCTGGAGGAAGAGCAGGAGGCAAGGGTGGGAGGAGTGGACCCGCAGGAACAGGAGGATATAGGTGGGAGGTGAGGCCTGAGTGGGGCTGAGCCAGGATGTGGATGATATCTGGCATTGGTTTGTCTTTTGTGCTGGAGAAGATGAAAAGTTTATTGAAATGATGCCCAGCCTTTGCATCCTTCTTGATCCTCACCTATCTCACAACTGAAAATGTGTGATAAAGAGAAGAGCCCTCTGTGTAATTGAGGATGCTTTCAGGGCAGCCCAGGAAAGGCTTTGCAGACAGTGGTGGGCACTTCTGCTCACAGTGCTGACTGTGGCACCTTTATCACTCAGCACCCGTGCACTACTCATTTTCTGCCCTTCTCGCTCCTACCTCTTCCCTTTTTAGCCCAGGCCATTCAGATATGTTCAGGCTGATTTGGAAGTGATGGTCTCATGGGATCAGCCTCCCTGGTAGTATAGGAGCTCCAGCCTTGATGGCCTCTGGCTTTTCAGTGGTGAGTGGGGTGGCCACAGAAATCCCTGCAGCTTTGGGTCACTTCTGCTCCATCCCACCTGGTCTAGACACCCATCTTTGATATTTGGGTGCCTTTCATTGCTGATATTTATCTTAGCTATAGTTATTTGTAGCCTATAGCAAGAGAAAAACTGTATCTGAGCATTTATGACTGGGTGTGGGTGGAACAGGAGCTGTAAAAGTGGGTGCAGTGTTCAGGTTACCTTTCCAGGCCCTGGGTGGCAAATGTGGGTGTTGCACTAGGTGCCTTGGTAGAGCTTCTCCTGCTCTAAAATTCTGTGACATTCAATTAATGATAATACTGTCCTCCAGTTGTAATATGGAGTTTTCTATTTACATCAGTTTGATGTTAGTCCTCAGTAAAAATCTAATGGCCCTCAGATAGAGACAAATAACACTCTATTTTGAAGATGAGGAAACTGATGCATCATCAATGGATGATGCAGTATGTTATGTGAGTAGAGAGTGTCTTGAACTTAGACTTAGAAAACCTGGGATCTAGTTTTGGCTTCACCACCTGCCATGTCATCATCAGCCAATTACTTAACCTCTCTGAGCCTCTGTGGATTTATCTGCAGATGGGACAGTATAGGCCTCACCTGTCTCAGAAGTATCATCAAGAGGGCCTTGGCTGGGCTGGTGGCTCACACCTATAATCCCAGCACTTTGGGAGGCCAAGGTGGGTGGATCAGGAGGTCAAAAGATCGAGACCATCCTGGCTAACATGGTGAAACCCCATGTCTACTAAAAATACAAAAATCAACTGGGTATGGTGGTGCATGCCTGTAGTCCCAGCGACTTGGGAGGCTGACACAGGAGAATTGTTTGAACCCGGGAGGTGGACGTTGCGGTGAGCTGAGATTGCGCCATTGCACTCCAGCCTGGTCGACAGAGCGAGACTCCGTCTCAAAAAAAAAAGGGGGTCCTCATGATGAGATGGTGCAAGTGAGGAGGTTGCTACTTCTCACAGGATGATACAGCTGACTCTCATGGAGCCCTGGTCTCTTCCAGGCGTCTTTCTTGGTGCCTGACATCATTGTTCAATTTACTCTTCAAAGAGTCCTGCAGCTGAGGCTCAGAGCAGTTGGGTGACTGACCCAAGCTCACACAGTTTGGTGTTGCCCAATTTAGGGTCAGCCCCTGCCTCTTCCACCACATCACCCACCCACCTTCTCATCCCCAGGATTCTGCTACTCCCTATTTCCATGTTTGCAAAGGCAAAAGTCCCGGAATCTCATGCTGTGCTGTACTTGCTTTGCAGATCCTGCGTCCATGGCCTCCTTCGACTGCGAAGTGGTCCCCAAAGAGCCAGCCCTGGTTCTCAAATGGACCTGCCCTCCTGGCGCCAATGCAGGCTTTGAGCTGGAGGTCAGCAGTGGAGCCTGGAACAATGCGACCCACCTGGAGAGCTGCTCCTCTGAGAATGGCACTGAGTATAGAACGGAAGTCACGTATTTGAATTTTTCTACCTCGTACAACATCAGCATCACCACTGTGTCCTGTGGAAAGATGGCAGCCCCCACCCGGAACACCTGCACTACTGGCATCACAGGTGGGCTACAAGGCAGGGGCTGGTCAGTTGGCACTGTGATCACTCCTGGAGCGGCTGACCCACAGTGGGTCTGCACGTGTGGACTAGAAATCTGTTTTTGTTTTTTTATTTCCCCTAAAATATTTGCTTTTACTGACATAGACTGGTTTCTCATTCTATAGAAATCAATCTAAAAAAGCAGAGTAAGAGGGGCTCATTTTTTACATTCTAAAAGATTCCTTTTCTTTACAGCATAACTCATTGCCTCATTGCCATGTTTTCTTTTATATTTTTTTGAGATGGAGTCTTGCTCTTGTCACCCAGGCTGGAATGCAGTGACGCAATCTCAGCTCACTGCAACCTCTGCTTCCTGGGTTCAAGTGATTTTGGTGCCTCAGCCTCCTGAGTAGCTGGGACTACAGACACATGTCACCACGCCTGGCTAATTTTTGTATTTAGAGATGGGGTTTCACCATGTTGGCCAGGCTGGTCTTGAACTCCTGACCTCAAGTGATCCACCCGCCTTGGCCTCCTAAAGTGTTGGGATTACCCACGTGAGCCACTGCGCCTGGTCGTCTTTTAGCCCACATCTGTTGGTGGCTTACTGTGTGCTATGGTGAGGGATACTATGGTGAGTAGGGGCGACAGGGCCCCTGGAGCATAGGACTGAGAAGAGCATTGAGAGGGAGAGGATTTCCAGGTCTGGTGGTGGGTGAGCTAGCATGCTGCTGCCAATTTTGCAGCAAGGACCTGGGGATGGACCTTCTCTGGCCAGCTACAGGGTATAGAGCTGGTGGGAAATGCAGGAGCCTGTGCTAGCAGTTGACCATTAACATGGGAACGCCACCTCCCAGCGGGCACTGCTGCCGCATACTTGCGAGGTTGCTGAAGCTTGTAGTTTAGAGCAGGACCATCCCACTAGATGTGCAATGTGAGCCTCAGGTATAATTTAAAGTTTTCTAGAAGCCACACTGAAAAAAAAGTGAAAAGGAATAGCCGAAATTGGTATTAATAGCATTTTACTTAACTTAGTATATTAAAAGTATTATTTCAACATGTAATTTCTGTGAAGTATTAATGAGTTATTTTATGTCTTCTTTTGTACTAAGTCTTTGATATCTAGTCTGTATTGTGTGCTTGTAGCACATCTGAATGCAAACTGGTCACCTCTCAGGGGCTTGGCAGCCGCATGTGGCTAGAGGGCTGCTGTATCAGCACAGGTTTAGACAATTATGTTGTGGTTGTTTTGGAGTTCAGATTTCTGTCTCCTTGAATCTTGAATATATATAATAATGAGAACAGGCTGGGCGTGGTGGCTTATGCCTGTAATCCCAGCACTTTGGGAGGCTGAGGTGGGAGGATTGCTTGAGCCAGGAGTTTGAAACCAGCCTGGGCAACATAGCGAGATCCCATCTCATTTATTTTTTAAAAATATATAAAAAAAATGGGAATAACCCAAACTGTATGTGTGAGATGAATTTAGGTAGAGAGAGAGAGTGTGTGGAGTGGATCATCTTTAATTCAGTGTGTTCTTTCTTTTGTGTTAGTTCAGAGAGTGGCTCCATACCCTGGCTTGGAAAGGGGGGGTGTGCACAATCATGGAGGCCATCCATGGAGGGTCCTGTGGGGGCTTTTCTGGTTTCTGGGAAGAGGATCTGTTGGGTTTCTCTAGGTGGTATTTGAGACCAACTCTGGGAAAAATGTGGGGACTGTTTATGAAGAACACAGAGAAGTGCTGTGCCCAGGTCTCAGCAGAAAGTGTGTTCTCTCCCACCTCATCTGTGATTCTTCTCCTTGGACATTTGCTCCGTCTTTGCTCTCAGCTGACCAGCTGATCCTGGGGCCAAGCCAAGTCCATGTGGTGTCATTGTGCAGCTCCCAAGGCCACACCTTAGAGTTCCACCACAGTCTCTTTCTCACTCTCCTTCTTCCACCCCAGATCTCAGGATAATGAACCCGGCTCATCTTGAGTCATATGGGACTGGGGGAGAGGACAAGGGCAGGTTAGCTTCCTCATGCAAGGATACTAGCTTCTTACTCTAATGATGGTTTCTTTTACTGTGCAAAACCTTTTCAGTTTGATTTAATCTTGCTTGTCAATTTTTGCTTTTGTTGCTGTGCTTTTTGTGTGGTATCCAAGCAACCATTGTAAATACTATGTCAAGAAGCTCTTCCCCAATGTGTTTTTTTTTTTTTTTAAACAAATTTTACAGTGTACAGCTTTAGGTCTAATGTTTAAGGCTTGAATCTATTCAGAGTTTATTTTTGTGTCTGGTGTAAGATAGAGGTCCAGTTTTATTATGCTCACGGATACACAGTTTTCCCAGCACCATTTGTTGAAGAGGCTGTCTTTTCCCCATTGTGTCTTCTTGACATCCTTGTTGAAGATAAGTTGACTGTATATGTGAGAGTTTAATTCTGGGCTCAGTATTCTGTTCTATGGGTTGATGTCTGTCTTTATGCCTTTAATATACTGTTTTAATTACTGTAGCTTTGAATAAATATATCTTGAAATCAGGAAGTGTGAGGCCTCCAGCTTTATTCTTTCTCAACGCTACTTTGGCTATTCCTGGTCTTTGATTGTTCCATGTGAACTTTAGGATTTTTTTTTTATATTCTGTAAAAATTGCCATTGGGATTTTGATGGAGCATTGAATTTATAGATCGCTTTGAGTAGTGTCAAGTCTTCCAACAATGTGAAGTCTTCCAATCCATGAGCATGGGATGTCTTTGCATGTATTTGTGTATTTGTATCTTCTTTATTTTATCGATGTTTTGTGGTTTTCACTCTACAAGTCTTTCATCTCCTTGATTGTATTCTAATTATATTTCAATCAATCTGTTAAAAAATAAAATAAAAGCATGTACTGTTCAAAACAACAATAGCAAAACCAAACAAGGCTGCTGGGTGCCTGCCCTGGGGATTTGGCTGGATGCCCTGAAGGGGTCATTGTGAGCTAGGTGGGTTTCCCAGGATCTGCTGTCTCTGCTCCTCACCAGTTTCCTTCCCTGCCTTTTGCTTCTGGATTTGCTGTTTTGCACGAGCCCAGCATGTAGCTTCCAGAGTAAGATCTTGAGGAGGTTGCTGAAGCATGTTCTCTACCTAATGTGTTGCTTTGGTTTTCAATATTGGGTGATCATGTTTTGTTTTGTTTTGTTTTAGATCCCCCTCCTCCAGATGGATCCCCTAATATTACATCTGTCAGTCACAATTCAGTAAAGGTCAAGTTCAGTGGATTTGAAGCCAGCCACGGACCCATCAAAGCCTATGCTGTCATTCTCACCACCGGGGAAGGTAAGGAGAGGCCTCCGTGGGTTAAACAGCCCATGAGTGATGCAGTGACCAGAGCTTTCTCTGTGCCCACTGAGGCATGTGAGTAATGCAGACACACGCCTGTCTTCTCACTGCAGCCTATGCTGTGTACTCAGACAGAGAAGGAGGGTGAGGTATTTGCCTGATGGTTGACAAACTTTCTGGAAAGGGCCAGATTGCCAATATTTTAAGCTTTGCAGGTGGTATAGAGTCTGTTGCAAGCATTCGACTCTGCCATTGTAGTGTGCAAGCAGTCACAGAAGATACAGAAGGAATGAGTGGGACCATTCCCACTAGATGTTATTTACCATGGCAGGTGGATTTGGTTTGTGGCCCATAACTTGCTGATCTGTGATCTAGGTTTTTCTTCTCTTTTACCTCACTGGGCCTTTTAGGTGGTAGAATATTAGTTTTAACCAACTCTGTCTCTCTCTCTCACTCTACACACGTACACACATGCCATCCTCAGAGGATGACTTTCCTTTGAAAGAAAATAGAAAAAGATTTGCATTTGCTAGTGGGAATTTGCAGAGTATCTCCTTAGCTGAGAGAAGAGGTGGATTAAAAGCTGCTTTTCCTTAAAGGGCTCTGTTACATTCTTTTGTGGTAGGAAAGGAATCATTCGAGAGTCTCTTCGGTAGCTGTGTTTGAGTGCTTGCATAAGGCCTAGATTTAAAAGCCCAAGTTTTGTTGTGGGGGTTCCCTCCTCCCCCTCCCCTCCTCCCCCTCCCCTCTCCTCCTCCTCCCCTTCTCCTCCCCCTCCCCTCTCCTCCTCCTCCCCTTCTCCCCTTCTCCCCTTCTCCTTCCCTTCCCCTTCCCTCTTTCTTTCTTTTAGAGACAAGATCTCACCATGTTGCCCAGGCTGGTCTTGAACTCCTGGACTCAAGTAATCCTCCCACCTTGGCCTTCCAAAGTGCTGGGACTAGACTACAGGCATGAGCCTCTGTGCCTGGTCTGGGAGATTCTTTATGCATGAATAATGCAGTGTTTCCTCTGCCCACTCTCTCCTACTGTGGTGCTGTCCTCATGTCCTTGAGGAGGATAGAGACCAAACACACTGTCGGGGTTAGGGATCTGGGAGGATAGAAATTTGCTGGTGCCATAACCTGTGGCAAAATTTCAAAAAGTGAGGTTGAAATCTCTATCTTTTAATTTTGGGTCTGTTTCCAGCTCTTAGTCATTTTGCTGTGATGCTTGTCAGCAAGTCCCATTGAGGAAGGCCATGTTGCATAGCAGCCAGACTGACCAGTGCTGGCCTGTGATTAGATGAAACCTTGGGCTCTGAGCCCGATGCCCTGGATTGGGAACCCAACTCTACCTCATAGGCAGTGTGACCTTGTGCCTGGTCCTGTTAGCCTTTTGTACCTTCGTTTTCTTGTCTGTAAAATGGAGACAATAAGCTTATGTGATGGGATTCATGGGGATGAAGTGAGTTACTGTAGGTGAAACCCTTAGAATTCAATGTAAGTCAAACCTGGCACAGAGAGATACTTGAGAGATGGTTGCTGATCACTATCACCCAACATCACCACCATGTAGATATGCAGGAGAAGAAATCTCTCTGCCATCACTTTCTTATGATTCTCCTTCTGTGTACCTTTCTTAGCTGGTCACCCTTCTGCAGATGTCCTGAAATACACGTATGAGGATTTCAAAAAGGGAGCCTCAGATACTTATGTGACATACCTCATAAGAACAGAAGAAAAGGGACGTTCTCAGAGCTTGTCTGAAGTTTTGAAATATGAAATTGACGTTGGGAATGAGTCAACCACACTTGGTTATTACAATGGGAAGCTGGAACCTCTGGGCTCCTACCGGTAATGTCTTCTGGTTCTTACTCTTTGGGGGCTGAGCCTCATGAGCATAAAGCTCTACATGCCTGCGGTCAGACACGTCTCAGGGACCTCTTTTTGCTCTTTGTTATCCCACAGGGCTTGTGTGGCTGGCTTCACCAACATTACCTTCCACCCTCAAAACAAGGGGCTCATTGATGGGGCTGAGAGCTATGTGTCCTTCAGTCGCTACTCAGATGCTGTTTCCTTGCCCCAGGATCCAGGTAGGGAGAAGACAACAGTCCTGGCACTGGTTCAGTGGCATTTTGCTCCACGTGTCCATAGAAGGCCAGCTGTGTACATGCCTCCCTCAGACCTTCAGGAGGGTTGGTGTGCCCAGCTCTCCCCTCCCAGAGGTTGAGATGTCACTGGGTCACCGGGCTTACTGGGCTTCCTCCTCCGAGGTCCCACAGCCTGGACCCCACACTCTCCCTTCTCTAAGTGCCAGTTGTTCTTCCAATCTGCAAAGATTATTGACTCCCCTTATCTATGTGTGGTCACTTGTGGGCCCATATGCCAGGTGCACAGTTTGACACATTGCATTGAATCCTTAAATAGTAGAATCAGAGGAAGCCACATAAATTGTCTTGTTCAATCCTCTGTTTATTTTTCTTCATAATTTTAATTATGTTTATTGATTTGTTTATTTTATTTTATGTTTTTTTTTTTTTTTTTTCAGACAGAGTCTTGCTCTGTCACCCAGGCTGGAGTGCAGTGGCACGATATCTGCTCACTGCAACCTCTGCCTTCTGGGTTCAAGCAATTCTTCTGCCTCAGCCTCCTGAGTAGCTGGGATTACAGGTGCCTGCTACCATGCCCAGCTAATTTTTGTATTTTTAGTGGCGACGGGGTTTTGCTCTGTTGGCCAGGCTGGTCTCGAACTCCTGACCTCAGGTGATCTGCCCACCTCGGCTTCCCAAAGTGCTGGGATTATAGGCGTGAGCCACCATGTCCAGCCTATTTATTTTATTTTTGAGACGGAGTGTTGCTCTGTTGCCCAGGAGTACAGTGGCATGATCATAGCTCACTGTAACTTTGAATTCCTGGGCTCAAGGGATCCTCCTGCCTCAGCCTCCCAGGTGGGACCACAGTTGCTTACCACCATGCCTGGCTAATTTTTTGTAGAGATGGGGTCTTGCTATGTTGCCCAGGCTGGTCCTGAACTCCTGGCCTCAAGCCTCCTTCCACCTTCTTCCAAAGCTCTGGGGTTACAGGTGTGAGCCACTGTGCTCTGCCTGCTTTTTGGAAGTGAGACTTTTAAGGCCTAGAGAGGGGAAGTAACTTGCCCAGGGTTACACGATGGCTTTAGAGGCAGGCCTGAAATTCTGGTCTTGGACCCTTGTTAAGTGCTTCTACCCTTTATCACATAGACCTAGGTGATACAGGAGCTTCAGGGATCCAAGAGGGGTGCATCCCCTACCTTCAAGCCAGAGGCTAATGGACTGGCTGGTTTGTTAGTTTGTCTGCTTTTCTTTCCTAGTTGGTGGTTGTTGGGCGCAGGAAAGAATGCCTGCCCCAGAAGCAAAGTTTAGGGAGTCCCCACATCCTTCCCCGGTAAACAAATGGGTTTCCTGTCACCTGAGCATGGATGCTGCTGTAGGTACCTCTGCTCATATGTGGGTGCTAGTCTCAAAATGTCAGAGGTGGCAGGAAAAATATCTGAAAATCCAGCCCAGTTCCCTAAATTTGCAGTTGAGGAGACAGACCTGGAGAGGAACAGTAACTTTCTCAAGACCATCCAGGTAGTAGTGGATTGGGAACAGGAACCTGGCTTCTGCATGCATAGACTAGTTTTAGGTCCAAAGCTATTTAACTCCCTTGTGTGTGTGTGCGCCTGTGTGTGTGTGTGCATGCATGTGTGTGTATGGTATACACACTTTAACTCTCTGGTGTTAGGGTCCCAGGCCAGTTTTTAGCACATTGTGTGGTCTGCATGAACACCTCTTGAAGTGTCTCCCATTTGGACTTTTCTCAGGTGTCATCTGTGGAGCGGTTTTTGGCTGTATCTTTGGTGCCCTGGTTATTGTGACTGTGGGAGGCTTCATCTTCTGGAGAAAGAAGAGGTGATATTGCTTATGCTAATAATAATACTCTGGTATTTAAGGAAGCTTTCTATTAAGGAACATTTCAAACTTTGACAGATTCAGAAGGAATGATATGATGAGCGCCATGTTCCCTTCACCCATAGTGTTCTGCATTTGGCCAGTCCTATTTCCTCTGCGCCCCCAGCTGGGCGATGTTAATGTGCTCCCAGCTGTCACATCAGGCCACTGATAGACGCCACAGTGTGGGATGCTACTTTCAAATGATATGTTCTTGTTTACAAGTCAGTTTCATAGTATTATGATGTTAAGAGATTTCATTTCAGAGGTAGCTAAGTTTGAACACCAGCTCTGTCTTTGACCAGCTGTTTAGGAAGCTTAGCCTTAATGTCCTCATCTATGATAGGAGGATAATCATTGTGCCTAACTTGTGAAGCTGAGGAGGATTGAATAAATAAGGCACTTCTCAGTGTCTTGTGCCTTGTATGCTATTACTATTATTTTATCTGTACAACTACCCTGTGAGGTCATTAAATGGTAAAAGTAGCAGCCCTGTTTTGAGTGCTCACCGTGTGCCTGCATCTGTGCTTTCTGTGAATTATCGCATGCATGAGGCTCTGCGAGGCAGGTCCAGTAAGTCCCTTCCAAGGATGCAGAAGCTGAGTCAGGAAGTGTGGAAATAGAACTTGAACCTGGTCCTTGCACTTCATGGCACGCCCTCTTGTCTGTGTAGTGTGTGAAGCCTGTGTGTGTTAGTTGGGATTTCTTTGCTGTAAGGTGCTGCCAACCAGGGAATCTCCATCCTGCCTTAGGGGTCCTCATGCGGCCCAGGCCGGTTCCTTGTGCTGCCACCCTGCCCTGTTGGAGTGACAGGCAGAGCTCATGCTCCAGCTTTTAGGTTAGGTTCTGTTTTTTTTTTTTTGAGATGGAGTCTGGCTCTGTCCCCCAGGCTGGAGTACAGTGGCATGATCTCAGCTCACTGCAACCTCTGCCTCCTGGTTCAAGTGATTCTGCTGCCTCAGCCTCTTGAGTAGCTGGGATTACAGGCACCGCCACCACACCCAGCTAATTTTTGTATTTTTAGTAGAGACGGAGTTTCACCATGTTGGCCAGGCTGGTCTCGAACTCCTGACCTCAAGGGATCTGCCCGCCTCAGCCTCCTGAAGTGTTGGGATCACAGGCGTGAGCCCCTGTGCCTGGCCAGATTAGGTTCTGATTTTGGGGGGGGAAATGGATCAGTCAGTGGCTGGATAAAACAGTTTTATTGTTTCTTGTTAAAAATAAGAGTAATACATGCTTATGGCAAAAAATATAGAAAAGAAGAGCAAAAATAAATAGGAAATCTGCAATCGCAGAACCCACACAAAACTACTCTTAACATTTTGATGTGACCAAACTCACACACAAATGTGTGCACACACATGGAATCATGTTACATGTTAGAATCAAGCCTGCTTTATTCAGCTTAGACATTGTTGGCAGCTTCATTTCATCACAATTTTTTTTTTTTTTGAGACAGAGTTTCGTTCTTGTTGTCCAGGCTGGAGTGCAATGGCGTGGTCTTGGCTCACTGCAACCTCTGCCTCCTGGGTTCAAGCGATTCTCCTGTCTCAGCCTCCCAAGTAGCTGGGATTACAGGTGCCCGCCACCATGCCTGGCTATTTTTTTTGTATTTTTAGTAGAGATGGAGTTTTGCCATGTTGGCTGGTCTTAAACTCCTGACCTCAGGTGATCCACCCGCCTCGGCCTCTTAAAGTGCTGGGATTACAGGCATCAGCCACCGTGCCTGGCTCATTTCATCATCATTTTAAGTGGCTACAGAGTATTCAACTGTATGACAGTACCATGATCTAGTTAACCAATTTCCTAGGTGTTTCCAAGTTTTTTTTCTTGGCCACAGTTACTTATCCTTGTGCCTAAATCTTTGGGCACATTCACGATTATTTCCTTAGGCTAAATTCCAAGCTAGGCAAGTGCTGGGTCAGTGGGTATGCGTGCTTTCAGTTTTGATACATACTGCCAAATTACCTTCCAGAAAGTTTTTCTTAAATACCAATGCAGAGTTGAGTCAACAGTGCAGGAGTGTGCAGATGCCTCACCAACTTGCCAGTTCCGGATCTGATATGTTTTTTGGTTTATTGCATTCATTTATCAGAAAAGCTTTCTCAAAAACAAAGTATGAAATAACAAGTCTTGCTTTACATTAAAGTAATGCCACTGCTATATATTTGCAAGGAAGTTCTTAAAAGTGACTTGGATATGATTTTTTTCATTCTTTTAGATAGTACAAAAGAAAATAACTTCACAAATTTGTAATTAGCATTTGCAGCTTGGGTCATTAAGTTTAGTATTAGGGGGCAGGATTTGGTGTCAGCTGTGAACTAATGCCTGAGGAAAAGGTGTAACACCTTTATTTCATAGATGACATCAACTCCAGATACACAAGGGAAAAGCACAGGAAGGAATCCTTTTTTGTCTAATGGGTCTCTTTTCTCTTAAAACAGGAAAGATGCAAAGAATAATGAAGTGTCCTTTTCTCAAATTAAGTAAGTCTCTCAAATTATGAGCTTTATTTTAAATCCTCCAATCTGTTCGGTGACTATCTATAAATAATTTTTGATGGAACTTGCTGTCATTTTTCCTGATTGGCACATTTTGACCATGACCATCTGGAAGTTTTTGCTAGCTCTGTTTTCTGCAAGGAATCTATGTTTTATTAGTCTCCTGAAGCTGGCTTCCTTGTCATGTTCTACTCTTCTACCAATAAATACGGATTTCTTGATTAAAAAAACGTCAAATAGGTTATCAAGATCCAGGGGAGAGAAGAACTTACTTAAAGTCACAAAACCAATTAGTTACAAAGTAGGGTCTAGAAATCAGATTTCCTGAATCATATTTTAGTGTTTTGTGAATAATAGTACTCTGACCCCCTCTTGCCAAATTATACCCTGGGTTTTGTTGTTTTGGGAAGATTGTTTACTGTCATTTCTAGAGTATGAATGAGTCTTTCTAATTGCATATTTTTTCTTTCCCTTTCTATCATGAAGACCTAAAAAGTGAGTAATCTCTTTATTTTTTTTAATAACTTGTACTTTTCTATTGAATATGGACTTCACTGAATGTAAAAAATCCTGATAAGTTTTGTTTTCTTAGATCTAAGTTAATCAGAGTGGAGAATTTTGAGGCCTACTTCAAGAAGCAGCAAGCTGACTCCAACTGTGGGTTCGCAGAGGAATACGAAGTATGTTGCTGTAAATACTGTTTTTAATTGTGTCAGGTTCCAACCCAAGCTGGGATCTGAGGGGAGTTGGTGGATGGGTGGCAGGTAGCTGAAAGAACACTCGAGGGACTGTAGGCAGTTGGGACATGGCTTTATTCTCTCTCCTACAGAGTCAGCAGTGCAGTTATATTACTCACAGACAATAGTGGCTCAAAGCCAGGTATGAACTCACACAAACAGGTTACATTAAATGGCTATATAACGCAAGGGGTTGTTGCGCTCCAAACCCTTTGCGTCATACTGTCCTGGATGTCTACCTTGGACTACTCCTGACTGAAGCACAGCCACTTTCCTTAGAAATTGGCTTGTTTTTCCTGAAAGTTAGAAAACTGTTAACAGAAACTAGGAATTCAAGTCAGGGAACTGTTAGCCACAATACTTAGGAAGCTATATGAGCTGGAAAGAAACCAAATGGGCATGTAGAGGTCTGGGGCTTGATGGCAGTGTGGCCTAGGATGGCTTGTGAGGCTCACTTCTGAAGCCCTGCACAAGGAATTTCTTGGCCAGTGTCTGCCTTTCAGTTCCCCATGCTGTGCTCCAACCAGCCCAGGAACCAGCCCTGCTCAGAGTGACCATGCACACTCGTCCTCCTGTGCTGCCCTGTCCAGCATCTCTGCCTTTGCTCTCTTGAAATCCTGCTCAGCACTCAGCACAGTGCACATGCTGCTTCCTCCATGGGCATTCTGGGATCCCATTAGGAGGACTTGAGTTCTGTGTGCTCAGACTGCCTTGTTTCCCCTGTTGCTTGTTACCAATATTCAGCATTTCTTTAATTCTGCCTTTTTGTAATGTTAGTTTTTTCTGTGTACAGTACACCTCTCCTCCAGGTTGCAACTGCTTGAAGGCAAGGGTTATCCTTTTTCCTATATTCTAACCTTTGTATTAGTTCTCTAGGCTGCCATAAAAAAGCACCACAAACTGGGAGGCTGAAAACAACAGAAATTTACTGTCTAGAGGCCACAAGTCCCAAATTAAGGTGTGGGCAGGGTCACACTCCCTTCTAAACCTCTGGGCAGCGCCCTTCCTTGCCTCCGCAGCTTCTGGGAGCCCCAGGCGTCCCTTGGTTTTGTGGCAGCAACACTCTGATGTCTGCCTCTGTGTTCACATGGCCATCTCCCCTCATGTGTCTATGTCTCTTTGTCTCTTTTCCTCCTATAAGGACACTAGTCATATGGGATTCAGGGCCCACTCTAATCTAGTATGATCTCATTTTAATTTGTTTACATTTGTAAAGAGCCTTTTTTTTTTATACTTTAAGTTCTAGGATACATGAGCACAACATGCAGGTTTGTTACATATGTGTACATGTGCCATGTTGGTGTGCTGCACCCATTAACTCATCATTTACATTAGGTATATCTCCTAATGCTATCCCTCCCCCCACCCCATGACAGGCCCCGGTGTGTGATGTTCCCCTCCCTGTGTCCAAGTGTTCTCATTGTTCAATTCCCACCTATGAGTAAGAACATGCGGTGTTTGGTTTTCTGTCCTTGCGATCGTTTGCTGAGAATGATGGTTTCCAGCTTCATCCATGTCCCTACAAAGGACCTGAACTCATCCTTTTATGGCTGCATAGTATTCCATGGTGAATGTGTGCCACATTTTTCTTAGTCCAGTCTATCATTGATGGGCATTTCGGTTGGTTCCAAGTCTTTGCTATTGTGAATAGTGCTGCAATAAACATACATGTGCATGTGTCTTTATAGCAGCATGATTTATAATCCTTTGGGTATATACCCAGTAATGGGATGGCTGGGTCAAATGGTATTTCTAGTTTCATATCCTTGAGGAATCACCACATTGTCTTCCACAATGGTTGAACTAGTTTACAGTCCCAACAACAGTGTAAAAGTGTTGCTATTTCTCCACATCCTCTCCAGCACCTGTTGTTTCCTGACTTTTTAATGATTGCCATTCTAACTGGTGTGAGATGCTATCTCATTGTGGTTTTGATTTGCATTTCTCTGATGGCCAGCGATGATGAGCATTTTTTCATGTGTCTTTTGGCTGCATAAATGTCTTCTTTTGAGAAGTGTCTGTTCATATCCTTCGCCCACTTTTTGATGGGGTTGTTTGATTTTTTCTTGTAAATTTGTTTAAGTTCTTTGTAGTTTCTGGATATTAGCCCTTTGTCAGATGGGTAGATTGCAAAAATTTTCTCCCATTCTGTAGGTTGCCTGTTCACTCTGATGGTAGTTTCTTTTGCTGTGCAGAAGCTCTTTAGTTTAATTAGATCCAATTTGTCAATTTTGTCTTTTGTTGCCATTGCTTTTGGTGTTTTAGACGTAAAGTCCTTGCCCATGCCTATGTCCTGAATAGTATTGCCTAGGTTTTCTTCTAGGGTTTTTATGGTTTTAGGTCTGACATTTAAGTCTTTAATCCATCTTGAATTAATTTTTGTCAGTTTCAGCTTTCTACATATGGCTAGCCAGTTTTCCCAGCACCATTTATTAAATTGGGAATCCTTTCCCCATTGCTTGTTTTTGTCAGGTTTGTCAAAGATCAGATGGTTGTAGATGTGTGGTATTATTTCTGAGGGCTCTGTTCTGTTCCATTGGTCTATATCTCTGTTTTGGTACCAGTGCCATGCTCTTTTGGTTACTGTAGCCTTGTAGTATAGTTTGACGTCAGCTAGCATGATGCTTCCAGCTTTGTTCTTTTGGCTTAGGATTGTCTTGGCAGTGCAGGCTTGTAAAGAGCCTATTTCTAAATAAGATCCCACTCATAGGTATTGGGGGCGAGAAATCCAACATATCTTTTTGGGGCACAGTTTAACCCATATCACCTCTACATTTCCACTTTGTTCTTTTGCTACCAAAACACCACGGGTTTGGTCTAGGTCCTGCTCCTCACCTTTACAGAAAGCCAATCACTGAGATGACAAATATTGCCGGGGAAGAAAGCTTTAATCGGGTGCTGCAGCCAAGGAGATGGGAGCTGAATCTCAAATCCATCTCGCTGACTGACTAAAACCAGGGGTTTATACAGCAGGAAAGAAATGTAACAATGTGTAAGAAAACAGGAACTAGGGGCTGGGCATGGTGGCTCACGCCTGTAATCCCAGCACTTTGGGAGGCCAAGGTGGGTGGATCACGAGGTCAGGAGATCGAGACCATCCTGGCTAACATGGTGAAACCCCGTCTCTACTAAAAATACAAAAAATTAGCCAGGCGTGGTGGTGGGCGTCTGTAGTCCCAGCTACTCGGGAGGCTGAGGCAGGAGACCGCGCCACTGCACTCCAGCCTGGGCGACAGAGCGAGACTCTGTCTCAAAAAAAAAAAAAAAAAAAAAAAAAAGAAAACAGGAAGTAGGGAGGGGCAAGGAGGCATCTGGTGCAGTGATCTGACTAGTTTCAGTTCTTTGTTACTCCCTGAAGGTCCTTTCCTGAGAAAGGAACTCAGATAAAACAAATACAAGTTTCAGGCTTTAATAGCAGAAGGGTAAATTTCTATGTTTATTCAAAAACAACTTGTCTATGGGACTGTTGGGCTGGTTTCACTGTCATATGCTATGCTAAATATGAATAATATTTGAAGACTAAATAAATGAACACCTCATTTGTTTTGTTTTCAGGATCTGAAGCTTGTTGGAATTAGTCAACCTAAATATGCAGCAGAACTGGCTGAGAATAGAGGAAAGAATCGCTATAATAATGTTCTGCCCTGTAAGTTATTTTATCTACAGCATCTTCTCTGTGTTCCATCAGTGGCCATCACATCTCTAAGTGTAGAGGGGAGGGAATCAGTGATCCTAAGTAACCACTTCCACAACCATTCATTAGTCACCTACTTCCACAACCATCCATTATTCACCTACTATGTGCTAAGCACTATATTTAGGTGCATTCTCTTAAATCCTCACAACAGCCTTATGAAGTAGGTAGTAGAATATTTGTTTTGCAGATGAGGAAAATGCACAGAGTGGTTAGGTGATCTTTCCAAGGTTACACAGGTAGTGACGGGAAAACTCGGCTTTGTACTAGGTCTGTCTGTCTCAGTAAGGGAAAAGGCCAGAGTCTGTGTTCTTAACCCCTCTGTCTCACAACTATTTATTTCAGTTCTATAATTCTGGAATGAAAGTGAGCAGAGGGAGACGGGGAGTCACACTCTCTGTGTCCAGACACATGGGCTGAGTGAATTCCACAGCTAAGTATGACTTATATTTAGCTCATTTCCTGTTTTTGAGAATTAACAATGTCTGCATCTTAGTCAACAGGATTACAGCAAATTGAGTTTAAAATAAGAATTATTTATTACATCAAACCATTAGATGAAATGTAAATAATTCTCCATTGAAAGTTCCTTGTAATCTCTCTTTTGGGTGGGGATTAGGGCACAGAGAGGAGCATAAGCAGATTGTAGCCATGTTCTGATGGAGCTGAAATTGATAGACTTTGCAGATAATTTTTACATCAGGACGTCATCATCTTTATTCGAAGCCGTGTTTTTCATTCCTGGACTAAAACATTAAGTTCTTTTTAAATTCAGCATTTTCTAGTTCTTGGGTTCTTTCTCTCCATTTATTTCCTTGTACTTGACAAGGAGTATTGGCCCATGTTCTGAGGGAAATGCTTTTAAAACTAGGCTGGGGGTATTGCCCTTGTAAGGGTAATTTGGGATTATTGGCCCCTTTTTGTGAATGTCTGTGGAGATTCTCAGATCTGGAGTGGGAGCTGGGAAGTGGGTGTTTGGGTATTGTTCTTATTGGGAAGCCTTTAGGCTGAGACTCAGGTCAGTACTAGACTTAGCATTGTTATGTTATTTTGTCCAGAGGAGGGTGAGGTAGTACAATCAGAGACGGGGAAACTGAGGTGGTGCTGCTTCTGGCTCAGCCTGACACTTGCAGTTCTAAGGTTATTATTTCATCTCTTAAGTTGGGCAAGTTTGTGTGTATGCTTTTGAGATGACAATAATATTTATAAAACATAATTCTGTGTTTTAGACCCTCCTACTCATAGTAGTCTTATACATTCAATTTATACTTGAACTTGGTACTCTGTTTTTATAACAACTTGTTTATATGAGAATAGAGGCAGAGTAGAATGGTTAACCTAGGGACCTACCCCGTCCTAGTGGAAGGGGCACTAGATTTGAATTTTGACTGCCCCTCACCAGATATATGAACTTGGAGAAGTCACTTAATCTCTGTAACCCTCAGTTTCCTCATCTGTGAAACAGGGCAGTGGCTTGTAGGGTGGTTTTGAGGAGTAAATAAAATTGTTTAGCATATTCCCTCATGGTAGACACCTGAGGATGCTAATAGTAACAGGTTCATTTTATGTGAGAAGGCATCTGGTGTGGTTAAGATCTTGGGTCCTGGTGTCAGGCTGCAGGTTCAAATCCTGGCCCTGCCACTCATTAGCTCTGCTCTGGTGATCATGTGACTTCTCTGTGCCACGGTCATATAGAGTGACCATGAGGATTAAATGAGGTGGTCTATATGAAATGCCACACTGTGCATCTTCAAAGACACAAGTCCCAGTTTTGCCATTTTGAATTTCATTTTTTTTTCTGTTTTGTGTCCAACTTTACTAAAACATTTGCTTATAATGGGGACCTTTTTTCTTTTAATGTCACAGATGATATTTCCCGTGTCAAACTTTCGGTCCAGACCCATTCAACGGATGACTACATCAATGCCAACTACATGCCTGTAAGTTGGGGGACGGTCTCACAGCACTGGACTGTTTCGATGAAATCTTCAGTGTGCTTTGCTTCTTTCTGTTTCTTTGAGGTTGACTATGTGCTGTTTCCCATTTTTAGGGCTACCACTCCAAGAAAGATTTTATTGCCACACAAGGACCTTTACCGAACACTTTGAAAGATTTTTGGCGTATGGTTTGGGAGAAAAATGTATATGCCATCATTATGTTGACTAAATGTGTTGAACAGGGAAGAGTAAGTATCTTTTTTAGTTTTTAAAATTTAAAATTACATTAATTGCTTTTTATTGTGGCAGAAGGGTATCTTAAAAACCATTTGTTTCTTTAAAAAAACTCAAACATTAGCACTTTATTCTTATAAACTTGTTTTCTGTCTTTTTTTCCCCATAAGAGAAATGTTTAAAAACATTCTTTAAACAATTCTATTTTGTCATTATCTTTTTTTTGGACAAATATCAGTGTCTTCTGTTTATTACGTTGCTGCTGGAGTTAGTAAATAGCAAAATCTCCCAGGCCTAGTGCAAGATGCTGTTCACGGTGTGGCTCTGTTCTTCATTGGCCCCATGAACACGGACAAGCCCATCATGTCTCTAAGCAACCGGTGTCTTCATCTGTGAGATGAGGGTTTTCATCAGCTCCATGATTTTCAAATTTAGGTTGAGCACTGAACCCCTCCTGCCTCCACCCCAGGGTTTTTTTTTTTTTTTTTTTTTTTTTTTTTTTTTTTTGAGACAGGGTCTCCTCTGTCAGCCAGCCTGGAGTGCAGTGGTGCGATCATGGCTCACTACAGCTTTGAATTCCTGGGCTCCCTCCCACTTCAGCCTCCTGTGTAGCTGGGACTACAGGCGTGCACCACATGCCTGGATAATTTTTTTTATTTTTAGTGGAGGCAAGGTCTCACTGTGTTGCCCAGGCTGGTGTCAAACTCCTGACCTCAAGTGATCCTGCTTCCTTGGCCTCCCAAAGTGTTGGGATTTCAGGCGTGAGCCATCACACCTGGCCTGGAACCATTTCTTTAAGCAAAATCTCAGACTTATCCCTGGATAAGCCTCAGCAGCCTCCTCTCTCCTGCAACGTCCTGAAATCCCTCTTCTGCTTCCATCAAAGATAAGATTTTTTTTTTTTAGATGGAGTCTCACTCTGTCGCCAGGCTGGAGTGCCGTGGTGTGATCTTGGCTTTTGCAACCTCCGACTCCCTGGTTCAAGCGATTCTCCTGCCTCAGCCTCCCAAGTAGCTGGGATTACAGGCAGGCGCCACCATGCCCAGCTACTTTTTGTATTTTTAGTAGAGACAGGGTTTCACTATGTTGGCCAGGATGGTCTCAATCTCCTGACCTTGTGGTCCACCTGCCTTGGCCTCCCAAAGTGCTGGATTGCAGATGTGAGCCACCGCCCCTGGCCAATATTTTTTATAGTAATAAAATTCTGCATTTCCATGAATTGATGTGAAGAGAACTGAAAAACACATGCTAATCTAAAAAAATGCTGTGCCTTAGGAATGGGACTTAATGTTGCTTTATGAGTTGTTTTTAAGTGTAGGTTCATTGCTTGAGGAATAGGATTCGATTCCTTAAGCCAGTGGATCTCAAACTTTAGCATCCATCAGCATCACCAGGAGGGTGGTTCTACCCTCAGAGTTTCTAATTCGGAATTGCGTTTCTGCCAGTTTCTGGGTGATTCTACTGCTGTGGCACCAGGGTGCACACTTGGAGTGGTACTGTCCCCAGGATAGTGGGAGCCCTTCAGGCATCATTTCTTTTATTGTTCTTTAATTCATGGTAAGCTAGCAGATGTTTATCCAGCCCCTGGTATATGTAAGATCCTGTGCTAGGGGCTGAGGATGGAGGAGGGAAAGATAACAGAGCAGTAAGAGATGACGCCCATCCTCATGTTGCTTGTGATAGAGGGTGGGCTCCTTACCCTCTTGTTGAATCAGGAGAATAGGCTGTAATAGAAATAAAAGCGTTTTTAAAATGAATGCTGATAGGCTGGGTGCAGTGGCTTACAGCTGTAATCCCAGCACTTTGGAAGGCCATGGTGGGCAGACCACCTGAGGTCAGGAGTTTGAGACCAGCCTGGCCAACATGGCGAAACCCATCTCTACTAAAAACACAAAAATTAGCCAGGCGTGGTGGTGCATGCCTGTAATCCCAGCTACTTGGGAGGCTGAGGCAGGAGAATGGCCTGAACCCAGGAGGCGGAGGTTGCAGTGAGCCAAGATTGCACCACTGCACTCCAGCCTAGGCAACAGAGCAAGACTCTGTCTCAAAACAAAACAAAACAAAAAAAGAAGAATGCAAATAAGCTTTTTAATACTGTTGAGCCCAGGGCCTTATACATGAAACATTCTTATAAATCTATCTGTTAGACAAACAAAAATGACATAATTACATTAATGGAGAACATGAAGATGAATTTAAATGGTCTTTTGTTCATCTAAAATCAAGATTGAAGTTAGTCTTAGTGACCCTGGGTGAATGGGGAAGGGAGTGTATTTTCTGCACTAGATTCTCCATATATGTTATTTTTTTTCTGTAACAACCCTGTGAGGTATTATGATTTCATAGATGAGGTAACTGAGGCTTGGGGAGTTTAAGAACTTGCCCACAAGGTAGGAACAAAAATATACCTGGTAAGAGGCTGAGCTGGGAATCAACTCCATGTCAGTGTGTATCCAGATCCTGGGTTGTTTCTTTGGAACCTGGGTCTTTAAAGAAATACAGATCCCGCAGCCAGAGTCAGAATCTCTGGAGGTAGAACCCAGGCATCTCTTTTTAAACAAAACAAGGCCAGGCACAGAGGCTCAGGCATGTAATCTCAGCACTTTGGGAGGCCAAGGTGAGAGGATCACTTGAGGCCAGGAGTTCAAGAACAGCCTGGGCAACATAGTGAGACCCCCATCTCTACAAAAATACAAAATAGCTGGGTGTGGTGGCACGTCTCTGTAGTCCAAACTCCTCTGGAAGCTGAGGTGGGAGGATCACTTGAGCCTGAGAGGTTGAGGCTGCAGTGAGCCGTGATCGTGCCATTGTACCCCAGCTTGTATGACAGAGTGAGACTGTCTCAAACAAACACACAAACAAAAAACAGAAAACAAAACCCAAAACAACTCAAACTTCTCAGGTGAGTCAGATAATCAATTAGCTTTGAAAACTACCAGCAGTAGAGCACACCTTAGAATACTGAGTGTGTGTGCGTGTGTGTGTATGTGGGGTGTGTGTGTGTGTGTGTATGTGGGGTGTGTGTGTGTGTGTGTGTGTGTGTGTGTGTGTGTGTGGTCATTTGCCAAATGGGTATTCAGATATTCTTGGAGAGCAGGTGTTTCCTGGTTATTTCTGTTCACATCTGCCCACCAACTTTATAGAAATCAAAGACCCCAGAATGATTTAATTTGATTTTCTTTATTGGTGTGTGTATTTGTATTGCAACCGATGTATATCTGAAAGCCTTGGGAAAAAGTCCTCATTTCTTCCAGCTGTCTGGGGTTATGGGAGAAGATGAGGTCAGTGAACAGTTGTGGTGGCTACTCTAGGGGCAAAGGGAGCTGGATGGGGACTGTGTCCTAGGTCAAGGGACAGCTGCTGCTCTGCTCTAAATCAATTTTCATGCTGAAAGCAGGGCCTGTTGTAGGCAGATCTGATTTTTAAAGAGAAAATAAGTCTGGATTTTTATGAGAAATTTTAAGAGTTGGCAAGAATTGTAAATTAAAAAAAGAAAAAACAATTCCAACAGGTGCTGTGGTGTGCCCATAGACCCAGCTACTTGGGAGGCTGAGGCATGAGGATTGCTTGAGTGCAGGAATTGGAGGTGGTAGTGTGCTATGATCTCATTTGTGAATAGCCACCACACTCCAGCCTGGGCAGCATAGTGAGACCCTGTCTCTATAAAATAAAATAAAAAAATTCGAAGGGTCAAACAAAACCCAACTAGAAGGTCTGATTCCATCTCTGATGCCAGTTTTCAATAGCCAGTCTCCCTTGTGAGGTTTTAGTGATGGCAGATGGCATGATCTGAGTCTTCTTATAAAAATGCAATTTTGTTCTAGACCAAATGTGAGGAGTATTGGCCCTCCAAGCAGGCTCAGGACTATGGAGACATAACTGTGGCAATGACATCAGAAATTGTTCTTCCGGAATGGACCATCAGAGATTTCACAGTGAAAAATGTAAGTAAGAAGTCAGGATCAGTTGAGCTCATGTAATTACCATATGTTAATTTGGGGGTGATATGTTTTAGGTTGATATTAACTAATATGTTTTCCTATGCAGTGAGAAATGTTTTGCTGCTTTCCTTTCAGAACAGAACAATCCATATGCATGTATACTCCAAGGCAACCCCTTGACTTTTCTGGGAAATTTACTTTCTTGGGAATAACCTAAGTTATTTCTGAATAAAATGAATCTTAAGAGCATGGCTCTACATCAGGAACTCTTTCCTTTCTTTCCACTTCCAGGTGACTTGCTCATAGATTTTACAGAACAAACTGTAGCCTTTTGGATTATTTGGTTAGAAATATGGCATCAGGAGCGGCCACTTGCTGTTAGGAGTAATTGATAACAGTTACATTAATAGGATTCCAGGGCATATGCACATGGCCTTCCTTCCCCTCAAAATTTACAAAAGCAAATCCAATTAAATTGTGCAGGCATTCTAGGAAGTCAAGTTTATGTGCTTTTTTTCTTTTTCAAGGATGCTTTGAAAATAGAGGCAGTGCCATGAAGCAGCATTGGTATCTGTTGATGGGTGTGTGCATTGGCATAACTCTCTGCTGTTTATATCACAGGCCTAAACATTAGGCATGTGCTGGCTTGAAGTCTGAGACTATCCTAAGGAAATAATCTGAAATGCAACCAAAGGCTTATTCAGAAAGACGAGTCTCAGCATTATTTATAATAGAGGAAAACTTTGGAAACCATGCAGACATGGTTTTGTAGCTTTTGTAGCTTTTGCAGAATGGATAACTTAACTATGACTCGTCTGCTTATAATATCATTATTCAGCTATTAGAAATGATGGCCCAGGTGCGGTGATTCTAACCTGTGAGGCTAAGGTGGGAGGATCGCTTGAGCTCAGGTTTGAGACCAGCTTGGGCAACATGCTGAAACTCCACCTCTACAAAAACAAAACCAAACCAAACCCAAAAATTAGCCAGGCATGCTGGTATACACCTGTAGTCCCAGCTACTTGGAAGGCTGAGGTAGGAGGATGGCTTGAGCCCAGGAGGTCGAGGCTGCAGTGAACCGAGATTGTGCCACTGCTGCACTCTAGCCTGGGTGACAAAGCAAGACCCGGTCTCAAAAAAAAAAAAAAAAAAGATAAATAAGGGATGGGTAGACTATATAATTACCATGGGGACATGGTAGGATGTAATGTAAGAGAAACATTCTAGGAGATGAAAATGTATGCATATTATGAATAGTGCATAAAAGGAAAGCCGGGAAGTATAGATTCACTGGAGTTGAATCTTGAATCTTTTGGGTGGGTTTTGGGGGTTGATGGGTTAGGGTCTAGTTTATGAGATTATCCTTGAAGATTCCACAAGTCATGGATAAAGTATAGTATATTAAGTAGTAATTCTTTACTAATTGCTGTGTCTCAAAGGGTCTGGCCTCAATATTTCAGTTCCTCCTCTGGAGATGCCATCAAAGCTGTTACCATGATCTGGCCACCTAAATAATGCAGCTCACAGTAGTAGAAAAATGTCATGCTTATTTCTTTTCTTTTCTTTTCTTTTTTTTCTTTTTTTGAGATGGAGTCTCTCTCTGTCATCCAGGCTGGAGTGCAGTAGCACAATCTCAGCTCACTGCAACCTCTGCCTCTCGGGTCCAAGTGATTCTCCTGCCTCAGCCTCCTGAGTAGCTGGGACTACAGGCACCTGCCACCATGCCCAGCTAATTTTTTTTGTATTTTTAATAGAGATGGGGTGTCACCATATTGGCCAGGCTGGTCTTGAACACCTGACCTTGTGATCCACCTGCTCGGCCTCCAAAAGTGTTAGGATTACAGGTGGGAGTCACTGTGCCCGGCCTGTCATGCTTATTTCTATAGATTTTGCTCATTTGAACTGACTGGCTTCTCCTTGGTTGCCTCCACTGCTTGGGGCTTACCTTGTGGAGGGGAATTTAGGATGGAGTTGTCCACATCATTTTTAAAAATTGCTGTTACTATGATTATTATTTTTTATTAACTAAACTCCAGACTTTATTCAGATTTCATGTTTTTCCACTAAAGCCTTGTTTTGTTCCTGGCTCTGATCCAGGACACCACATGGCATTTAGTACCATGTTATTTTTTAATTATACAAAATGCCTGAATACATTTTCCTTTAGAAAATCGAGAAATTACAAACAGAGCTAAAGATTTCCTTTGACTACCACCCCTAACCTGAGCCCCTTTGCCCCTCCACGAAGATAATACTAAGTATAACCCTCCTCACTTCTCCCTCTTCCTCTCCCCCTCCTTCTCCCCTTGCCCGCTCCCACTCCCTTTCCTCTCCCTCCTCCCTCTCCCTCCTCCCTCTCCCTCCCTTTTTCTTCCTCTTCCCCCACCTCCATCTCTCACAGCTGGTTTCTGTCTTTGGATCAGTACTTCTGGTTAAATGTGTGAATGTTAACTTTATCTGTGATGAGGTCTTCTAGCACCTCTCCCTTCACTCTGTCTGTTTTTCCTGTTTTCCAAATTTTGAATACTGCACATTCTTATCATGAATATACATTTCAAAAAATGAGTGTCAAAGGGCAGCTGTCATAATGGAGATGGAAATGCCTGCAGTGCAGATGTAGGTCACATGGGTACGGATGTAGGTCACATGGGTATGGTCATTCCCTGGTATGGGCATAACGAGTACAGCTGAGTCAGGGACAGGACTCGCCCCAGCTGGGGTGGGCTTCTGGTGCTTCAAGGTATATGCTTTGGTATGAGGTAGGGAACCAGTCTGTGTAATAATGAGCTCTATTGTCTTTCAGATGTTGAAATGGATGGTTTTTTGGGGGAGTCCTTTCTCAGCTCTCTCCAATTCTAAATATTTGCATGGTGCTTGCTAGTGGCCTGTCACTTTATTCACTTCTCTAGGGGACATAGTGAATTATGAGGCCATTCTTGCCTAGAAGGCACTGATTATCATGGTGTATTTGAGTAAATTATTTTTGGTTTTATTGTCAGTGACATTCCCAGGGGGGCTCGGGGATGGGGCTCATGCAGCTCTAAGGAGGTGCAGGTGTAAGAATGTGAGTTCATTATTGATAGGCAGCTGTGGCAGGAAGGGAAGGATCTGAATGCAGAATTGGAGGATGAGGGACTTCTGTTGCATCTGAAATCAGTGTTGGGGAAATGACTTCACTTCTGTGAATCTCTGCTGCCTCATCTTTAAAGGGGGATAATAAACTCTCCTTCTTGAGCATATTGTGAGGGTTTGATGAGCAAGCACTTTATCAGCTGCTGTGCAAATGTAAAGTTTAATTTTTAGTCATTACAACTCCTGGTTAGTACTCAGGCTCTGCTTGATTTCCCCTGCCTTTTTGATGTTGTTAGGCAGCCTTTCTGTCTGGATCTAAATCATTTTCTGGGCTTTTAGATCCAGACAAGTGAGAGTCACCCTCTGAGACAGTTCCATTTCACCTCCTGGCCAGACCACGGTGTTCCCGACACCACTGACCTGCTCATCAACTTCCGGTACCTCGTTCGTGACTACATGAAGCAGAGTCCTCCCGAATCGCCGATTCTGGTGCATTGCAGGTACGCAGATGGCACGTCACGTGTGACAGATTTCAAATGTCATTATATATTTATGAGCACTTTACAAAAGCAAAGCCTAAGAGGGAATGTAATAGGCATTTATGAATTCAGGAAAGGTTTGGATAAGGAACCATGGACTTACTCCCTAAGCCCTGAGCTTCCAAAACAGGGGTTGGCAAACTGTAACCCATGGATCAAATCTGGTCAGCTGCTGTTTTTGTAAATAACATTTTCTAGGAACACAGCATGCCCATTTATTTATATATTGTTTATGGTTGCTTTTCTGCTACAGTGACAGAAAGAGACCATATGGTTTGCAAAGCTTAAGATGTTAACTATCTGGCCCTTTACTGAAAAAGTTTGCCAACCCCTAACAATAAGAAGTTAGCTTTGAAGCTAAAGGAATTAATTTAGGACAGAAGACAGGAGGGGCTCTGTTGCCCAGTGGGGAAAAAATGGCTAAAATGTGCCGCCATCCTGGGTTATGGGCAACTTGAATGGAACTGAGATTGAAGAAGCTTGAGCAAAGGGTTATATGTGTGGCATCTGACTCAAATGTGAGTTTGGGACTTAGGCCCCAGTCCCAAGCTAGTGCTGTCTGACTTGCTGAGGCTTCAACTGAGCAAATGTGTACTGATCCTGTGCATTGCCCTCAAAGTGTGACAGTGAAGGAAAGCAAGATATATGTACAAATGAGGAACTCTAAGAGGGTTGCAGTCGAGGGAACCCACTGTAATAGGCTTATTTCTCTTTTCTCTCAGTGCTGGGGTCGGAAGGACGGGCACTTTCATTGCCATTGATCGTCTCATCTACCAGATAGAGAATGAGAACACCGTGGATGTGTATGGGATTGTGTATGACCTTCGAATGCATAGGCCTTTAATGGTGCAGACAGAGGTGAGGCCAAGATCTGTATTTGACATTCCACCCTTCCCCTCCATTTTTTTTTTTTTTTTTTTTTTTTTTGAGACGGAGTCTTGCTCTGTCGCCCAGGCTGGAGTGCAGTGGCATGATCTTGGCTCACTGCAACCTCTGCCTCCTGGGTTCAAGTGATTCTCCTGCCTCTGCCTCCCAAGTAGCTGGGATTACAGGCACGCACACCATGCCCAGCTAATTTTTGTAATTTTAGTAGAGACGGTGTTTCTCCATGTTGGCCAGGCTGGTCTCGAACTCCTGACCTCAAGTGATCTGCCTGCCTCAGTGTCCCGAAGTGCTGGGATTACAGGCATGAGCCACTTTGCCTGGCCCTTCCCCTCCATTTTTAAAAGGTTGCATTGTGTCATGCACTTGTGTTAAAATATGTCACCCTTCCAGATCTTTCCAGCTCTTGGCTGTGAACTAACACTGGATTTCTTTGCAGACTTTAAGCTGACTTGGAATTAAATTACCCAATACAAGTGACATAGTAGTACTGATGTCAGTAATGGAACTACTACTGAGATAGTGTCAGGATTCTTTACCTTGCTGCCTCTGACTCATTAAATAATCTTAGGACATCTTTGAACTTTGGCTTCCAGGTTTTAAACTCATAAAACTGGTATTTTCCAGTCTTTGTTTCTAAGAAGGTCTGACCATCTTTAAAATAAGCTAATGAAACAAACTCATCAAACATTAATGATGTGACATATCATAATGCTGCTTAAATGTTAATACAGCAATTTATCCTCACCCAGACTTGTACATTTTAAAGACTATCAATTATCATAGCTACAGAAGGGTGGCTGACCAGCGGAGAAAAGGAACACTTAATATCTATGGTATAGTTTCTGTACTACTGCTGGATTTGGTTTTACCCAAACTGTTACTGAGAAGTGTTTTTGAGGCATGTTTTCAACAGAACATATTGCAAAGTTGCTTTCCTCAAAGGGGTGAATGTTCCTTGACCAGGATGAGAGCAGAATATTAATTTTGTATCAGGCTATCGTCCTGTACCGATTTAGAACTCTATGAATATGTGCTGTGTTTTTGAGTCTAGCAGGGAATGTTCTAGATGCCTGGGTACATTGCGTGCTCTGGGGTGAGCTTGGTGGTTGTTGTGGAAAGAGTGAAATTCAACTCCTGTGTTGGTCAAAAGAGAGATTTTCTTTTTTCTGCTATAATTATATAAAGTAGTATTTCTCAATCTTTTATCCTTTTTTGAGAAACATAGAACTCTTATCCCTGCTACTAGAGTCTAATCTCTTTTTTATATTTTGAAAACAATACTTATTCATATGAAAGCATTTGACAATATATTTTTCTCTCCTCTTTTTTTTTTTTTTGAGACGGAGACTTGCTCTGTCACCGGGCTGGATTGCAGTGGTGCGATCTCGGCTCACTGCAACCTCTGCCTCCTGGGTTCAAGCGATTCCCCTGCCTCAGCCTCCCAAGTAGCTGGGACTACAGGCGTGTGCCACCATGCCCAGCTAATTTTTTTTTTGTATTTTAGTAGAGATGGGGTTTCACCATGTTGGCCAGGATGGTCTCGATCTCCTGACCTCATGATCCGCCCGCCTCGGCCTCCCAAATTGCTGGGATTACAGGTGTGAGCCACCGTGCCTGGCCTCAATATATTTTTCTCTTACTCTTCCTTCCCCAATCCTGCTTCCTGGAGGTAGCCAATGTTTATAGTTTGGTGTACATCTTTATAAGACTCTTTATGTACATCTGTAAACACACACACACACACACGCACACACAGTACTTTGAAAAAATTGGATGCTGTTTTTTTTTTGAGATGGAGTCTTGCTCTGTTGCCCAGGCTGGAGTGCAGTGGTGCCATCTCAGCTCACTGAAACCTCAACCTCCTGGGTTCCAGCGATTCTCCTGCCTCAGCCTCCTGAGTAGCTGGGATTACAGGTGTGTGCCACCACGCCCAGCAAATTTTTGTATTTTTAGTAGAGACGGGGTTTCACCATGTTGGCCAGGCTGATCTCGCACTCCTAACCTGAGCCGATCTACCTGTCTTGGCCTCCCCAAAGTGCTGGGATTACAGACAGGAGCCACCGCGCCTGGCCAGATCCTGTTTTATGTATGTTGCTTCTCTGTGATTTTTTTTCTCCTCTTATAATATCATGGATATTTTTCTGTGTCAGCTTATACCCTTGTTTCCTCTTTTCTTCATCACTATCCACAGATTCTGATATACCTACCTGAAGGATAGTCCTCATCCAGCTCCACCTGATCATCTCCTTTTAACCTCGCTCCTCGGTTGAGCATTACAGTTGATTCTTACTCTGTACAGTCTCACTAGCCAAGGCAATCTTGTTGGACATTTGATTGTTCGAATGTGTGTGTGCATTTTTTCCTCTACATTTCCTCCTTCCTTTGCCCTTCCCTGAGACTGTGGCATTTTTCCTTGGGGAGGGGAGGTGTGGAGTGTGCTCTTCTGGTTGAGAATCATTGAGGAAGGACATCTTGCTTCTGTGATTTCAGATTTCACTGCAATGTTGTTACCTCTTGAAACATGTTCGCTTGAACCGTTTGCTGTTGGGTGGATGGGGTTTGGGAGTTGGGCGGGGGAATGACCTGTTTGAAAATAATTTTGGGTGCTAATTTCTGGGACCCATGTTCATTTTCTGTCTCTCTCTTTCGTTTTTCTATCAGGACCAGTATGTTTTCCTCAATCAGTGTGTTTTGGATATTGTCAGATCCCAGAAAGACTCAAAAGTAGATCTTATCTACCAGAACACAACTGCAATGACAATCTATGAAAACCTTGCGCCCGTGACCACATTTGGAAAGACCAATGGTTACATCGCCTAATTCCAAAGGAATAACCTTTCTGGAGTGAACCAGACCGTCGCACCCACAGCGAAGGCACATGCCCCGATGTCGACATGTTTTTATATGTCTAATATCTTAATTCTTTGTTCTGTTTTGTGAGAACTAATTTTGAGGGCATGAAGCTGCATATGATAGATGACAAATTGGGGCTGTCGGGGGCTGTGGATGGGTGGGGAGCAAATCATCTGCATTCCTGATGACCAATGGGATGAGGTCACTTTTTTTTTTTTTCCCCCTTGAGGATTGTGGAAAACCAGGAAAAGGGAGCTATGATTTTTTTTTCCAAAACAATTTCTTTTTTAAAAAAGACTATTTTATATGATTCACATGCTAAAGCCAGGATTGTGTTGGGTTGAATATATTTTAAGTATCAGAGGTCTATTTTTACCTACTGTGTCTTGGAATCTAGCCGATGGAAAATACCTAATTGTGGATGATGATTGCGCAGGGAGGGGTACGTGGCACCTCTTCCGAATGGGTTTTCTATTTGAACATGTGCCTTTTCTGAATTATGCTTCCACAGGCAAAACTCAGTAGAGATCTATATTTTTGTACTGAATCTCATAATTGGAATATACGGAATATTTAAACAGTAGCTTAGCATCAGAGGTTTGCTTCCTCAGTAACATTTCTGTTCTCATTTGATCAGGGGAGGCCTCTTTGCCCCGACTCCGCTTCCCCTGCCCCCTGTACATTTGTGCTCCATTTTTTCTTCCCTTTTCCCTCCCAGTTTTCTCCAAAGACTCTTCTGTTGGCAACATTTTCAACCCATTGGTTGGGTGAGAATGGCGACTCAAATATCACCTTGAGAATTTCTGTGGGTGGGAATGGGAGAAGCAGAGGAATCCTACAGTGGCAGAAATCCTTTTCTTGTCCCTGTATTATCCTTTTTCTCATGTCTGTATTTGGTATGAAGGATTATTTAAAGGTGCAATATGTGAATTAGTGATTCATGATGTTCTAGGTTTTTAGTAACGTTTTACTCAGGTTGGCATTTTATGTGTCTGTGTCTGTATGTGTGTGTGTATGTTCAGAAGCGTGGCAATCTGTGAACACTTCAGCGTGAATTCAGTGTCAGATTAATCCCTCCTTCCCCAAAGTCCACTGGCTTTCGTCTCTCTCTGCCGTGACACATATCGGAATCTACTGTGTATATATATATATATATATATATATATATATATATATATATATATATACACTAAGCTCTCAAAAACAGTCATTCCTATGAATTGAGGTGTACAAAGTTTGAATTTGTATCAAAGATGTAATTATTATTTTTAAAACCTTTTCACTATACTGCTGCTGTAATTACTTTGATTTTTAAAATGTAGATTAATTTTTTTTTTTTTGCTTCAGGTGTGTATCCACCAAGAATTTCAAATTTATGTGGATTTATTTTATTGGTACATAATCTGTAAACTTCTTAAGGCATTAACATGAAAAGATTTTTTCTTTTTATTTTATATTGTGGCTCAGGTTATATTTTGAAGATGTTTTGAGTTTATCCTCCAATAGGCAATGAAGTTGACAAGGTTTTATGAAGGAATAACCAAGTCCCTGGAGTCCTGTGGCTGTTGCCACAGTAATGTGTCCTGCTGTAAACAGGACAGGTGTGTCCTGTTGAGAATGTGAGCGGGCTCTTCCAGCCTCCTGGTCCCTCCTGACTCTGCCACGCCCCTCACCTCACTGGCACTTCGATAACTGACTGGACGTGTTAATGGGTCTTTTAGGGTTCTAAAGGGTGAACCACACTTTTAAAGCCCCGGCTGTGGTTCGGAGGGTTAGTGCTGTATGCCTTTTATTTCCCTTTCCCTTTGAGGTACTGAAAGGATGAAAAGGTGGTGTCATGTTTTGGGGAGAATCTTACTTCTCAAATGGAAATTGCACTTTTTGCTGAATCCTTTGCATTTTTTTGGTAGTAAGCAGTTCATTGAGTATCAGGTCCTCAAAGGAATGAGTTGGCCCGGCTAGGGTGGGCCCTCTTGACCTAACTTCAGAGGGGGCCTTGGCTCAGTAGGTGTGAATCAGGGAAGCCACATTGTCCTCAGGGTGCTGTATGAAGCTGGGTGTGGGCGGATTCCTCCCACACCTTCACACTGGCCTGCCTCCAACTCATACAGATCTCGGAGCGGTCGGTACTTCATTCATAGGTCCCTGTTCAGGCAGCAGTTCTGTGGGCTGTGGCCCTCTCCCCTCCAATATGTCCGAAACCATTGTGATGGGTGGCAAATCCCAGGGAGCTCCTAAGCCCTGCTCTGCCCACATCACTGCCACAGAGAAGTCAGAGGAAGGGACTTGTTGCTAAAAAATCCTTTAAAAGGTTAAATACTTTAAAAGATTAAAGCAACATAACTGTAAACATATTGTATAAAAATGAAAAACACAGGAACCCTCTTCCCTTCCGCCTGGTGTGGGCTTGGGAAATGGGCAAGCGGCCCCAGCAATCATGGGAGGAACTCTTGCGGGGGAGCGGTCTGGGATTCCAAATGGGCAGGTCACACGAAGGTCACGATGCTTCTCTGCATCCTGAAAAGGGCTGGGGACAGGGCCAGTGGGGGTGGTAAGGGTATTTATAGCACAGTGCTTGAAAAGGGAAGATTAATGTGTAAATATAAAGGACACACAGGCTGGGGGTTGGTCAGAGGCAAGAGGAGGGTGCCTCTGAGCTTCAACCCCTCCCAGGAACAATGAGCTCAAATTGGAAGAGTCCAGTGGAATCGGGGGGATGGTGTGAGCACCCCTGTTCAGTCTTTGACAATTGCATACAGAAAAGCAGCTGGTATGGGTTTGGGTGTCAATGAAAGGGCCAAAGACTGGTGGCCAGCTGGTTTGGGGGATTTGGGCCATTGATAGCATCTCCCAGGAACAACGACTTTTTGCCTCCAAAGTTGGATCTAGTGATGATCAGCACCAGCAGGAAATGACATTTGGTGTCTGCCCACTGCAGCCATACTGTGACCTCCAGCCAGACTTCCGCCTAATTGACTCCACTGGATTTGTGCTCTGTTGAGTCAGAGGCTCCCGGGGGTTGGGGATCGAGGGGCGGGGGTCAGCTATGCAGCCCATCACGTGTGTTTTTCATCTGGGATGAAAAAGCCTGGTTCTCTTTTGAAATGCTTGATTGTACTTATTGAGCTAAACAAGTCTTGGTGACTGTTGTTGATTTGCCTCAAAAGTTTTAAGTCCTGGGTTTTCAGACTACTGTGTAGCAGCTGTGTGTTTAACATACTGTAGCTTTTTCTCCCTTGGGGGCACATACAAATAGGATGTGTTGATGTGGACTCTAAACTGTAATTTTCCTGTAACTATTTTGGAATGATGCATATTTCTAATGTTTGTTATACTTGTACAGAGTATTGCTGTTGGTTGCTTTTTTTTTTTTTAAGGAAAAAATGGCCTGAAAACATTTTTTTAAAGACTTACAAATACCAAATATAAAAAAATGTCAATGCATTATGCCTTTGCTTCTTTCTTTCTTCTTTTTTCCTTCTTACAATGTGCCAAGCAGTTTACTGGCCTGCATTTTACTTGGGCATCCTTAACAAAAACACATTTCTCTTTGGGATTTCCGGATTGTTTTAGTTTTCTAGGGCTGTTGTAACAAGTACCACCAACTGGTGGTTTAAACAGCAGAGATTTACTTCCTACAATTTTGGTGGCTGAAATCCAGATGTGGGCAGGGTTGGTTTCCTGTGAGGCCTTTTTTTTTTTTCTTTTTTTGAGACAGAGTCTCACTCTGTTGCTCAGAGTGGAGTGCAGAGGCGTGATCTCAGCTCACTGCAACCTCTGCCTCCTGGGTTCAAGCAGTTCTCCTGCCCCAGCCTTCAGGCGCCTCTCTTCGTAGCTTGCAGATGGCTGTCTTCTCCCCATGCCTCCACATGGTCTTCCCTCTGCTTGTCTGTGTCCTAATCTCCTTCTTTTTTTTTTTTTTTTGAGATGGAGCCTTGTTCTGTCGCCCAGGCTGGAGTGCAGTGGCATGATCTTGGCTCACTGCAACCTCTGCTTCTCGGGCTCAAGCGATTCTCCTGCCTCAACCTCCCGAGTAGTTGGGACTACAGGTGCCTGCCACCACACCCAGCTAATTTTTTTGTATTTTTAATAGAGACAGGGTTTCACCATGTTGGTCAGGCTGGTGTCGAACTCCTGACCTCGTGATCCACCCGCCTTGTCCTCCCAAAGTGCTGGGATTACAGGCGTGAGCCACCGCTCCCGGCTAATCTTATAAGGACACGAGTCATACTGGATCAGGGCCCACCCTATTGACCTAATTTTACCTTAATTACCTCTTCAAAGACACTCCAAATGTAGTCAAATTCTGTTTTAGTGGGGGTTAGGACTTGACCATATGAGTTTTGGAAGGGACCCAGTTCAGCCTGTAACACATATTCAGGGCAATTTAGTGAAGAGGAGGCTTGGAGGAAGTGGCTGTGTGTCTTAAGATTGTGTGTGTTCCCAGAAGGTTGGAGGTATGAGCCTGCAGGTGGATGGATACCCAGTTGGTTGGGGGTGTGTTATGATATAGTTAGCTCTCCTGGGCTTTCTGCTTAGGGACAGCGCTTGGGCTGCGGATAAAGTATCCATCATCTTCCTGTTTTGATTCAGGCCAAAGTTGTCCCAGAACTTTTCTGCCCACAGTGTTGGTTTAGAGGAGGCAGGGAGACACTGTATTGCTGACCTGTTATCTGCATACTTAAAAAAAAAACAAACCAAACTAGGCTACCCTGCAAAATAGCACAGCATTCTCTGCTCCTAGCACTTAGTTTGATAAAAACTACCTTACCCAGGTATAGCCTAGGAATTGAGATATTGTGGGAAAGAAAAACCGAATGATCACCTGTGGTTTTATAAAATGTAAAGCTTAAGTGAGAAAACAAATTCATAGAACTATAAACAGAGAACAATCCCAATAAGAATTAAATAAGTGCATAGAAGAAAAGAAACACAACTCTAGAATAATATAATAGTGGGATTAGGAGTGGATTTTATTTTTATATTCACCTGTTTATAGTTTCTAACTTCTCCCAATGAATATGGAGTACTTAAGAGTAACTAGTTTAAAACTTAGCACTTTTCCCTCCTTGCCTCAAAAAAGTGAAGCTACAGTATAGTTTTAAATTTACTAGTCAAGTTACAAAATTCTTTTTTTTTTTTTTTTTTTTTTTTTGGAGACAGAGTCTCGCTCTGTCACCCAGGCTGGAGTGCAGTGGCACGATCTTGGCTCACTGCAAGCTCCGCCTCCCAGGTTCACGCCATTCTCCTGCCTCAGCCTCCCTAGTAGCTGGGATTACAGGCGCCCGCCACCATGCCCGGCTAATTTTTTTGTATTTTTAGTAGAGATGGGGTTTCACCGTGTTAGCCAGGATGGTCTCCATCTCCTGACCTTGTGATCCGCCCGCCTCGGCCTCCCAAAGTGCTGGGATTACAGGCGTGAGCCACGACGCCCGGCCAAGCTTCCAAGTTCTGATAGCCATCCCATCCCTTCTGGGGTTTCACAGCTCTATTTGGGGCTGAACGTGGCAGATCTCTGGGGCCTCCAACATGAGAGCCTGGGCTTTACATTCCTGCAGGCAGGTGAAGCCTCCTGACCCAAAAGGTGAGTAGTGGGCCCCTGTTGGGGCCAGCAGTTTTGGATGATGCCACTAGATGGCGGCAGAGAACTGGGCTGTGGAAGCAATCCTTGGCTAGGCTGTGGCAGGGCAGTGGAGCACATAGGATTGGAAAAGAAACCAGGAGGTCCGTAAGGCAAGGCTAAAAACCAGCAACAGGGCGAAGGAAGCGCCCTTGCCAGCAGCTGGCAGCTTTCCGTATAATTTGTTAGATAATATGTTCATGGTAAAAAAATTTAGGAAAAGAAGGAAAATAAAAAAATCCTATGTTGTCACCATTCAACAAGATGTCCCCCAATAATCCTCCCGCCTGGTATTCACATTTTTGTGTAGCCCCTCCTCCACTGTAGCAGGGTTGGTCTGTGTGACTGGTAGATTGCAGAGAGGTGATGGCATCCCACTTCTGAGATAAAACTGTGCAGTTTCTCTCTCGCTGTCTCTCTCCCTCCAGCCCCCCTCCCACGGCACTCTCTCCAAAACCAGCTGGCATGTTCTGAGCAGCCTTGAGAGAGGCCCACGTGGTGGGCTTCTTCTGAACCTCCTGCCAACAGCTACATGAGTGGGCCTGGAAGCAGATTCTCAGGTCAGCCTTTGGATGACAGTAGCCCTGGCCGACAGCTTGACTGCAGCCTCCTGGGAGACCCCAAGCCAGAACCTACCCAGACTCCCTGACTTGCAGAAAGCATCTGAGATGATAAATGTTTACTGTTTCAAACTGCTCTGTTTTGGGATAATTTGTTACACAGCAAGAGATAACTAATATGGGCTAATATATCCCACCACATAGGAAATACCACTGTTAACATTTTACTGTAAATAATTCTGTAACCTTTAGAATTCTCACAAACACCACACACACACACCCCCCATATGTGCACACATGCATACATCTTCATCTTCATGTATTTGCTTTCATCTTTTTGCAAAACTGGAATCAAACATGTTCATATTTCTTTTTAAGATTAACATATTTCTTTGAGTAATATTTCTACTGAAGCGTAATACAGACAGAAAAATGCACTAATCATAGGTTGGCTGTTTGAATAATTGTCCAAAAATGAACACACCCATATAACCAGCACCCAAATTAAAAAGTATATACGACCAGCATGCCATAAGCCACCTTGGTGCCCCCTTTCAGCCACACCCTGGCAAAGCTAACCACTATCCTGGCTGCTAACCTTTTAAGTTGGTTCTGTGCTCAATTTTTTGAAACTTGCTTCTTTTTTAAAATTAAAAATTTTTATTTTTAGAGACGAGGTCTCACTCTGTCATGCAGGCTGCAGTGCAGTGGCACTGTAATGGCTCACCGTAGCCTCAGACTCCTGGACTCAAGTGATCCTCTCACCTCAGCCTCCTGAGTAGCTGGGACTACAGGTGCGTGCCACCACACCTGGCTAATGAAACTTGCTTTTTTTTTTTTTGAGACAGAGTTTCGCTCTTGTCACCCAGGCTGGAGTGCGATGGTATGATCTTGGCTCACTGCAACCTCTGCCTTCCGGGTTCAAGCAATTCTTCTGTCTCAGCCTCCCAAGTACCTGGGACTATAGGCATGTGCCACCATGCCTGGCTAATTTTTTTGTATTTTTAGCAAAGACAGCGTTTCACTGTGTTGGCCATGCTGGTCTTGAACTCTTGACCTCAGGTGATCCGCCCACCTCAGCCTCCCAAAGTGTTGGGATTACAGGCCTGAGCCACCGTGCCTGGCTGAAACTTGCTTTTTATACTTGACATATTGTGAACTCTTTCTGTGTTATTAGGTATTCATCCTGTTCACCATTTTAAGAGCTGCATAATACTCCATAGTATGGACACATACCACTCTCGAGTTAACTACTCTTTTATTGATTGCCATTAGATTATTTCTGATTTTACTCTCCTGTGAATAAGGATGTGGCATCTATCACAGTAGCCAGATCTTTGCAGACATCACAATTAATTTCTTAGTAAACTTTTCTATAAAATTAATGAATCGAAATATATAAAAAGGTAGGGCTTTAGGCTGGTCGTGGTGGCTGATGCCTGTAATTCCAGCACTTTGGGAGGCCAAGGCAGGTGGATTGCCTGAGCTCAGGAGTTTGAGACCAGCCTGGGCAACAAGGCAAAACGTCATCTCTACCAAAAAATACAAAAAATTAGCCGAGTGTGGTGGCACATGCATGTTGTCCCAGTTGCTTGGGAGGCTGAAGTGGGGGGGATCACTTGAGCCTGGGAGGCAGGTTGTGCCAAGATTGTGTCACTGCACTCTAACTTGGGTGACAGAGTGAGATCCTATCTCAAAAAAGAAAAAAAGGTAACGCTTAGATGAAATTCTGCTAAATTTTTCTCTAGATAGCAATTTACACTCTCATTATAGTGTGTGAGAATGCCTGTTTCTTTACAGCTTCATCCACAATGAACATTATAATAATGAACACCCCGCCCCCCTCCTTTTGTAACTTGAATAGGCAAATGAAAAAGAAGCAAACTGTGCTAGGCCTTTCTTGGATTGCTGTAAAGAAACACCACCTGAGACTGTTTAATTGATAAAGAAAAGAGGTTTTAGTTTGGCTCATGGCTCTGCAGGCTATACAGGAAGTGTGGTGCTGGCATCTGCTTCTAGTGAGGGCCTCAGGAAGCTACAATCACGGAGGAGGGTGACCGGGAGCCAGCATGTCACATGGCAAGGGCAGGAGCAAGAAAGAGAGGGTGACAGATGGGGGGACGTGTCACATGCTATTAAACAACCAGATCTTGCGTGAACTCGGAGGGAAAACTCGCACTTCACCAAGGGGATGGCTGTGAGCCATTCACAAGGGATTCGTCCCTATGATTGGAGCACTTCCCACCAGGCCCCATCTCCAACACTGGGAATTATATTTCTTCCTTTTTTTTTTTCTTTGAGGCGGAGTCTCCCTCTTTTGCCCAGCCTGGAGTGCTGTGGCGCGATCTCGGCTCATCACAACCTCCGCCTCCTGGGTTCAAGTGATTCTCTTGCCTCAGCCTCCTGAGTAGCTGGGATTACAGGCTCCCACTACCATGCCCAGCTAATTTTTGTATTTTTAGTAGAGATGGGGTTTCACCGTGTTGGCCAGGCTGGCCTCAAACTCCCGACCTCAAGTCATCTGCCCATCTTGGCCTCTCAAAGTTTGTGATTACAGGTGTGAGCCACCATGCCCAGGAGGAATTACATTTCAACGTGAGGTTTGGAGGGGACAAACATCCAAACAATATCACAAACTCAAAACTTCTGGGAGCCTTTATATGGAGTTGGGAGCACCGGTTCGAGTCTCCCACTTAGTGAGGGCCACACATCCAGGATCTAAGGAATTCTGTCCTGTGTTTCCACAGCTGCAGTCTTGGGTGTGAGACCAGGTGTCATATCAGGAGACCAATTTTGTTATGTCAAAATTGCATGCTCAGGGGTCATGGTTGTGTCTTGGACAACCTGATCCAGACTCATAGGCCCTGATGCTGCAGCCTTGGCAGTGTGAGGGTCCTTCTGAGGCATTTCATGTTCCCTGACATGGGCCATAGACTCCCTAGATGGGAAGAATCCGTGAAGGCCCTTTCAACAAATCCACTGGTCCTATCCACTCCACCTAGCCTGGAGGCTTAATTACTTCCAGAACCTTTAGAGGGAGGGAGATGGCATGGCTCTTTCTTGGAAAGTCTGGAAGGACACCATGGGCTAGAGGGGACAGACACATGCCTCATGTGGCCTCACAGGTCAGCCTAGGACCTGTGACAGTGACAGGGAGACAGGTTTGGCTTAACACAAGGAAGGGCCTTTTGAGGAGCAAACTCCCCTGAGGGGTCAGCCCTCTCATGGGAGCAGCTCAGGGGAGAAGGCTCAGCCTTGGCTGCTGGGAAGGCCTCTTTCCTGGAGCGTGACTGATGACTTTGTGCCTCCCTCTGCTCTACCTCCTGGTGTAATGTTGTTGGTCCTGGGGGCAGTGAGATGGAAAGAAGGCATCAGGGAACAAGATGGATCTGCCCTTTGCATTTGCTTCTGATGGGGAGGGGGTCATCTCAGTCACTTCATGGTAACCAGCTGAAGCAGGAGGGTATCTGGGGTTGTGGATGGGACATGGCTGTGTCCCAACCACCAGCCTGCCTCCACTACATTCTGCTCAGAATCCACCCTCCAGCCATAATAAACCACTTACACATGATTTCTACACATGAGATTGTTGGATATAAAATGCTCCAGGAATAAATGCTCGGTGCAGCGAAGTAAAACCAGCACTCAGGCAAAAGTTTAATTCTCTCAGCAAGGCAATTTACTTCTGTAGAAGGGTGTCACTTGCATCAGTAAAAATCACAAGAGCACAGAGAACAAAGGAGACCAGGGAGTTTTTATCCTTAATGCAGTCCCTATCTCTGTGTCACTCCCCCATGGGCTGGGGTCAGACTGCAAAATCTGAGCTGACCCAGTTGGCTACTTGTACATATTTTCCTAAATATAGAAGGGGAGGGGGACGTGAGGTACAGAGGTGGAACGTGTGAGATGTGCAGTTTCGGGGGAACAATGGGTAGAGGTCACCAAGGGAACAGATTTATTGATTAGAGCTAACGGACATGGGGTAGGCTGTTTATGCTAACTAGGGGCAAGGAAGAACAAGAAAGTTGAGTTTGCGAACGAGGGATAAGGAAGTTAACAGGCTAAATCCTTTGAAGAGAAACTCAGAAAGATTTATTGTATCTTACAAGGTATCTTCTTTTTGCTCAAATTCTTGTATGCTTCCCCCTTTCCTTGGCCAAACTCAGCTTTAGTCATTCCTCACTCTAGAAAGCCTTCTCTTACTCCTTTCTATTTAGACTGTGCTACCATAGAATCTCACACATGACCTTGGGGCCCAGCTGGCTCTCCCGCATAGAGCTGTTGTCAACGTTAAGCGAAAAGATAGTGCCTGGAACATAGTAAGTAATAAGTAAATGTCTGCTACTATTTTTATCATAGCATTTGGAACACAGGATTGTAATTGTGGCTTCACAATTCTGTGGGGCAGGAGCTATTTCTCATTTATCCCTGGATACCCGGAGGCCAGCACATGGCCTGGCATCTGGATACACAGTGTGTTTGCTGAATGCATGCACGCCTGAGTACATGACTGCATGGATGGAGCAGGCCTTCTCCACCATAGTACAGTTACAGGGTGTCAGGAAGAGCCTTCCACCCAAACACGTGTATTGCATGAAATCCCAACCTTGGAGGAGGAGAACAAGCTGATGTTCACGGAGTGCCTGCTCTGGGTGGGGCTTGACACTGCCGAGCACTTGACATATGTTCTATTAATCCTAGGAGACGAGTTTGCTGAGGGTTCCAAAATGTGCCCTGCAGCTCAGGTGAGTACCTGCAGAACAGCACCCTGGATCGTTTAGAGCTGATCTCACCTTGCTGTCAAGCCCCGTCCTGCTGATGGCGAAGGGCTGCGGAAAGCATGGACTTGTCAGTTAAAGGTGGTTCAGTGTCTTCTGGTTAAAAGCTTTTTTACACAGGAACAGAAAACCAAAGACTGCACGTTCTCACTTATAAGTAGGAGCTAAATGTTGAGAACACATGGATACGTAAAGGGGAACAACACACGCGGGGGCCTGCTTGAGGGTGAAGGGTAGGAGGAGGGAGAGGATCAGGAAAAATAACTAGTGGATACGAGGCTTAATACTCACCTGGGTAATGAAATAATCTGTACAACACACCCCCGTGACACGTTTACCTGTACAACAAAACTGCACATGGATCTCTGAACTTAAAAGTTAAAAAAGAAAAACAACCAAATTGTTTTTTAGGTAAACTCAGGTTCTCTTTGATAAATGCTCAGTCTTGAAAGTTTTCTCCATCCACTCTCCTCCTTTGATTTTTTCCAACTTTTTAAATTTTTTTGAGATGGGGTCTTGCAATATTGCCCACGCTGGTCTTGAACTCCTGGGCTCAAGCGATCCTCCCAACTCGGCCTCCTGAGTAGCTAGGATGACAAGCGTTGGCCATCAAGCCGGCTTCCTTTGTTTTTTTTTTTTTAAGATGGAGGCTAGAGGAGGGGGAAGCCTGTGTCTTCTCACGGCGGTGGGGCGGAAACCCTTCTGGTCTTCAGGCCATCCTGTGGCCTTCACTGGCTCTTGCTGATATGTCTTACCCTGTGTATCTCCAGGCATTGCCTGTTATTGTTGAATCTGATGGAGATGAAATTGGTCTCCTTCTGCCCTTGGCCATGTTTGTTGCTCCTGGCCATGGACTCTGTCATTACAGAGGATTAATTAATCATTAATTAATGATTCTCCTTAATCCATTATTGAGGACAAGGCTGCCTCCTTGTCCGGACCTCAGATCTCATGGTCTGTGCGGCTTCAAAGCATCCCTGGGATAGGGTGCATGGGAAGTTCTCGTTCTCTTGCACATGCACACTGCAGCTCTGCTTTCACCCATGCAGCTCTGCTGCTCCTTTGCTGTGCTGGAAGTGGGGATGAAGCTCATATGCGGATGTTCTCAAAATCTTTTTCAGCCTTATCTGGAATTTCTTCCTGACTTTTTGTTGCCTTGAGTCCCAATTCCCCTGCAAGAGGGCGGGATGCTGGCGTCTTTGTTGGGGGCCCAGGTGGTGTCCTCAGGGACTCTAGTCTCATCCCTTCTGAATGCCTCTTTCCACTGCACCTTCAGCCAGAGCCTCTTCAGGCCCTCCCTGTTTTATCCTCAGTTTTCTCTCCCCATGGTTAGAATAAAATTGTTTGCTCAGATTCTGAGCTTTCCTCTTAAAAAAATTTTTTTTATAAGACAAGTTCTCACTGTGTTCCCAGGCTGGAGTGCAGTGGTGCAAACATGGCTCACTGCAGCCTTGACCTCCTGGGCTCAGGGCTCAAGCAATCCTCCCACCTCAGCCTCTCCTGGGTACCTGGGACCACAGGTGTGCACCACCATGCCTGGCTTTTTTTTTTTTTTTTTTTTTTTGTAGAGACGGGTTCTCGCCATGTTGCCCATGCCGGTCTCAAATTCCTGGGCTCAAACGATCCTCCTGCCTTGGCCTCCCAAAGTGCTGGGACTACACTTTGAGCCACTGCGCCTGCCCATTCTCTGGATAAGTAAAGACAGTTTTTGGAATTTAGGAATCCCTTTATCCTTCCACTAAACTTGGCTTTCCAGATTATTTTCACATGAGAGGTTCAAAAAGTCTATTTTAACAGCTATAACCAAACTAGAACTTTTTATAGCCAGGGCCTACCCTCCACATAAAATATTAAAATTCTTATAGACCTCTGAGTTTTACACACACACACAGATATACATAGATACATAAACACATTTTGAGACATGGTCTCACTCTGTCACCCAGGCTGGAGTGCAATGGCACAATCTCGGCTTACTGCAGCCTTCGCCTCTCAAGTTCAAGTGATTCTCATGTCTCAGCCTCCCAAGTAGCTGGGATTACAGGTGCACGCCACCATGCCTGGCTAATTTTTTGTATTTTCAGTAGAGATGGGGTTTCACCATGTTGGCCAGGCTGGTCTTGAACTCCTGACCTCAAGTGATCCTCCCACCTTGGCCTCCCAAAGTGCTGGGATTAGAGTGTGAGCCACTGCGCCCGGCCATATCTGTTGGTTTGATGTGAGGGAAGCAGAAGGAACAAAGCATAGATTGATTTAGCAGGAAAATGCAACAATCATCAATTTCTGTCAGCGCCTGTGAAGTCCTTATTTAAAAAGTGGAAACAATTAGTGTCTTGCCAAAGCCACACAGCTAGTAAATGGCAAGCCTGGGAATTGAGCTCCCATCTATTGGGCTTAAAAATCTGGGCTCTGTCCATGACTCTACCCCAGCTTTGCAAGAGGGAGTTACTCCTAAGATGCAGCTTTCAGATGCTGACATTCCTGCTGACTTAGCGTAAGTAGCACGGTCAGGAGACATAAGATCACTTGGGAGCAGAGAAGCTGGGAAGGGGAAAAGGAAAACCCTAGGAAAGGGGTAGGGTGGGGAAGAGAAATGTGAAACGTACCTGGTGGATTCACGGGGCTGACGGGGAGGTGGGTTTAGGTACAAGCTTTAGGCTTTGGCATTAGATGGTCCTGGCTGACCATCTGCTAGGTGTGATGCTGCAGGCAAGCCACCCCGTCTCTTTGAATCTCTGGTTCTTCATCTGCAAACTGAGAACGATGGTAGCATTTACTTACAGTTTTAAATGAGATAGTGTGTGCATTTTCAAGATGAACTGCTAGCCTTTATATAGACAGAGGCAGAAGGTTTCCTTGGAGTAGAGTCTCTGTTCTAAGAAGTTAACTGAATGCTCTGCTTAACAATGCAGAGATCGTGAGTGTAGGAACCTATTACGTGTTTCCTGAGGCAGACTACTCTCCCCTGGGTAGAGACAGATTTTCATCCAGAGCAAGGGGCTTTCAGGAAAGGAAGGAATGAGACCCTGTCTTTTGTTTTGTTTTTGAGACGGAGTCTCATTCTGTCACCCAGGCTGGAGTGCAGTGGTGTGATCTTGGCTCACTGCAACCTCTGCCTCCCAGGTTCAAGCAATTCTCCTGCCTCAGCCTTCTGAGTAGCTGGGATTACAGGTGCCCACCACCATGCCTGGCTAATTTTTGTAGTTTTAGTGAGATAGGGTTTCACCATGTTGGCCAGGCTGGTCTCGGACTCCTGACCTTGGGTGATCTGCCCACCTTGGCCTCCTAAAGTGCTGGGATTACAGGTGTTAGCCACCATGCCCAATGAGATCCTGTCTTTTGCTCTCTGAGATTTGCAATTAAAGAAACCTATTTTTGTGGTTCAGGATGATCATATTGACCATGATTCATCTGCATAGAAGAATATTAGAAGCCCCTAAGGAATCCTACCATGAGGGAAAGGGGTACCTGTGTTGATGCTGTAGGCTCAGCACTGGGGTTTGCGTGGGAGTTTTGATTTGATGCAACATGCTGGGGCTGGAAGCTTCTCTGGATCCAACCATCCTAGACCACTGTGTTTTGGGGATCAAGAGCTGAGCATGTGAGAATGAACAAAGAGAACAATGACCTTGGAGCACAAGTAGGGAAGCTAACCTTGGCATGGCAGAAGTCAGACCTGCAGCAGCATCACTGCAGCAGTGGGCGGAAGACACAGGCCCACCAGATTATATGGGACCAACTGCATGGTAATGACCGAAAACAAGGATTAGTCAGATTTTTAATTTTCTCTCTTCACACATGGCTTTTTGGAAGCAGGAGTCCTTTTGACTGAGTTTTCCTGGGAAGTTCTTGGAAAATTTGGGATGGAGATGGGGTCTGGCATTGTGTGAGAGAGAATGAACTTCCTACTAATAAGACAGGTGAGGCCTTGAGCCATTAGTTGGATTAAAAAAAAGATGTGATTTAATTTTTATTTTCCAGGAGGTGAGACAGATTGTAGGAAATGGAGTAAATTAATGGCTGCCATAACAAACAACCCCTTGATCTCAATGGCCTATTCTCATACCCCAGTTTCATGTGGTTGGCAGCCACTCAAGAACCTAGGCTGGTAGGGGTTGTACGACCTTTAACCCAAACCTCTCAAGGTCACCCAAAGTGTCATTCAGCTGGTAGACAAAGAAGAGAAGGCCAAAGACAATGTGTGGGAGGTTTTTATGGCCAAGTTGGGAAGTGACATACAGTCGATTCTCTGTATTCATGGGTTCTGCATTCACAGATTCAACCAGTTGCAGATTGAAAATATTTGGAGAAAAAACCCATCAATAAAACCCACAAACATTTAAAATAAAAATAAAAGTATAGCAATATAATAATAAAACATAAAATAAAAGATACAATATAACAGCCATTTAGATAGCATTTGCACTGTATTAGGTATTATAAGTAATCTAGATGATTTAAAGTGCAGAGGAGGATGTGCATAGTTTATATGACAATGCGACACCACTTTATATAAAGGATTTGACCACTCATAGATTTTGGTGTCCACCAGGGTCCTAGAACCAATCCCCTGTGAATACCAAGGGACATCTGTGTATGACTGTCATCCACATTCCATTGATAGGGAAATGGCATTTAGCTGCATGCCCGGGAAGAAGATAACTGGATGTTCGTGAGTATTGGCATTCTCTGCCACATTTGTCAGGAGGTTGAATATAGTGCTTGGCCCAGTGTCCGGTGCACAGCAGGGATTCCATAAATGGCAGTGTCCTCTCCCCTTCCAGAGCAACCTGTGTGGGGAAGGGGTAGAGGAGAAATGAATGACCTCTGTTTTTCTGCATTGGCACAGTGGCCCAGCTGCTTCCAAATGTGTTGTTACGGACCTTAAAGGGGTACTGGTTAAAGATTATGTCTTAATTTTGGCCCACAATATGTTTACAGGAGGAATCTGGAACCTTAAGTCCTGGCTTATCAGTGACCTGAACATTTAATGAGGATGTTTTTTCCCAACCTCCAATCATGCCTTTAATTATGTAGCTGGAGCTGCTGAGAATCTCAGGGAGGTAAAAGAAGTTCTCAGGTAGCTCTGAAGAACCCTCAGGGGATGACATTAATTTACTTCTTTGACAACTTTTCCTAACTCTCTGCCTCAACTCCTTAGGGTGTAGTTAGTTGCCAAAGGCTGTCACCATGCCATAAAACCTGGGTGTGGGCCCAGAGGGCAGAGGGCTGAATGATCATCAAAACTTACAGAAAGAAGAACTAATTGGCCCTTTTTCTCCCCTTGATGATCCCTGTAGCAGCAGAGAACATTTTCCACTAAATTCAAAAAGGTCAATATCTGAGTTGTGGAGGGTTAGTGGAAACAACTGAATATGTGGATTCAATCTACAAGTTTTTTTTTCACTTACAGTATTATGTTTTGCAACTTGCTTTTTTGATTAACTAACAATATATTTTGGAGCTTTTTCAGTGTCAGTATATGTAGATGTATCCATTCTTTTAACTTTTTCATAGTATTTTATTTTACACATGCACCAAAATGTGTGTGTGTGTGTATGTATCAATCTCAAGATTGAGCTAATTATACTCTTTGTTTCATCACTGATCCATGTACAGTCTCATTTATTTATTTATTTTGTCTTTCTTCTTTTTTTTTTTTTTGAGATGGAGTCTCACTCTGTTGCCCAGGCTGGAGTTGAGTGGCACAATCTTGGCTCACTGCAACCTCTGCCTCCTGGGTTCAAGCGATCCTCCTGCCTCAGCCTCCTGGGTAGCTGCGATTACAAGAATGTGCCACCAAGCCCAGCTAATTTTTGTAGTTTTAGTAGAGACAGGGTTTCACCATATTGGCCAGGCTGGTCTTAAACCTGGCGGATCAAGAGATCCGCCAACCTCGGCCTCTCAAAATGCTGGGATTACCGGTGTGAGCTACCGCGCCTGGCCTGTCTTCATTATTCTCTCATCTCCTATATCTTCCAAATAAGCAATATTCTACTGTGTTTAGGTAGACCTTTTTTGGGTACATTGCAAATAATGTTTTATATGATAAGCAATGCTACAGTGTCTTTGTATACATCACTCTTGGGCCATTTGCAATATTACTTTAGGAGAGGTAACCAGGACAATTGCTGGCTCACTGGAATGCACATTACATTTTCAAGAAGGAGGCCAAGTTGTCCTGCTAGAAAGCTAAACAACTCAGTTTTTTACATTAGGATAGGTCATGGCAGCAGATGGTCCAGAAAACTCCAAGGGCTTAATCAACATCAGGTGGCAGTGCTGAGTAGTGTCAGGTTGGTGGGTGGCTCTTGTCATTCAGGAATATCAACTAAGGCCTCTGCATTATCTGCACCCAGGCAGTGGAAGAGGAAGGGCTTGGAGTGTGTGCACATAAAGCTTTTATGGTCAGGCCTGCATGTGGCTCACATCACTTCTTATGTTCTATTGGAGAGAACTTATTTACCTGCACTCCTGACTGCATTAGTGGCCAGCAATGTTGTCTAGCTGCGTGCCTAAATGAGGGGGATAGTGACCTTTGGTGGACAATTAGTGGTCTCTGCCCCAGTTATTAACTTACAGGCTGTCTTTGACCATTTTTGTTACTATAAAGAAATACCTGTGGCTGAATAATGTGGACTAAACTCTGATTTTTTTTTTTTTTTTTTATCTCGCCCAAATTCCTTTCTAAGGGGTCTGGGGAGTGATGCCCTACAAACCACAAATTCTCATCAGACGGATTTTATTTAACCCTATAGATTATGACTTACTTTCCAATTTGACTCTGGCATAACATTACGTGACAAAGAACAAAGCCAAAATATTTTCCAAAACATGTTTCTTTGGCTTGTTTTGAAATGGTCCTGCGAAGCTGTCCTTTGTGGGGGAAAATGTGCATCTATAAAGAATCTCTAATAACATAGCTAGATCTTTTTCTTCCATGCCCTCCCAATTCTGAATAGATTAAGTAAGAGTTTATCATCTTTTTTTCTTTTTTTAAATTTTATTATTATTATACTCTAAGTTTTATGGTACATGTGCACAATGTGCAGGTTTGTTACTTATGTATACATGTGCCATACTGGTGTGCTGCACCCATCAACTCGTCATTTAGCATTAGGTATATCTCCTAATGCTATCCCTTCCCCCTCTCCCCACCCCACAACAGTCCCCGGTGTGTGATGTTCCCCTTCCTGTGTCCATGTGTTCTCATTGTTCAATTCCCATCTATGACTGAGAACATGTGGTGTTTGGTTTTCTGTCCTTGCAATAGTTTGCTGAGAATGATGGTTTCCAGCTTCATCCACGTCACTACAAAGGACATGAACACATCATCATTTTTTTTTTTGCTTTGTGATATATTTTCTTTCTTTTTTTTTCAGTGTTTCCATTTCTTTTTATTTATTTATTTATTTATTATTATTGTACTTTAAGTTTTAGGGTACATGTGCACAATGTGCAGGTTAGTTACATATGTATACATGTGCCATGCTGGTGCGCTGCACCCACTAACTCGTCATCTGGCATTAGGTATATCTCCCAATGCTATCCCTCCCCCCTCCCCCCACCCCACCACAGTCCCCAGAGTGTGAAGTTCCGCTTCCCATGTCCATGTGTTCTCATTGTTCAATTCCCACCTATGAGTGAGAATATGCGGTGTTTGGTTTTTTGTTCTTGCGATAGTTTACTGAGAATGATGATTTCCAATTTCATCCATGTCCCTACAAAGGACATGAACTCATCAATTTTTATGGCTGCATAGTATTCCATGGTGTATATGTGCCACATTTTCTTAATCCAGTCTATCATTGTTGGACATTTGGGTTGGTTCCAAGTCTTTGCTATTGTGAATAATGCCACAATAAACATACGTGTGCATGTGTCTTTATAGCAGCATGATTTATAATCCTTTGGGTATATACCCAGTAATGGGATGGCTGGGTCAAATGGTATTTCTAGTTCTAGATCCCTGAGGAATCACCACACTGACTTCCACAATGGTTGAACTAGTTTACAGTCCCACCAACAATGTAAAAGTGTTCCTGTTTCTCCACATCCTCTCGAGCACCTGTTGTTTCCTGACTTTTTAACGATCGCCATTCTAACTGGTGTGAGATGGTATCTCATTGTGGTTTTGATTAGCATTTCTCTGATGGCCAGTGATGATGAGCATTTTTTCATGTGTCTTTTGGCTGCATAAATGTCTTCTTTTGAGAAGTGTCTGTTCATATCCTTCACCCAATTTTGATGCGGTTGTTTGTTTTTTTCTTGTAAATTTGTTTGAGTTCATTGTAGATTCTGGATATTAGCCCTTTGTCAGATGAGTAGGTTGCAAAAATTTTCTCCCATTCTGTAGGTTGCCTGTTCACCCTGACAGTAGTTTCTTTTGCTGTGCAGAAGCTCTTTAGTTTAATTAGATCCCATTTGTCAATTTTGTCTTTTGTTGCCATTGCTTTTGGTGTTTTAGACGTGAAGTCCTTGCCCATGCCTATGTCTTGAATGGTAATGCCTAGGTTTTCTTCTAGGGTTTTTATGGTTTTAGGTCTAACCTGTAAGTCTTTAATCCATCTTGAATTAATTATTGTACAAGGTGTAAGGAAGGGATCCAGTTTCAGCTTTCTACATATGGCTAGCCAGTTTTCCCAACACCATTTATTAAATAGGGAATCCTTTCCCCATTGCTTGCTTTTCTCAGGTTTGTCAAAGATCAGATAGTTGTAGATATGCGGCATTATTTCTGAGGGTTCTGTTCTGTTCCATTGGTCTATATCTCTGTTTTGGTAGCAGTACCATGCTGTTTTGGTTACTGTAGCCTTGTAGTATAGTTTGAAGTCAGGTAGCGTGATGCCTCCAGCTTTGTTCTTTTGGTTTAGGATTGACTTGGCTGTTTTTTGGTTCCATATGAACTTTAAAGTAGTTTTTTCCAATTCTGTGAAGAAAGTCATTGGTAACTTGATGGGGATGGCATTGAATCTGTAAATTACCTTAGTCAGTATGGCCATTTTCACGATATTGATTCTTCCTACCCATGAGCATGGAATGTTCTTCCATTTGTTTGTATCCTCTTTTATTTCCTTGAGCAGTGGTTTGTAGTTCTCCTTGAAGAGGTCCTTCGCATCCCTTGTAAGTTGGATTCCTAGGTATTTTATTCTCTTTGAAGCAATTGTGAATGGGATTTCACTCATGATTTGGCTCTCTGTCTGTTATTGGTGTATAAAAATGCTTGTGATTTTTGTACATTGATTTTGTATCCTGAGACTTTGCTGAAGTTGCTTATCAGCTTAAGGAGATTTTGGGCTGAGACTATGGGGTTTTCTAGATATATAATCATGTCATCTGCAAACAGGGACAATTTGACTTCCTCTTTTCCTAATTGAATACCCTTTATTTCCTTCTCCTGCCTGATTGCCTTGGCCAGAACTTCCAACACTATGTTGAATAGGAGTGGTGAGAGACAGCATCCCTGTCTTGTGCCAGTTTTCAAAGGGAATGCTTCCAGTTTTTGCCCATTCAGGATGATATTGGCTGTGGGTTTGTCATAGATAGCTCTTATTATTTTGAGATACGCCCCATCAATGCCTAATTTATTGAGAGTTTTTAGCATGAAGGTTGTTGAATTTTGTCAAAGGCTTTTTCTGCATCTATTGAGATAATCATGTGGTTTTTGTCTTTGGTTCTGTTTATATGCTGGATTATATTTATTGATTTTCACATGTTGAACCAGCCTTGCATCCCAGGGATGAAGCCCACTTGATTGTGGTGGATAGGCTTTTTGATGTGCTGCTGGATTCGGTTTGCCAGTATTTTATTGAGGATTTTTGCATCAATGTTCATCAAGGATATTGGTCTAAAATTCTCTTTTTTGGTTGTGTCTCTGCCCGGCTATGGTATCAGGATGATGCTGGCCTCATAAAATGAGTTAGGGAAGATTCCCTCTTTTTCTATTGATTGGAAGAGTTTCGGAAGGAAAGGTACCAGCTCCTCCTTGTACCTCTGGTAGAATTCGGCTGTGAATCCATCTGGTCCTGGCCTTTTTTTGGTTGGTAAGCTATTATTGCCTCAATTTCAGAGTCTGTTATTGGTCTATTCAGAGATTCAACTTCTTCCTGGTTTAGTCTTGGGAGGGTGTATGTGTTGAGGAATTTATCCATTTCTTCTAGATTTTCTAGTTTATTTGCATAGAGGTGTTTATAGTATTCTCTGATGGTAGTTTTTATTTCTGTGGGATCAATGGTGATATCCCCTTTATCAGTTTTTATTGCATCTATTTGATTCTTCTCTCTTTTCTTCTTTATTAGTCTTGCTAGTGGTCTATCAATTTTGTTGATCTTTTCAAAAAACCAGCTCCTGGATTCATTAATTTTTTGAAGGGTTTTTTGTGTCTCTATTTCCTTCAGTTCTGCTCTGATCTTAGTTATGTCTTGCCTTCTGCTAGCTTTTGAATGTGTTTGCTCTTGCTTTTCTAGTTCTTTTAATTGTGATGTTAGGGTGCCAATTTTAGATCTTTCCTGCTTCCTCTTGTGGGCATTTAGTGCTATAAATTTCCCTCTACACACTGCTTTGAATATGTCCCAGAGATTCTGGTATGTTGTGTCTTTTGTCTCGTTGGTTTCAAAGAACATCTTTATTTCTGCCTTCATTTTGTTATGTACCCAGTAGTCATTCAGGAGCAGGTTGTTCAGTTTCCATGTAGTTGAGCAGTTCTGAGTGAGCTTCTTAATCCTGAGTTCTAGTTTGATTGCACTGTGGTCTGAGAGATAGTTTATTATAATTTCCGTTCTTTTACATTTGCTGAGGAGTGCTTTACTTCCACCTATGTGGTCAATTTTGGAATAAGTGTGATGTGGTGCTGAAACGAATGTATATTCTGTTGATTTGGGGTGGAGAGTTCTGTAGATGTCTATTAGGTCTGCTTGGTGCAGAGCTGAGTTCAATTCCTGGATATCCTTGTTAACTTTCTGTCTCGTTGATCTGTCTAATGTTGACTGGGGTGTTAAAGTCTCCCATTATTAATGTGTAGCAGTCTAAGTCTCTTTGTATGTCACTAAGAACTTGCTTTATGAATCTGGGTGCTCCTGTATTGGGTGCATATATATTTAGGATAGTTAGCTCTTCTTGTTGAATTGATCCCTTTACCATTATGTAATGGCCTTCTTTGTCTCTTTTGATCTTTGTTTGTTTAAAGTCTGTTTTATCAAAGGCTAGGATTGCAACCCCTGCCTTTTTCTGTTTTCCATTTGCTTGGTAGATCTTCCTCCATCCCTTTATTTTGAGCCTATGTGTGTCTCTGCACATGAGATGGGTTTCCTGAATGCAGCACACTGATGGGTCTTGATTCTTTATCCAATTTGCCAGTGTGTGTCTTTTAATGGAGCATTTAGCCAATTAACATTCAAAGTTAATATCATTATGTGTTAATTGGATCCTGTCATTATGATGTTAGCTGGCTGTTTTGCTCATTAGTTGATGCAGTTTCTTCCTAGCTGTGATGATCTTTACAATTTGGCATGTTTTTGCAGTGGCTGGTACAGGTTGTTCCTTTCCATGTTTCGTGCTTCCTTCAGGAGCTCTTTTAGGGCAGGCCTGGTGGTGACAAAGTCTCTCAACATTTGCTTGTCTTTAAAGTATTTTATTTCTCCTTCATTTATGAAGCTTAGTTTGGCTGGATATGAAATTCTGGGTTGAAAATTCTTTTCTTTAAGAATGTTGAATATTGACCCCCACTCTCTTCTGGCTTGTAGAGTTTCTGCCAAGAGATCCACTGTTAGTCTGATGGGCTTCCCTTTGTGGGTAACCCGACCTTTCTCTCTGGCTGCTCTTAACATTTTTTCCTTCATTTCAAGTTTGTTGAGTCTGACAATTATGTGTCTTGGAGTTGCTCTTCTCGAGGAGTACCTTTGTGGCATTCTCTGTATTTCCTGAATCTGAATGTTGGCCTGCATTACTAGATTGGGGAAGTTCTCCCGGATAATATCCTGCAGAGTGTTTTCCAATTTGGTTCCATTCTCCCCGTCACTTTCAGGTACACCAATCAGACGTAGATTTGGTCTTTTCACATAGTCCCATATTTCTTGGAGGCTTTGTTCATTTCTTTTTATTCTTTTTTCTCTAAACTTCTCTTCTTGCTTCATTTCATTCATTTCATCTTCCATCAATGATACCCTTTCTTCCAGTTGATTGCATCGGCTACTGAGGCTTCTGCATTCATCACATAGTTCTCATGCCTTGGTTTTCAGTTCCATCAGGTCCTTTAAGGACTTCTCTGCATTGGTTATTCTAGTTATCCATTCATCCAATTTTTTCTCAAAGTTTTTAACTTCTTTGCCATTGGTTCGAATTTCCTCCTGTAGCTCGGACTAGTTTGATCGTCTGAAGCCTTCTTCTCTCAACTCATCAAAGTCATTCTCCATCCAGCTTTGTTCCATTGCTGGTGAGGAGCTGCGTTTCTTTGGAGGAGGAGAGGCACTCTGATTTTTAGAGTTCCAGTTTTTCTGCTCTGTTTTTTCCCCGTCTTTGTGGTTTTATCTACTTTTTGTCTTTGATGTTGGTGACGTACAGATGGGTTTTTGGTGTGGGTGTCCTTCCTGTTTGTTAGTTTTCCTTCTAACAGACAGGACCCTCAGCTGCAGGTCTGTTGGAGTTTGCTAGAGGTCCTCTCCACACCCTGTTTGCCTGGGTATCAGGAGCGGTGGCTGCAGAACAGCGGATATTGGTGAACCACAAATGCTGCTGCCTGATTGTTCCTCTGGATGTTTTGTCTAAGAGGAGTACCCAGCTGTGTGAAGTGTCAGTCCACCCCTACTGGGGGGTGCCTTCCAGTTAGGCTACTTGGGGGTCAGGGACCCACTTGAGGAGGCAGTCTGCCCGTTCTCAGATCTCAAGCTGCATGCTGAGAGAACAACTACTCTCTTCAAAGCTGTCAGACAGGGACATTTAAGTCTGCAGAGGTTACTGCTGTCTTTTTGTTTGTCTGTGCCCTGCCCCCAGAGGTGGAGCCTACAGAGGCAGGCAGGCCTCCTTGAGCTGTGGTGGGCTCCACCCAGTTCGAGCTTCCAGGCCACTTTGTTTACCTAATTAAGTCTCGGCAATGGCGGGTGCCCCTCCCCCAGCCTCGCTGCTGACTTGCAGTTTGATCTCAGACTGCTGTACTAGCAATGAGTGAGACTCTGTTGGTATAGGACCCTCTGAGCCAGGTGCGGGATATTATCTCTTGGTGTGCCATTTTTTTAAGTCTGTTGGGAAAGCACAGTATTAGGGTGGGAGTGACCCGATTTTCCAAGTGCCGTCTGTCACCCCTTTCTTTGACTAGGAAAGGGAATTCCCTTACCCCTTGCACTTCCTGGGTGAGGTGATGCCTCACCCTGCTTCAGCTCATGCACAGTGCACTGCACCCATTGTCCTGCACCCGCTGTCTGGCACACCCCAGTGAGATGAACCCGGTACCTCAGTTGGAAATGCAGAAATCACCCGTATTCTGTGTCACTCACGCTGGGAGCTGTAGACCAGAGCTTTTCCTATTCGATCATCTTGGCTCCTATCCCGGAAATCGAGTCTATCACCTTTTAAATGTCTGAATAGGAAACATTTGTCATTTATTGTCTCTAAGGACAGCCACTATGAGATTTCAAAAGAATCTTGGTCTCTGCAATCTTTTATCTTAATGGCAACATTTCCTTTCTGTTGATCCCATGTCTTTAGACAAATTCAACCAATTGTCAATCAGAAAATGTTTAAATTTACGTATAGCCTGGAATCCCCCTGTCCCCCCACCCCCACTTTGAGTTGCATACCTTTCTGAACCAAACCAATGTATTTCTTAAATGTATTTGATTGATGTTTTATGCCTCCCTAAAATGTATAAAACCAAACTGAACCCTGACCAGCTAGGACACGTGTTCTCAGGACCTCCTGAGGGCTGTGTCATGGGCCATGGTCACTCATATTTGACTCAGAATAAATATCTTCAAATATTTTACAGAGTTTGATTCTTTTTGTTGACAGTAATTTATATATATATATACATGAAAACAGGTTTATTTGGGTTATGGTTCTGTAGGGTGTACAGGAAGCATGGCACCAGCATCTGCTTCTGTTGAGGGCTCCTGGCTGCTTCCACCATGGCTAAAGGGAAAGGGGAGCCAGCATGTATGGAGGTCACATGGCAAGAGAATGGAAGCAAGAGATACAGGGGAGGAGGTGCCAAGCTCTTTTCAACAACCAGTTCTCACAGAAACTAAGACAGAACTCACTCACTCTCATGGGAATGGCACCAAGCCATTCATTAGAAATCTGCCCCATGACCCAGACGCCTCTTACCAAACCCCAGCTCCAACACTGGGAATCAAATTTCAACATGGGACTTGATGGGGTCTAGCAAATCATATCCAAATCATAGTACAGGTTCCCCCAGTAATATCTGAGGGTACCATCATTCCCTGCTGTACCAACAATGGATATTATCAACTTTTATATTTTTGTCAAACTAATAAAGATAGTAAAAATAAAGATGTATTTTAAAGCAATTTATTTTACCTGACTATGAGTTGAGAATTTTTTCATATTTTATTGGCCATATATTTTCTTCTTTGAATTATCTTTTCATAAGCTTTGGTTGTTGACCTTTTCCTTGTTGATTTATAGAAGATAATATACAGTATGGGTTATGATTCCTCATTCTCCTTTGTTGATTTGGGCCCATATTGGCTATACAACACTCGGAGTCTCAGTCATGTTCTCCATATGGCCCTTGGTTTACAGTGTTGGTCTCTCAGTGCCTGTGGTAGGGTATTCTCACCATTGTTGCCCTCCTGGAAGATTCCCTGACTCTCAACTTAGCCACCCTTCACTTTCCTGATAAGGGATAACAAGAATTAATGGATACTTGCATGTCACATGGATGTGCTATACATTTTACTTACTATTTTACTATATTTTGTATCTATCACTGTACCAATACTTCCCTTATTTCATTATTATAATTTTTAATATGTTTTGATATTTACTTCTTATCTTTTTCCATTAAAAAGAAAGTTTGTGAAGGCAGAACTACCAGAAAAGCTGTGTGAGGAACTCATAATGTTTATCTCTAGGAAATAACAAAGAAACCTGGATAAAATTATTGAAAATAATGATTAAAAGACTGGATATTGAGTAAAAGCATACAACAAATTTGGAAGTGCTTATTCAAGAAAATTTACCCAACCTTAGAAAGAAGAGTGGGAGCCTCTGGCATTTTATAGTGAGGCTGCCCCCAGCCCCTCACTCCCCAGCTCCTTGGTGCAGAAGTTCTATTAGGGCAGAGCAGCAGGCTGTAAGGAGAGTAAGCTCCACTGCTGGAGGGAGCTGACTTTATTTGGAGCAGATTAAGGAAAATTTCATGCCTGGGACATTGTCAAAAACAATAGTGATCTCAGTGGCAAGCAATCAGACAAGTGCAACATTTCAGTAGCCTGAAACCTTGAGTCTTGTGGGGCAAACAACAATCTGGTAGACAAGCCAGGAATGTAACAGGAGGATCCAGGGGATGAGAAAGCCAAAGAGGGCCTTGATAAGATCCTTTTTATCTCTTGTGGTCTGGAATACTGTGTTTATGTGAAGGCTGCACGTATGGTCATGAGAGACCAGAGAGAACCCTAATAACTACTTGTCTCTAGCTGAATGTGAGACCTCATGAATGCAGAAAGTAAAAGCTAGGGCAGACTTATAAATGGTCTGAAGCCATCTGAGTCATACACAGATCCACTGGCAAGGGGCAGAAGCCTTACTGCCTCGAGATGTTTAAATTCTTCCTCTGACCAATCATTGACTCACCACAAAGCTACACTGACCTAGAAATGACCTATGGTAAGTCAGGCTTAAAATGTAAAGCAAGAATAAAAAGAAAACTGGAAGAAACATCAGTAGTTGTACACTTTTGGAGGAGCAGACTCCACAAAATTAGTTCAGGCGTCACTAAACAAAAAAATAAATGAAAGATAGTAACAACCTTGTCCCTACATATCCAAAATGTTCAACACACTCCCAGTAAGAAATGCAGAGATTTACATCTATACACAATGTAGTCAAACCCTTGAAAGTCAAAGACAAAAATCTCAAAAGCAGTACGAAAAAACCTTAACTCATTATTTACAAGGGAACCACAATGAGATTAACAGCTGGCTTCTCATCAGAAACTATGTAGGCCAGAAGGCAATGGGATTGCCTATTCAAACTGCTGAAAAATAATTATCAATGAAAACTCCTATATCCAGAAAAACTATTCTTAAAAAAGAAGACAAGGCTGGGTGTGGTGACTCACACCTGTAATCCCAGCACTTTGGGAGGCCTAGATGGGTGGATCACCTGAGGTCAGGAGTTTGAGACCAGCCTGGTCAACATGGTGAAACCCTGTCTCTATGAAAAATACAAAAAATAATTAGCCTGGCATGGTGGCAGTTGCTGTAATCCCAGCTACTTGGGAGGCTGAGGCAGGAGAATCACTTGAACCCAGGAGGCAGAGGTTGCAGTGAGCTGAGATTGCGCCATTGCACTCCAGCCTAAGGGACAAGAGTGAGAGATAATTTTATTGCTAATAGATCTGCTTTACAAGAAATATTAAAGGAAGCTTTTTAGGATCTGACATCAGGTGGTAACATAAACGCATATGAAAAAATTTAAGAACATCAGTAAAAGTAATTATGTAGGACATTATAAAAGATAGTATGAATGTTTATATATCTTTTTTTCTCTTAACTCACTTAAAAGACATTAGATAATTAATAATTATAAAATTATATTGTTGGGCTTATAACTTTTAAAGATGTAATATATTTTAAAATATACAAAGAAAGGGAGAGAAAATGGGTGTATATTAGCACAGGAAAATTACACCAGATGATAACATAAATCCATAAGAAGAGATGAATGATACAGGAATTGATAAATATATAGCTTAATATAGGGGACTTATTTTTGCCTTTTTTCTCTTAGCTTCTTTGAAAGATACAAAATTGCATAAGACAATAATTGTAATACTGTGTTGTTGAATTTATAACATATGTACTAACATACATATGTACTAGAATATGTATTATAATTCCTAGAAAATAGACACTAAATGTTCCTGTCCCTTTTCTGCACAACTTCTTGGGGAAGTAGAGGTTGGAAGTGTTTGCATGCCCCTTTAAACACTTAAGTTGAAGTAGATTGTGAAAAGTTAAGATACATGTTATAATTCCTAGAGTAATGTCTAATCCCATCCTCCACCAAAACATTAAAAAAAAAACAAAGGGATTAAATAGTACACTAGAAAATATCTATTTAATAAAAAAGAAGGTGATAAAGGGGAAACAAGAAAAAAGGACATACGACATATGGAAAACATAGCAAAATGTCAGACATAAACCCAACTGTATCAATACTACCATTAAATGTAAATGGAGTAAACACAGCAATCAGAGGCACAGATTGTCAGACTAGATGGAAAAACAAGATCCAATTACATGCTTTCTACAAGAGACACACTTTAGATTCAAGAACACAAACAGATTGAAAGTAAAAGGTTGAGAAAAGATCTAAGAGAGGAGCACCTATATCAGACAAAAAAAAACCTTTAAGAAAAAATTATACTACTAGAGACAGAGAATATTTTATAATAACAAAAAGGCAGCTAATCAGGGAGATGTAACAATTATAAACATCAATTACAAACTTTTTCCCCTGGATTTTGAATATATCAACCCATTCCCTTCCAGCTTGTAAGATTTCTGCTAAAAAAATTTGCTGATAATCTGATGGAGATACCCTTGTATGTAACAATTTACTTTTCCCTTGCTGCTTTCAAAACTCTTTAAATTTGACAATTTGATTATGTTGTGTCTTCATGTGGATCTTTTTATATTCCTCTTGTTTGGTGTCCTTTGGGTTTCCTGGATCTGGATTTCTATTTCCTTCCAAGGCTACTTTTTGCCATTATGTTTTTGAAAGTTTTCTGTCCCTTTCTCTCTCTTTCCTTCTGGTACATCAATAATATGTGATATGGTTTGGCTGTGTGTTCTCATCCAAATCTCATGTTGAATTGTAATCCCCAATGTTGAGGAAGGAACCTGGTGGGAGGTGATTGGATCATGGGGGTGGATTTTTCCTTTGCTGTTCTTATGATCATGAGTGAGTTCTCATGAGATCTGGTGGTTCAAAAGTGTGTAGCACTTTCCCCTTCATTCTCTCTCTTTCTCCTGCTGACATGTGAAGATGTGCTTGCTTCCCCTTCACTTTTCCACCATGATTGTAAGTTTCCTGAGGCCTGTACAGCTTGTGGAACTGTGAGTCAATTAAACGTCTTTTCTTTATAAATTATGCAGTCTCAGGTAATTCTTTATAGCACTGTGAGAATGAACTAATACAACACGTATGTTGTTATGTTTGATGGTGTCCCATAAATCCCTTAAACTATCCTCACTCTTTTTCATTTTTTTTCTGCTCAGATGGTATGATTTCCATTGACCTATTTTTGAGTTTACCGATCTTTTTTTTTGCCTGATGTGGTTTGCTGTTGAACCTCTCTATTGAATCTCTACGTTCAATGATAATATTCTTCAGCTTTATGATTCTGTGTGTTACTTTAAAAATACTTCCAATCTTTTTGTTAAAATCTTAATTTTGTTCTTGAATTGCTTTTCTGACCTCGGTCAGCATCTTTATGATTATTTTGAATTTGCTGTCAGGTAAATCACATATCTCCACTTCACATGGTTGGTTTCTGGAGTTCTGTTTTTTTTTTGCTTGAAATATATTCCCCTGTTTCTTCATTTTCCTTGACTCTTTGTATTGGTTCCTGTGCATTAGAGAAGACAACTACCTCTCCCAGTCTTGTCAGACTAGCCTTATGTGGGAGAAGAATCTCATCAATCTGTTGGACTAGAAATCTTGAGATGACACTCAAATCTTTGTGTTTGTCTGGTAGAATGTGCCATGTTGTGTCAGTACCCCAACACTGGTAAGGTAGGAGCTAGACTTTCTAGATATAGCCACAAAGATTAGGGTGTTGGATGCATGTTCAAGTTTATTTTATCTTCATGGTGAAGCTGAACATGGGCATTTATCTCCTATTCTCTCTGCACTAAGCTGAGGAGGGGATTTGTACCAAAAGCCTGTGCTCATGTCCAGGCTGCACTCTCTAATCCTGGGGAGATAGCTGCTACAAGTGAGCTAATTGCATGTCTACCTGTTTGTTTTCTGTCATCTAGGTCCATTCAGAAATGCAAAGCCTCATCAAGTCTGAGATCCATGGTCATTAAGGAGACAGTCCCTTGGGTGGGAGCTATAGAAATTGTGGTGCTTGGCCGGGCGCAGTGGCTCATGCTTGTAATCCCAACACTTTAGGAGGCTGAGGTGGGTGGATCACCAGGTCAGGACATCGAGACCATCCTGGCTAACACGCTGAAATGCTGTCTCTACTAAAAATACAGAAAATTAGCTGGGCATGGTGGCAGGCACCTGTAGTCCCAGATACTCGGGAAGCTGAGGCAGGAGAATGGTGTGAACCCAGGAGGCGGAGGTTGAAGTGAGCCGAGATCGTGCCACTGCACTCCAGCCTGGGTGACAGAGTGAGACTCAGTCTCAAAAAAAAAAAAAAAAAAAAAAGAAATTGTGGCACTCAGTAGATGGCCAAACTCCTTCCAGGAAGAATGGATAGGACTAGATACATCACTGGAGTGAGTTGGAGGGAAGGCTCGTAAAGTGAGCTCTGGCTCCAGCTGCTCTACGGCTATTGTTTGTTTGCCCCTTTAGCACCCTGCTGCAAATACCTACCTTAGAAGCCAGGCTGTCAAGTTGCCATTGGAAGTGTATGCTGTAAGCACTTTCCAGAGAGAAAATAGAAACTGAATGTTCCTGTCTCTTTTCTGCACAACTTCTTGGGGATGTAGAGGTTGGAAGTGTTTGCATGCCCCTTTAAAACTGCCTCTCCTGGCTAGGCACAGTGGCTCACACCTGTAATCTCAGCACTTTGGGAGGCTGAGGCAGGGGGATCGCTTGAGCCCAGGAGTTTGAGACCAGCCTGGGTCTCGAAGTAGAACCTCATCTCAAATAAATAAAACTGCCTATTCGGTCTGTGATTTAGGGAGACTTGTGTATGCTCTGTTCCCAGAGCTGAGAGGTTTAGGTTAGAGTCCTTTAGGAGGTAGCTATAAAAGTTGGGGAACTTGATGTATGGCATAAACCCCTTCCAGAGAGAAACAGGACCTACTTAATTTTTTTTTAGATCCTTTGCTTTATGTTCATTATGTACATTCTTTTAAAAAAATATTCACAACTTTTTTTATTTCAATAGTTTTGGGGGAACAGGTGGTTTTTGTTTACATGAATAAGTTCTTTAGTGGTGATTTCTGAGATTTTGGTGCACCCATCACTTCAGCAGTGTACTCTCTATCCAACGTATAGTCTTTTATCCCTTACCCCCTTCCATCCTTCCCCTTGGGTCATCAGATGCCATTAGATCATTCTTATGCCTTTACATCCTCACAACTGAGCTCCCACTTATAAATGAAAGCATACAATGTTTGATTTTCCATTCCTGAGTTATTTCATTTAGAATAATGCTCTCTAACTCTATCCAGGTTGCTGCAAATGCCATTATTTTATTCCTTTTTATGGCTGAGTAGTATTCGGTGATGTATATCCCATTTATTATATATAGCCAGTTCTTTATCCAGTCGTTGGTTGATGGGCATTTAGGTCGGTTCCATATGTGTGTGTGTGTGTATATATATATCCCACTTATTATATATATCCCATTCTTTATCCAGTCATTGGTTGATGGGCATATAGGCTGGTTCCACATATATATATATACATATATATATGTGTGTGTGTGTATACATATATATACACACATAAGTGTATATATACGTACATATATACACACATATATACACGTACATATATACACACATATATACACGTACATATATACACACGTACATATATACACGTACATATATACACGCATATATACACGTACATATATACACACGTACATATATACACGTACATATATACACGCATATATACACGTACATATATACACACATATATACACATATATATACGTACATATATACACATATGTATATACACATATATACACGTACGTATATACACATATATGTACATATATACACATATATACACGTATGTATATACACATGTATATACACATAGGTATATACACACATATATACACATACGTATATACACATATATATACACATATATGTGTGTATGTGTTATATGTATATACCTCCCATTCTTTATCCATTTGTTGGTTGATGGGCATGTAGACTGGCTCCATATATATATATGTGTGTGTGTGTGTGTGTGTGTGTCTTTGTATGTTATATATGTATATATCTCCCATTCTTTATCCATTCGTTGGTTGATGGGCATTTAGGCTGGTTCCATATTTTTGCAATTGTGAATTATGCTGTTATAAACATGTGTGTGCAAGTGTCTTTGTCTTTTTCATATAATGGCTTTTTCCTCCAGGTAGATACCCAGTGGTGGGATTGCTAAATCAAATGGTAGTTCTACTTTTAGTTCTTTAAAACATTTTCTTACTGTTTTCCATAGTGGTTGTACTAGGTTACATTCCCATCAACAGTGTAAAATTGTTCCCTTTTCACCACATCTGTGCTAACATCTATTGTTTTTTAATTTTTAAACTTTGGCCATTCTCCACCCAACACAAAACTAGTGCAATACAACAAGGACTACAATAAAGGACCCTCACAGAGTCCTCTTCATTCCCCTGTTACCTCCACTGGAGCAGGTGCTGGTATTCATGGCAGAGAGACCTGAAGACAGTTCATATCACAGAAGTATGTGCAGACACTCCCTAGTACCAATCTGGAGCCCAGTAGCTCTAATGAGTGGCTAGATCCAGAAGAGAAATAAAAATCACTACAATTTGGCTCTCAGGAAGCCACATCCCTAGGGGAATGGAGAGAGCACCATATCAAGGGAGCACCCCATGAGACAAAATAATCTGAACACCAGTCCTTGAGCCCTAGATCTTCCCTCTGAAATAATCTACCAAAATGAAAAGTAGCCAGAAAAACAATTTTGGTAATATGACAAAAAAGGTTCTTTAACACACCCAGAAGATTACACTAGCTCACCAGCAATGAATCCAAACCAAGAAGAAATCTTTGAATTGCCAGAAAAAGAATTCAGAAAGGTGATTATGAAGCTAATCAAGGAGGCACCAGAGAAAGGTGAAGTCCAACTTAAAGAAATAAAAAAAATTATACAAGATATGAAGGGAAAAATCTTCAGTGAAATGGATATAATAAATAAGAAACAATCACAGCTCCTGGAAGTGAAGGACACACTTAGAAAAATGCAAAATACACTGGAAAATCTCAGCAATAGAATTGAACAAAGTAGAAGAAAGAACTTCAGAACTCAAAGATAAGGCTTTCAAGTTAACCCAAGAAAAACAATAACAACAACAATAAAGAATTTAAAAAATGGACAAAGTCTCCAAGAAGTTTGGGATTATGTTAAATGACCAAACCTAACAATAACGGGTGTTCCCAAGGAAGAAGAGAAATTTAAAAGTTTGGAAAACATATTTGAGGAAATAATCAAAGAAAACCTTCCCAGTCTTGCTAGAGATCTAGACTTCCAAATACAAGAAGCTCAAACATCAACTGGGAAATTCATCACAAAAAATCATTGCCTAGGGACATAGTCATCAGGTTATCTAAAGTCAAGATGAAGGAAAGAATCTTAAGAGCCGTGAGGCAAAAGCATCAGGTAACCTGTAAAGAAAAACCTATCAGATTAACTGATTTCTGCAGAAATCCTACAAGTGAGAAAAGATTGGGATCCTATATTCAGCCTCCTTAAACAAAATAATTATCAACCAAGAATTTTGTATCCAGTAGAACTCAGCTTCATAAATGAAGGAAAGATACAGTCTTTTTCAGACAACCAAATGCTGAGAGAATTTGCCACTACCAATCCAGCACTACAAGAACTGCTAAAAGGAACACTAAATCTTAGAAAAAAATCCTTGAAATACACCAAAATAGAAACTCCTTAATGCATAAACTTCACAAGACCTATAAAACAAAAACACAGTGAAAAAAACCCACAATGTATTCAGGCAACAAATAGCCCAAGGAATATAATAGTACCTCACATCTCAATAATGATGTTGAAAGTAAATGGCCTAAATACTCCACTTAAAAGACACAGAATGGTGGAATGGATAAGAATTCACTAACCAAGTATCTGCTGTCTTCAAGAGACTAACCTAACACATAAGGACTCTGATATGGTTTGGCTGTGCCTCTACCAAAATCTCATCTTGAATTGTAGCTCCCATAATTCCCACGTGTTGTGGGAGGGACCCAGTGGAGATAATTGAATCATGGGGGTGGTTTCCCCCACACTGTTCTCATGGTAGTGAATAAGTCTCATGAGGTCTGATGGTTTTATAAATGGGAGTTCCCCTGCACAAGGTTTTTGCCTATTGTCAGGTGAGACATGACTTCATTCCTCCTTTGCCTTCTGCCATGATTGTGAGGCCTTCCCAGCCATGTGGAACTGTGTCAATTAAACCTCTTTTCTTTATAAATTACCCAGTCTTGGATATGTCTTTATTAGCAGCTTGAGAACAGACTAATACAGACTCACATAAACTTAAGGTAAAGGGGTGGAAAAAGATATTCCATGCAACTGGACACTGAAAGCAATCACAAGTAGCTATTCTTATACCAGACAAAATGAACTTTAAAGCAATAACAATTTAAAAAGACAAAGAGGAACATTATATGATAATAAAAGGCCTTGTCCAAAAGGAAAATATCATAATCCTAAATATATATGCACCTAACACTGGAGCTCCCAAATTTATAGAACAATTATTACTAGACCTAGGAAATGAGATAGACAGCAACACAATAATAGTGGGGGCTTCCTTACTCTACTGACAGCAGTAGACAGGTCATCAAGACAGAAAGCCAACAGAGAAACAATGGATTTAAACTATACCTTAGAACAAATTGTCTTAACAGATATCTACAGAACATTCTACCCAACAACTGCCAAATATACAGTCTATTCAGTAACACATGGCACATTCTCCAAGAAATAACATATAATAGGCCACAAAACAAGTCTCAATAAATTTAAGAAAATTGAAATTATATCAAGTATTCTCTGAGACCACAGTAGAATAAAATTGGAAATCAACTCCAAAAGGAGTGTTCAAAACAATGCAAATTCATGGAAATTAAATAATTTGCTCCTGAATGACTGTTGGGTCAGCCATGAAATCAAGATGAAAATGAAAAATTCTTTGAACTCAATGATAATAGTGACACAACCTATCAAAACCTCTGGGATACAGCAAAAGCAGTGCTAAGAGGAAAGATCATAGCCTTAAATGCCTGCATCAAAAAGTCTGAGAAAGCCTATATAGACAATCTAAGGCTACACCTCAAGGAACTAGAGAAACAAGAACAAGCCAAACTTAAACCCAGCAGAAGAAAAGAAATAACAAAGATCAGAGCAGAACTAAATGAAATTGAAACAAAAATAATACAAAAGATAAATGAAACATAAAGCTGGTTCTGTGAAAATATAAATAAAATTCATAGACCATTAGTTAGATTAACAAAGAGAAGAAGAGAGAAGATCCAAATAATCTCAATTAGAAACAAAGCAGGAGATATTACAACCAATATCACATGAACACCTTAATGCACATAAACTAGAAAACCTAGAGGAGATGGATAAATTCCTGGAAATATACAACCCTCCTACATTAAACCAGAAAGAAATAGAAACCAGTACAGACCAATAACAAGCAGAAAGACTGAAATGGTAATTAAAAAATTGTCAACAAAAAAGAAGTCCACGATCAAATGGATTCATAGCTGAATTCTATCAGGCATTCAAAGAAGAATTGGTACCAATCTTATTGACACTATTCTACAAGATAGAGAAAGAGGGAATCATCTCTAAGTCATTCTATAAAGCCAGTATCACCCTAATACCAAAACCAGGAAATGATATAACAAAAAAAGAAATGTGCAGACCAATATATCTGATGAATATAGATGCAAAAATCCTCAACAAAATACTAGCTAACTGAATCCAACAGAATATCAAAAAGATAATTTGCCATGATCAAGTGAGTTTCATACCAGGGATTCAGGGATGGTTTAACATATGCAAGCCAAGTAAGTGTTTGGCTTCATTTCTGGGTTTTCTATTCTGTTCCATTAGGTTATGTGCCTATTTTTATACCAGTACCATGCTGTTTTGGTAACTATAGCCTGTGGTACAGTTTGAAGCTGGGTAATGTGATGCCTCTAGATTTGTTTTTTTGCTTAGTCTTGCTTTGGATATGTGGGCTCTTTTTGGATTTCATATGAATTTTAGGATTGTTTTTTCTAGTTCTGTGAAGAATGATGGTGGTGTTTTGATAGGAATTTTATTGAATTTTTAGATTGCTTTTGGAAATATAATAATTTTCACAATATTGATTCTATCCATCCATGAGCATGGGATGTGTTTCCATTTGTTTGTGTTGTCAATGATTTCAGCAGTGTTTTGTAGTTTTCCTTGCAGCGGTCTTTCACTTCCTTGGTTAGGTATATTTATAAGTTAAAATACTTATAAAATTTTTTTGCAGCTATTGTAAAGGGGTTGAATTCTTCACTTGGGTCTCAGCTTGGCCATTGTTTTATAGCAGCCTACTGATTTGTGTACAAACTCATTTTGTATCCTGAAACTTTGCTGAATTCATTTATTGGATTCAGGAGCTTTTTGGTGAAATCTTTAGGACTCTTTTCTTTTCTTTCTCAGAGTCTTGCTCTGTCACCCAGGCTGGAGTGCAGTGGTGAAATCTAGGCTCACTACAATTTCCACCTCCTGGGTTTGAGCAATTCTCTTGTATCAGCCTCCTGAGTAGCTAGGACTACAGGCACCTGCTACCATGCCTGGCTAATTTTTGTATTTTTAGTAGAGACGGGGTTTCACCGTGTTGGCCAGGCTCGTCTTGACCTCCTGAATGCAAGTCATCTGCTTGTCTCAGCCTCCCAAAGTGCTGGGATTACAGGCATGAGCCTGACTGACTATTTTTAGGGTTTTCTAGGTATACAATTATTTCACTGGTGAACAGCAACAGTTTGGCTTTCTCTTTACTGGTTTGAATACCCTTTATTTCTTCCTCTTGTTTGATTGCTCTGGCTAGGGCTTCCAGTACTATGTTGAATAGTAGTGAAAGTTGGCATCCTTGTCTTGTTCCAGTTCTCAGGGGGAATGCTTTCAACTTTTCCTCATTCAATATAATGCTGGTTGTGGGTTTGTCATAGATGGCTTTTATTACTTTGAGGTCTGTCCTTTCTATGCCAATTTCACTGAGGGTTTTAATCATAAAGCAATGCTGGATGTTGTCAAATGCTTTTTCTTCATCAATTGAGATGATCATATGATTTTTGCTTTTAATTCTGTTTATGTGATGCATCACATTTATTGACTTGTGTATGTAAACTAACCCTGCATTCTTGGTGTGAAACCCACTTGATCATGGTGAGTTATCTTTTTGATATGATGTTGGATTTGGTTAGCTAGTATTTTGTTGAGGATTTTTGCATTTATGTTAATCAAAAATGTTGGTCTGTAGTTTTCTTTTTTTGTTATGTCCTTTCCTGGTTTTGGTATTAGGGCTTCATAGGATGATTTAGGGAGGGTTCCCTCTTTCTCTATCTTGTGGAATAGTGTCAATAATATTGGTACAAGTTCTTCTTTAAATATCTGATAGAATTCAGCTGTGAATCCATCTCCTCCTTGACTTTTCTTTTATTGGCAATTTTTAAATTACTGTTTCAATCTCACTACTTGTTATTGATCTGTTTAGAGTTTCTATTTCCTTCTGGTTTAGTCTAGGAGGATTGTATGTTTCCAGGAATTTCTCCATCTCTTTTAAGTTTTCTAGTTTGTCCATGTAAGGGTGTTCATAGTGGCCTTGAATAATCTTTTGTGTTGCTGTGGTACTGGATGTTATGGCTCTTGTTTCATTTCTAATTGAACTTACCTGGATCTTCTCTTTTCTTTTCTTGGTTAATCTCACTAACGGTCTATGAATTTTATTTATCTTTTTTTGTTTAAATTTCATTTATTTTTGCTCTGATCTTTGTTATTTCTTTTTTTTTTCCTACTAGATGTGGGTTTGGTTTGTTCTTGTTCCTCTAGTTCCTTGAGATGTGATCTTAGATTGTCTATTTGTGCTCTTTCAGACTTTTTGATGTAGGCATTTAAGGCTATGAACTTTCCTTTTAGCACTGGTTTTGCTGTATCCTAGAGATTTTGATAGGTGTGCCACTATTATCATTCAGTTCAAAGAATTTTAAAATTTTCTTCTTGAGCTCATGGCTGACCCAACAGTCATTCAGGAGCAGATTATTTAATTTCCATGTATTTGTATAATTTTGAGGTTTCCTTTTGGAGTTGATTTCCAATTTTATTCCACTGTGGTCTGAGAGAGTACTTGATATAATTTCAATTTCCTTAAATTTATTTAGACTTGTGTTGTGGCCTATTGTGTAGTCTGTCTTGGACAATGTGCTGTGCACTGATGAAAAGAATGTATATTTTGCAGTTGTGGGCTGGAAGCATCACATTACCTAACTTCAAACTATATTATAATGCTATAGTAACCAAAACAGCATTATGCTGGTATGAAAACAGATGTACAGACCAATGGAACACAATAGAGAACACAGAAATAAAGCTGCACACCTATAACCATTTGCTGTTTGACAAAGTCAACAAAAATAAGCAATGGGGAAAGGACTCCCTATTCAATAAATGGTGCTGGGATAACTGGCTAACCATACGCAGAAGAATGAAACAGGATTCCTATGTTTCACAATATATAAAAATTAACTCAAGATGAGTTAAAGACTTAAATACAAGACCTAAAACTATAACTATAATAGAAAAAAGCCTAGAAAATACCATTCTGGACATAGGCCCTGGCAAAGATTTCACATTGAAGATGCCAAAAGCAATGGTAACAAAACAAAAATTGACAAATGAGACCTAATTAAATTAAAGAGTATTCTGCACAACCAAGAAACTATCAACAGAGTAAATGGAAAACCTATGGGATAGGAGGAAATATTTGCAAACTATGCATCTGATGAAGTTGTAATATCCAGAATCTATAAGAAAATTAAACAATTCAACAAACAAAAAACAAATAACCTGATTAAAAAGTAGGCAAAGGACATGAACAGACACTTCTCAAAAGAAGACATGCAAGCAGCCAACAAACATATGAAAAGATGCTGAACATCATGAATCATCAAAGAAATGCACATCAAAAGCACAATGAGATATTATCTCATGCCAGTGAGAATGGCTATTATTAAAAAGTCAAAAAATAGCAGATGTTGGCAAAGCTGCAGTGAAAAGGGAACACTTGTACAGTCTTGGTGGGAATGTACATTAGCTCAACCACTGTGAAAAGCAGTTTGGAAATTTCTCAAAGAACTAAGACTTGAACTACCATTTGACTCAGCAATTCCATTACCAGGTACATATCCAAAGGAAAATAAGTTGTTCTACCAGAAAGACATATGCACTCATATGTTCATTGCAGCAGTATTCACAATAGCAAAAACATGGAATCAACCTAGGTGTCCATCAATGGTGGAATGGATAAAGACAATGTGATGCATATATACCATGGAATACCGTGCAGCCATAATACTCATGCTCTTTGCAGCAATGAAATCATGCCCTTTGCAGCAACATAGATGCAGGTGGAGTCCATTATCCTAAGTGAATTAATGCAGGACCAGAAAATCAAATACTGCAGATTCTCATTTACAAGTGGGAGCTAAACATTGGATACACATGGACATAAAGATGGGAACAATAGACACTGGGGCTACTAGGTGGTAGAGAGAGAAAGGGGAACAAGGCCAAAAAGCTACCTATTGGGTACTATGATTACTATCTGGGTAACAGGATCATTTATTCCCTAAACTGCAGCGTCATGCAATATATCTATGTAAGAAACCTGCACATGTATCCACTGAATCTAAAATAAAAGTTAAAATAAAAAAACACTTTATTTCCTTTGGTTGATTTTCTGTTTTACTTTTTTACTCTTTATTATATTTTAATTTGAATATTCTCCATTTGGTACCTTAACCTTTATTATTGATATAATTTTTCTTTTTGTCCTATATTTTCCTGAATTCAATCAAGTCTCATTTCATCTCTTTGTGATCTTAAAATTCCATTTCTGTTCTTAATTTTTATGTTCCTCAAAGTGTTATTTTTATATATAAATTTTTGTTTGAGGATATTTAATTCAGTTTTGAGTACTGTGTTGCAGATTTCTTCAGCTTTGCAGTTGCATTTTAAAAAAGAATTTACATCGCTTTATTAGCTGAGTGCTTTTATTCACATTTTCATGTCTTTTCACAAGACTTTTGTTTGGATATAGTTTTCCTCCTTTTTTTCCTATGGGCATGGTTTTGATTTTTTAAATTTATTTATTTATTTATGTATTTATATATTTATTTATTTATTTATTTACTTTGCAAGAGTGATATAGCTCCTGCTCCTCTAGTGTCCCATCCTTACTGTCAGCAGGAAGAAGAAGGAAGGCAGAAAAGTCAAGGATGAAGAGCAAAGTGCTGACTAAACAAACCAATTAAGTCTGAACTCTTTAGAAAGTTTCCAGATGCTTATCAAGTGACCTTTGCTTGCGTTTTATTGGCCGGACTTGGATCACATTGCCACATCTAGCTTCAAGGGAGTCTGGAAATGTGACTATTTTCCTCTGGGCAGGATTAGAAAAGAATAAAGCCAGTAAAGGCATTAGCAGTATTTGCCATAGAAGAGGAGGAAAAATGTTTTTATTAGACACTTCCTTGTTCATGGAAGAAATATTAGTAATTATTTTTGGTGCTCCTAATTTGATTTTTAATTTATTGCCTTTTTGCTATGAAATGTGATGCAAAGACCTACACATTAAACTGGATAATAGTCCAACTGCATAAATTTAAAATCCAAATAAACACTTATGGAACCTCTACTATGTATGAAGCATTGTGTTAGATAACCATTTAACATAGGTTATTTCATCTCCCATCTAACAATCCTGAAGGTATGCATTATCGTGGCCATTTAACAGATGAGAAAGGTGAGACTAAAAGCTGCTAACTAAATTTGCTTTCTTTTAAAAATTTTTTTTAAATTATACTTTAAGTTCTGGGGTACATGTGCAGAATGTGCAGTTTTGTTACATAGGTATACACATGCCATGGTTGTTTGCTGCACCCATGAACCCATCATCTACATTAGGCATTTCTCCTAATGCTACCCCTCCCCTAGTCCCCCACCCCGTGACAGGCTCCAGTGTGTGATGTTCCTCTCCCTGTGTCCATGTATTCTCATTGTTCAACTCCCACTTATGAGTGAGAACATGCAGTGTTTGGTTTCCTGTTCTTGTGTTGCTGACTTAATTTTCTAGGGTTACCAAGCTAGTAAGTGGTGAAAACAATCTGACATGCGTTTTTCCTGATGCAGCCTTTCCACAATGCAGTTTTTTTCAAAACTGAACATTTTTTAAAGATCACTTTTAGTCAGGTGGTATATCTTCACTAGTATATAAATGCTAGTAATTTGTTCCAAAAGTTCCCTTTCCTCATAGGTACAAAAGACATCCCACATGACGTTTGCAATATTTCCCTAAGAATTGGCATCTACTCCTCAATGTGTAATTAAAGGTAGAGAATGATGCAGCTCAGAGAATTCAGGAGATTATTTTTTGTTATTGTTATTTATTTATTTTTTTTGAGACAGAGCCTCACTGTTGCCCAGCCTGGAGTGCAATGGCACGATCTTGGCTCAGTACAACCTCTGCCTCCCAGGTTCAAGCGATTCTCCTGCCTCAGCCTCCCAGGTAGCTGGAATTTCAAGCACACCACCATGCCGGACTAATTTTTGTATTTTTAGTAGAGATGGTGTTTCACCATGTTGGCCAGGCTGGTCTCAAACTCCTGACCTCAGGTGATCCACCTCCCTCGGCCCCCCAAAATGTTGGGATTACAGGCATGAGCCACCACACCAGGCTGCAGTTTTCTTGACACTCTTCTCTTTATGGTGCTTGCTGCTCTTCTAGGTCTCACTTGGCGGCCCTCTGGAAGCTCATGATTCCTCTTTGTAACAAAGTGGCTGCAGCAGTTCTAGACCTTCGCTCAACACTATTCAGAGCAAATATTTCTGTCTCTTCTGGTATCTTCTGTTTAAGATAGAATAAAGATAGAATAAGCTTTTTGTTTTTTTTTTTTTTTCCTGTAAATACCTCAAATGCCTTGCTGTCTCCCTGACTAGGTTACTTTCCATCCCTGAACCAAAGGGGTGGTTTTTGTAGATCTGCTTAAGCCAATTAAAGTCCATTTCTAGGTGACCAACATTATGCAAAATACATGGCTGGGGCTGGGGTGGTGTGCTTTCACCAAAGAAAATCTGGGTAGTTTTGACAGCAATAGAAGAAAATAGTATCGACAGAAGAATAAAAATGCTCAAGAAGCAAATTGCAGAGTTGCTGTCAACATTAAAGACAATGACTGCAAAATGTTTGGGATAGTGCCTGGCACATAGTAGGTACCCAATAAATAGCAGCTATTATTATTATTGGGGCCATCATCAATATCTTCATCACTTATGGGGCGCTTAGGAGAACAGAGTCTAAGTGATCTTGAAGTGTAGAATGTTAGAACAAGAAGGGATGTGAAAGATAATTGAGACCAATTCTGTCATTTCATGGCTGTGAAACTACAAACCATGGAGGCGATGGAACTTGCCTAAAGTCCCCCTGCTGGCGGCCGGTCACCCTGACCTATCCTCTCTTTTCTTCTCCCTTCAGTTGCATATTTCCGTGGTTAACTCAGAAAACTCTCCTAATGTCTCTAGCTGCCTTCTCTCAGAGCGTAACTACCAGATGGTTGGGACTTCATAAACGTCTGTCAATGAATTAGTTGAAACACATTTTGGAACTTTTCCTAACTTGCAGTTTATTGGCAAAATTTCACACTAGAGACAAGAAATTCCATTGGGAAATTTAGTTCCCTGATTACAGCTTGTGGGTCAATTTATTTCAAATAGTTCAAAGCATCTCAATGTTGAAAAACAATCATTGGTCTTCTAGTGAGTGGGTGGGTTTTCTAAACTAAAAACCAGAATTAAAAAATCATTATTTAGTTGCTTCCTGTAGTTTAGTTTTTTCTGTTTCTCAATAGTTGATCCAAAGATTGGCCAGGGGATTGGTTTCCTGAATCCTTCCTTTTGTAATTTATCCACATCAACATAGGCTGTTCATTTTATGAAAGATCACAGGACCCCGGGGAATTTTGTTGTGTGGAAACAAGATTTACTTGTTCATTGGCAACAAAAATCATAAAATCAAGATCACTAGAAAGGAATCCCAGGGTCATGGAAAGAGCACTTATTTGTACCTCAGCAACTTGATTAATAAATAATGAGCTGTGTAACTTTGAAAGGTCAATTAAATTCTCTGGCCCTTTATTGCATCATCTGAAAACTAAGGATATTGAATTGATGGTCTACAAATTTATTCAGCTCTAAAATTTCTTTGATTTCACCTGATGCCTTAGCTAAGATGAAGTGGTTTAATCTGCTGGGGTGCTTTCAATGCAGATGCAGAAGCTGAGTGGAAGATTCTTGTTCTGAAGAGGGGCCTCCTGTGTTGCAAGTCACACTCCTTCAGTCCCGTCAGCCCTGGACACCCCTCTGAATGATGAGCACTTGCCACCGAGGAAGAAAATTTTCCTCAGCCTAGGGAGAAGGAGCCTCCCATTCCATTCCCTGTTCTAAGGCTGAATATTACCCAAGGAAGGTAGGTAATGCCCTATCCAGAAAGAGTTCTCAGGTTCACTGAGCATGAGTTAGAGGCGCCAAATCTCTGTGTGACCTAGGGTGAGTCGCTTTCCTAGGCTCAGTTTCTGACTCTGTAGAAAGGAGAGGCCTGGATAGGATGTGTCTTAAAGTTCTGCCCGGCTTTCACTTTCTGGGATTCCATGCAGTACCACTTGGGGGTCCAAAGGGGTGGTGGGAAGGAGACCTTGTGATGTGGCTTTGAGCTCATAGCAATGGGTCTTCCAGGCTCTCTCTCACTTACTGCTTCGTTCCTGTTGTACTTCTCTCACTGGGGCTTCACGTTAGAGGATACAATTCTACCTAGTTAGTGTTTAGATGATAATTTTCCAACCTAAGCTTTTACATGTAATCCATGACCCAATGGTGAGGGATTTATTTGGGAAAGTGCTGGAAAAAAGAGGTGGTAATTTATTATCAAATAGCTGCTTTTATCTTGGGGAAGGTGGAAAGAGAAAGCAGAAAGAAATGTAAATAAATACCAGAAAATCTGAGCTAAGAAAAGCTACTATTTATGGAAAGTTTTGTATTTGCTGGGCAACCCTGTGAAGTACTTTATATATTTTATCTCACATCTAATTCTTGCAACAACTATGCCAGATATAAATTGCTACTCTATTGAAAAAAAAACTGTTAATAAGGGCACATGATAGGTGAGCGGTAGAGCTAAGAGTTGGCTCCCAATTTCAACACCCACCCTCTTTACCACTGCTTTAGACCAATTCCTGAGAAGAGTGAAAGGCAGCTTAGCCAGGGGTCCTTGCTTTGTTTTCATCTGTCCTTTAGAGGACGCTGAACCATGAACTATTTCCTCCACTAAAAGGCAGGTCACTTGCCCTTCTGGATTCATCACCTCTGTGCTCTCACGATGACTTCATTAAGCCATCTGACATAATTGTATTAAATTCCCCTAATAGGCTTTTTTGTTTGTTTTTAAAATATATATCATGTGGCCCATTATGGTAACCTTCTCAGCATAAGGACTTATGATGTGTGCGTGTGTGTGTGTAAGAGATTTAGCACTTTAAGTGAGAACTGGGCAATTCATGTCCAAGTAACACTGGACAAAAGAAAGGACAAAAAATGTCTTCTGGAAAACATAATGATGTTAGGGTCCTCCCCACTCAGCTCATAGAAGATAATCTAGAAGTAGATAAAGTATCTCAATTGCAAAATTGCAGCATGTGTGACTTTGACCCAGTGCAGTTAAATGCTTATTTCTGAAATAAAAATGATCTACATTGTTCATAATTTTATATACTTGGTGAGAAAGAGTCTCAGGTAGGTTATAAGAGGTCAACAGACTTAAAAGAAAATGTAGAGAGATAGCATTAAAGAATCTAGTTTTTTTCTTATCAATCTACTGGTTAATCAGTTTATCATCAACCAAGGGTCTACATATATACTGTGTACCATCTGTGAGGCTGACATTTAGGTGCTGTGTGGGTTCAAGGCGTAACAAACTTCAACTCTTTTTCTAACGACAAACAGATGACTGTAATGCCACAATGAGAGAGAGAAAAAAAGAGACTGTATAAAGATAAAGTGTGATGCATTTTGTGCTTTCAACTGTAGGTGGTAGAATAACTTCATTTATGTATTTAAAAATTCAATTAAATGAACATTTGCCGAGAAGTTATTTGGAGGATTCAGAGATGAATAAAGTCAGCAAAGAAGACAGATACAGAAACAAAAATGACAATAAAATATGCTAACTACTTCAGTAGAAATATGTAAAAAACATGGAAGAAGGCTGGGCATGGTGGCTCCCACCTGTAATCCTAGAGCATTGGGAGGATCACTTGAAACCAGGAGTCTGAGGCCAGCCTGGGCAACATTGTGAGATGCCATCTCTACAAAAAAATTAAAAAATTACCTGGGCCTGGTAGCATGCACTTATAGTCCTAGCTACTGAGGAGGCCAAGGCAGAAGGATCCCTTAAGCCTAGGAGTTCAAGATTACAGTGAGCTATGATCATGCCACTGCACTCCAGCCTGGTTGAAACAGTGATACCTTGTCTCAAAAAAGTAAAACAACAACAAAAGCAGGCAAGAGGTGTTTCCTGGCAGTGCAGCGATGGGTGGTGTTTGACCTGAGTATTAAAACAAGAAGAAAAGTTAGAGAGTCAAGGCATGTGCACCAACCAAGCAGAGGGATTAGTTTATGCAAAGAGACAGTTTTTTAGAATGATATATCATTCAGAATGGCTGGAGTACAAGCTCCAGTTGAGAGTGATGGCAACTGAATATAGAAAGATGAACAAGCTCCAGTTCTGGAGAGTCTTAATGTCATGCTGATGGTATTGGATTTAATCTCGTAGTCAGTGGAAAACCGTTGCTAGATTTCAAGTCAATGCATGACTTGATCAGATTTGCATTTTAGAAGTATAACAATCATAATAACTTACATTCTTTGAGGGCTTGCTATGAAATGAATACTGTGTGCCTTCTTGCATTTAGCAGAAGGATGACTTAAACTGATTTCCAGAGTTGAGAGCAGAGATAAATAGTAACCAGAGAAAGCTTCCTAGACAGCGGACCTTGTAGACTAGCTGGCACTTGGAGAGGGAAGCAAAAAGGGGTGATACATCAGGTAATGTGAAAAGTAGGAAAGATTCACCTGTGTTGGGGATCAACTTGTATTTATGAGAAGGTGAGGAGACCTCTGAATAGAACTGAGATTGTGTGCGGTTTAGTGCCCCGTAAAGTGGGTTCGAAGGGGCCTGTGGAGGTCCTGTAGAGGTTTCTAAAAGTCAGATGGAAGAATTTAGGATGGATTACCAGCCAACAGGGAGACAATGGCAATTTCTGAATGACTTGGAACTGAGGGAAGAGGAAGAATTTCTAACGTGAGTATGTAGAATAGACTGGGGATGAAGACTGGGGATGTCTGGGGACAGATGAAGTATGTAGGTGTCTGCAGTCATCCTCATGTGAGTTTATGTCCTACTTGAAGATGGCAGCTGCAGGAAGACAGAGGAGGAAACTGGTGAAATCAACAGGACATAAAGATTGTGTAAATATGACAGGTGGAGGAGGCATGAATTAGATGTGACTCCATGGTTTCAATCCTGAGGGACAGGGAAAATGATGGTGCTGCTATAAGGCCCAGTGTGAGAGGGGTTTCTTCAGCTCACCTGCGCTGGAAGAGAATGACAGATTCCATAGCTTGGTCTCACCAGCTGCAGTTCTGCCTCCCACCAAAATCCTTGCCTTTGGGTAAAGTAGGAGAGGGGAATCCCTGAGTCTCACACTCTGCGCAGGATCCTACATGGTTTCTTGGTCTTGCATGATCCAGAAATGGTGGAAATGGAACATTCCCAATAATGTAGAGTTTCTAATGATGCTCCTGCTATTCACAGGGTGGGATTAGTAAATGAATTTGGCCAAGTTTTGTATTGACCATAGGTCTTGATGCTATTTCTCCAAGGCCCTGGGGTGGCTAACCCCTTTCTCCTCCAGCTGAGGTGTGGTGGCTCTCCACTACCCTTATTTACATAGGCTCGGTTTCAGCTATGGCTCAAACACTCGCAAGCTATGTTTCTTTGGACAAGTTACTAAACTTCTGTAAGCCTCATTTCTCTCATCTAATAATTAGCTACCTCAAAGAGGTACAGGAAGAATTAAATGAGGGGATGACTGTAAGATGCTTATCACAGTCTAGCACACAGTAGACCCGGAATACACAGCAGCAGCATCTGCAGTTGTTGTGGTTGTTAGGAAGACAATGACAATGAAGATGGTAAACATCTGGTAACCACCATGTTCACCATCTTCATCATCATCCTAACAACCACATGATGGCAAACATGAGCTAACAAGATGCTCTAGTTCCTCCAGGCCACCAGACCCCTTGGCAGCCTTCTTGTGTTGTTTTTGAAGCTTCCCTTATTTCTATTCCTCTACACCGGTAAGAGAGTCCCATCTTGCTTTCTCTTTCCCTTTCAGTTGTTTTCTTGGGTACCTCTTTTTTTTTTCTTCACCAATTAATACTCCACTTCATCTCCAGTTTTAGCCAAGCTCCTTACTGAGCATCTTTCAGCAGATTTTTACCTTGTGTTTCTCTTCAAATTTTCACTATGAGAGAAATTGGGGAGGAAAAAGTATTGAATATTTTCAAATGGAAGCACAAGTGGAAGAAGGAAAAGTAAGGTGAATAAGAGATACTTCAAAATAATTTTATTTTATTTAATATTTTTTGAGACGGAGTTTTGCTCTTGTCACCCAGGCTGGAGTGCAATGGTGAGATCTTGGCTCACTGCAACCTCCACCTCCCGGGTTCAAGTGATTATCCTGTCTCAGCCTCCTGAGTAGGTGGGATTACAGGTGCCCACCAGCATGCCCGGTTAATTTTTGTATTTTTAGTAGAGATGGGGTTTCACCATGTTGGCCAGGCCGATCTTGAACTCCTGACCTCAGTTGATCCACCCACCTCGGCCTCCTAAAGTGCTGGGATTACAGGCCTGAGCCACTGCTCCCGGCCCGAGATACTTCAACATAGTTTTGAAAGCAGAGAAAATCTTGAAGTTTTTCTCTCCTTCTTTTCATAAATGTGTTGTTTAATCATTTGAAGTTACAAGCCTCTTCAGGCTAGAACCATGTTCCATTCTCCTTTCCTATGTCCTGAGTTGCCTAGGCCTGTGGTAGGTACTTAATAAAATCTTTGGTTTAAAGAGTTATTTTAAAAGAAATCCTGCACCTTCTGCTGACAAAAATGTTTGCTAATGGCAAGCAAACTGGAAGACAGAAACAAGCAAAGTGGTGTTGTCCATATGTTATATTCAAACTATTGTTTGATAGGGAGCTATTCTCCAAACAACTTCTGGATGTTCACTTAGCTCTCAGCTGCCAACATTTTCTCAAAATGGTTGTAAAATTCATGAAGCTATAGGACTGGGCAAAAACCATAGGGTCTGAAAGAATTCAGAAACTTACATAGTTCATGTAATGAAAACATCAAAGATATTCCCTAAAATGGAGATGTTTCACTTAGATTGGCATTTCTGGGGAGTAAATAAATGGAGGAAACAAAAGAGTCAGGAGCAGAAGGTCACTATACAATCTCTAACACAAAGACATGACCAGAGAAAATGGAGAATAGGAGAAATGTTAGTAATTAATATAAATGGTTTTCATGCTGAAAGCGGTAATTTTTTTTACTTAAAGTAATGTATGAGTTGGAATAATATGACCTGGGAGGCTTGGCTAATTCACAAATTCTCTGAGCCTCAGTTTTCTTACTTGTTATATGGGGATCATAGAGTTTTTGTGGGGCTGCTTGACCAGTGTCTTGCATAGGGTAGGCTATTGAGCACCAAATGAATAAACATTGACTATATAAATAAATAAACAAATGAGTCAGAAAATATGCATAAAAGGGTTTTATTAACAAGCAAGTGCTAAATAAACATGAAGGATTAGCGTTATGATTGCATGTGCTTTGTCACAGGGCTCTTCTCTGAGATCTGTCTTCTCTGAGTGGAATCCATGGCCAGTACAAGTAATGTGACTGAGTTGATTTTCACTGGCCTTTTCCAGGATCCAGCTGTGCAGAGTGTATGCTTTGTGGTGTTTCTCCCCGTGTACCTTGCCACGGTGGTGGGCAATGGCCTCATCGTTCTGACGGTCAGTATCAGCAAGAGTCTGGATTCTCCCATGTACTTCTTCCTTAGCTGCCTGTCCTTGGTGGAGATCAGTTATTCCTCCACTATCGCCCCTAAATTCATCATAGACTTACTTGCCAAGATTAAAACCATCTCTCTGGAAGGCTGTCTGACTCAGATATTCTTCTTCCACTTCTTTGGGGTTGCTGAGATCCTTTTGATTGTGGTGATGGCCTATGATTGCTACGTGGCCATTTGCAAGCCTCTTCATTATATGAACATTATCAGTCGTCAACTGTGTCACCTTCTGGTGGCTGGTTCCTGGCTGGGGGGCTTTTGTCACTCCATAATTCAGATTCTCGTTATCATCCAATTGCCCTTCTGTGGTCCCAATGTGATTGACCACTATTTCTGTGACCTCCAGCCTTTATTCAAGCTTGCCTGCACTGACACCTTCATGGAGGGGGTTATTGTGTTGGCCAACAGTGGATTATTCTCTGTCTTCTCCTTCCTCATCTTGGTGTCCTCTTATATTGTCATTCTGGTCAACTTGAGGAACCATTCTGCAGAGGGGAGGCACAAAGCCCTCTCCACCTGTGCTTCTCACATCACAGTGGTCATCTTGTTTTTTGGACCTGCTATCTTCCTCTACATGCGACCTTCTTCCACTTTCACTGAAGATAAACTTGTGGCTGTATTCTACACGGTCATCACCCCCATGCTGAACCCCATCATTTACACACTCAGGAATGCAGAGGTGAAAATCGCCATAAGAAGATTGTGGAGCAAAAAGGAGAATCCAGGGAGGGAGTGAAAAAAGAGCTTAGGGATGAAAAAGTGATACAAAATGTATGTCTGATTACTCTCTGTTCTTGAAATGGATTTTGATTTTAGTGGGATATTCAAGAATGACAGAAACAAATATAAAGGCTTAATGATACTGCTGCTGTGATTCTGCTTAGTAGCCAAAGACACTTGGTATGCTGGTGTAATGTTTGAAGGACAGAGGTCAGATAGTCTCGCAGAGTCTTAGAGAACTTGATTGGCTTCATGATATCCAACAATATCATGGGCTTGGGTAATATGAAGCCTCAAACCAAGTGCAAATGCAAAGGAGAACATGTTGATAAATGTTTTTTAGATTAAGTCACTTCTTCCTGTTACCTCCTCCCTTCCTCACTTCTTTTCTTTCTCCCTTTTGCTCTTCCTCCTTCCTCCCTCCCTTCCTTCTTTTCTTCCTTCATTCTTTCTCCCCTCTTTGTTCAAACTCCCTCATGATAACAAACTCTATTTCATTAAAAAAGGAAACCAACCAGAGGAATTATCAGGGAATATTTAGGAAGGAGGGCACCAATCTGATCTACAATGTTGACAAGTATGTCTTTGAAAATTACATCCAGGGACTTTTCTTTTCTTCTGGTTGGCTCCTGGTATCTTGTACCATGGACCATCTGACCATAAGCCCCAGAAAAGTCCCTGGAGCATTTTTAGTTCTTGTGATATGTTTTCACAAGAGATGGTCCTTAAATCTGTCTGGTCTTTCTCACAATGTCCAACATTTGTAAAAAAATAATATCAAAATGACATAGATTCTACTTATCACTATGGAAAGATCAAGTCAAATATTTTCACAAATACAGTGTTTCACAAAAACATTGTTAGTCTTATCCAGATGTGAAAAATACAAAATGTTAGAAAATGCTTATTAGGCCTAACTTAAAGAATGAAGGGGAGAGTGATACTGTCCAAGCATACTTCTACTCCAGACCCTGTCCCTTGTTCTAAGTGACCATGCAAGGCCATTTCTTTTAATGCCTATTAGTATTTCTTGGTGAAGGGAGATGAGATCGTCTGTGTCTGCACTTTTGGTTAACTTCTCAGCATCTCTGCCTTACCCCATTGTTTCATATAATTGTACATAATTTATAGAATATCATAAAGTTGTTCCCTGTTGGCTTTAAAATTGCACATATTGGCATTGAATTTGCACAACATCCTCTGCTTTTTCTTGAGAATCAGGTGAAATAATTCATGCAGCTTCCCTAGCAGAGGGATGGAGTATCATGGGTGTGCTATATATCTTAGGGCTTTTTCCTTTCTATTATAGGTGCTGGTTGAACACGTAGGTAAATAGTGGTTTTAAAGGCACCAGCAAACTTCTCACTTCCCTTAGTGTTCCCATTAACCCTGTCCATAGACGACCATCATTAATCCCTGAGAAAATGTTGCTGCTTCTGCTTGGAATGACTTTACTTCCCTTTTCTGTATGGCAAAATCCTATACATTCTTCAAGACCTAGGTTCAAGTCATCTTCCTTATAAGACCTTCTCTGACTTCCCTCCTCTTTGGGTTGAATTTATGTCTCCTTTCTGCAGTCATTTTTACATATTATTGCCCTATCACTTCAATTCTGATTATTTGATGTGTTTGTCTCTCAATAGACTGTAAGCTCTCAAGGGCAGGACTGTCCACTGTCCCTTCTTCTTTGCAGCTCTAAATATCATGCACATAGTTGATACTTCTTAAGTGCATGTGGAATAACCAACCCTTTAGGCTCATGCACAATCCTTGCTATATTAATTCTTATAGGTTCCTTTTGAACACTTTCATGGTGAGGAGCACATCTTCCTGTTGAAATTTTAAGAGCTCAGGCTCTGACATTTGTTAGGCTGTTCCAATTGCCTGTGAGCCACAACCCAGGATCCAAAGTACTTAACTTCCCTGAACAACTGTTTATGCATGAGTATAATGACTAACAATACTATGAAGTTTATAAGATTATTCTGGCTGGGTGTGGTGGCTCACGCCTGTAATCACAGTGCTTTGGGAGGCTGAGGCAGGTGGATCACTTGAGGTCAGGAGTTTGAGACCAGCCTGGACAACATGGAGAAACGCTGTCTGTACTAAAAATTAGCCAGGTATGGTGGCACGTACGTGTAATCCCAGCTACTCGGGAGGCTACGGCAAGAGAATCACTTGAACCTGGGAAGCGGAGGTTGCAGTGAGCCAACATAGCACCACTGCACTCCAGCTTGGGTAACAGAGTGAGACTTAGCCTCAAAAAAAAAAAAAAAAAAGAAAGAAAGAAAAAAAAGGGATTATTCTGAATATTAAATCAGATAATATACCTGCAAAGCTTTTAGAACAGAACATGGTCATCAATAAATATTAGCCATCATCATCTTCATCATTAGAACTGATTATTAATTTTATTTTGTGTGATGACTGCATCTCACAATGATCATTCTGTCCTGTAGAGCTACTCAGAATAGGCCTTGATTCCACCCCAAAAGTGTTCAAGCATTCTAAGGCAGTTCAATAGACCTTCTCTGTCGCATGCCACGTTGCTTCTCTGAACGTAAACATTCTCTGTTAGGCCATCTACCTGGTGCATCATAGGTACTCACTTAGTATTTGTTAAATAGATGTTGACTGTAAAATAGCTTCCCTATAATCTTTTATGCTAATGCTTTTATATCTTGTTAATGTATATTTTAAAGCATTTGCTCCAGAATGAAACACAGTGAAGGCACCCTTCCTTTCTCTTGATATCTTGCTTGTATTAAAGCAGGCTAGGACTTTAGGTTGCAGGTTGTGGTAGGAGTCCCTTACTCATGGGCAGGTTTGGTTTCCTCTCTGAGAACTATGGATAGAACACCATCAGTGAACTCTGAGTGGTTGGATACTGCACAGGCAGATAATATCTATTCTAATTGAATGGTCAAAATTCTTAAGGATCATGTCACCTACTCTCAACCCTCAAGAGAGTTGAGACTTAGGTCTGTTGAGAGCTGATTACTCACTTTGTTCTGGCCTTGCTGCAAGAAGCACATAAGTTAAAGGAAAACATTTTTTCATTGTTTTAAGAGACAGAGAATGTCATAAAATTTTAAAAATGTCTTCTCAATGAACAGAAGTAGTAATAATCTAATTATACCACTTAGCACTAGAGAGCATGTAGTTAGCTCTTGGTTGTTGATTTTATCACAACATTAAAAATGTATTTTTAAGAGAATCAATATAACATGCTTTCTTTAAAGAAAAACTAGTAGAGTGCTGTAAACTACTCAGATACATAATTTTGTATCCTTTGTCCATTAATTATTTGTATTCATTTAGGTATAGGTTTGACTGCATATAACAGGGAAAAAAGCAACTTTTAATGAGATAGAGTTAAAAAAGTTCAGAGGTTGAAAGTCCAGCTCTGATGGAGATATTCTATATCTGTGCAGTTCAATATGGCAATGCTTCTGAGCATTATGGTATAGGGAAAAAATATCGTAGTGTCTGTTGAGCACTTGAAATATGGCTAGTGAGACCCAGGAAGTGAATTTTAAATGTATTTACTTTAAATAAGTTAAGCCTCAATAGCCACATGTGGATGACATATTGGACAACACAACTCTAGCTTTGCATTTCTATTCCAGGGGACAGAAGCAGAGAAAGGAGGCGGAAAAACTGATCACTTTCCCTTTAGATTTTCCAAAAGTGCCATATAGCACTTTTGCTTTCATCTTGATAACGATTAGTAGCATGGTGAAACCTAATTTCAAAGGGGGCAGGGAACTATAATTTTTGTTTTGTTTGTTTTTTTTTGAGACAAAGTTTCACTCTGTCACCCAGGTGGAGTACAGTGGTGCCATCTTGGCTCACTGCAAACTCTCCCTCCTGGGTTCAAGCGATTCTCGTGCCTTAGCCTCCTGAGTAGATGGGACGACAAATGTGTGCCACCACGTCTGGCTAATTTTTGTATTTTTAGTAGAGACAGGGTTTCACTATGTTGGCCAGGCTGGTCTCGAACTCCTGGCCTCAGGTGATCCATCCCTGTCAGCCTCCCAAAATGTTAGAATTACAGGCTTGAGCCACCACACCCTGCCAACTATAATCTCTTATAGTGTGTGGAGTTGTGTGCAGTGAAAACTCAGGGTTCTGTTCTGTTCCTAAAGAGGAAGAGAATAGGTGTAAGGATTGGCGTATAGTCTCAGGCACTTTACACAATTTCCGTGTAATTAAAATTTTTTCATAAATGTGGTTTGCAATATCACAGAGTCTCATTGTTGCCTAATTCACTTAATTATTCACTCATTTCAGGGCTTTTAAGGTCATTTAATAATTTACTCAACAAGACTCACTGAGCATATATTACATGCCAGGTGTTGTTCTAGAGATGTGGTGGTACGTAGGCCAGAGACCTTTCCTGCCTTCATGGAGATTGCATTCTAGATAGACATTCTGTTTTCTGAAGCTGCTGTGGTCTGGATCAGCATTGCCAATAGAACTTTCCATGATAATGGAAGTGTTCTTATCGTGTGAATACACGCTAGTCCCTAGCCATGTGGCTACTGAGCCCTTGAAATATTTCTAATACGACTAAAAAATGAAATTTTAAATTTTAGTTAATTTAATTTTAATTAACTAAAATGTAGATTTAAATAGTCACACATGACCAGTGGCTACCAAACTGGGCAGCAAAAGTCTAGAGCCTTCAGTGTTTACTTCTGCTTCAAACTTGTACCTCTTAATCAGGGTCAGCAGCAAGACTGCCCTCGTCCCTGGCACAGTGAAGGCTCTGTGGCTTTAATTTCAGGCTTTCACTAGCCAGCTCTTCTAACTCATCCTCACATGGTCATCGGCTCACTACTCTTCACCCCATTGAGGTGCCAAGGTGGCTGGAGAGAAGGGGCACAGCGCCAGCCTGTGCCATTCCCAGTCCACCTTGCCCCGTTGTCTCTCCACCTGCACTTCAGGAATGAACTTCAGGCCTGTGTGACTTCGTGCCTCATGATTAGTAACTTCTTACAAGGACCTTTTGCAGCATTTGACACAGCTAACTAGTCTCTCCTGGAAACTATACATCTTTGTTTCCATGATCCCATTCCCTCTTGGTTCCTTTCCCAGCACACTGGCTACTCTTCTCAGTTTCCTTTGCTGATGCCTTCTTATTTTTCCAATTTCTAAGCATCTGCCTGACCCAGGGCTTCATTTTCAAACCCCTGCCCTACCTACTCGAGGAGTTCCCACTGAGTCTCCCAGCTTTAAATAACATTCATGAGTTTATGACTCTCAAATTTATAGCTTCAGCCTGAACGTCCTCCCTGAACTGTGATGTATATACTTAACTGTCTACTCAACACCTCTGCTGGGGATTTTGAAAGGTAACTTCACTTAATGTGTCTAAAAACGGAACCATCTTCCCCACTTCCCGGCTTTTCCCACAGTCATTCCCAGCTCAGTAAATGCAAGTCTGGTCCAATTGCTGAAACCTTGGAGGTGTCCTTGATTTCTCTCTTTTTCTCACTCCTTGCAATAAAAGACCAGCAAATCTTGTTAGTTCTACCTTCAAAATATGTCCAGAATCTGACTACCTCCTAAAATCTTCATTGCTAGCATGATGGCTCAAGTCATAGTCATCTCTTGACTGGCTTACTGTAATGGTCTCATGACTGGTTTCATTGTATTTCCCACTTGACTTCATTATTCTCAAGACAGCAGCCAGAGATCCTAGTAAGAGATGACCTTTCCTTACGACCTTATGTAAATAATATCCACCAGCATTCCCCATCATCCTCAATCTGTTTTATTTTTCTCTATAGGACTTATTATTATCTGATTTGTCTATCAAGTTTTATTTATTTTCTATCTCCATTTCCATTATGTGCTGGTGGGGATATGAAGGGTGCAACCTCCACAAGTCTAGGCATTTTTTTTCTTCACTGCCAAATCTCCAACACCTAGAACAGTGCTTGGCACATAATAGGACTCAATATTATTTGTTGAAGAATGAATGAGTGGGCAAATGACATCTCTTTCAGAAGAAATTCTCATCATATTACATGATTATGACCCACTTTCATCATTGATGGGGAGACTGAGGCACAGGGAGACTAAGCGATTTCTGTTTTTATTTTTTTAAAGACAAGGTTTCATTCTGTGGCCCAGGCTGGAGTGCAGTGGTGTATTCATAGCTCACCGCATCCTTGAACTCTGGGGCTCAAGGGATCCTCCCACCTCAACCTCCTGAGTAGCTAGGATTGCAGGCACATGCCATCATGCCCAGCTAATTTTTTAAACTTTTTTAAAATTTTTTTTGTAGAGATGGGGTCTCACTATGTTTCCCAGTCTGGTCTTGAACTCCTGGGCTCAAGTGATCCTCCTGCCTCAGCCTCCCAAAGTATTGAGATTACAGTTGTGAGCCACTGCACCTGGCCCCAGACTAAGTGACTTTATATGTGAATACATGAATGTTAGAATTGGAAGGCACAATGAAGATAATCTAGACGAATGCTGTCATCTTATATAGAAGTGGAAATAGGGGAGGATGAAAAGGAGAAATGGCATGGTCATAGTTAACCACTGGGCCCAAGCTAGCACCCAGGTAGCCTGACTTCCTGTCCAGTCCTCTTTTTCTTCTCTATTTACTCTTGTATTTATTCTCAGTAGTCAAATCTGGGCAAAAAGTCCTCTTCATGTCTTACTTACAACTTTCTTCTCCTACTACCTTGTTATTGGTTGCAGAAACTTTATGGAAATCTCATTAAACTAATTGAAACCGATTTCATACTTTTCCTCAAGTTATTTGACAAAGTTTTACTCTAGAGAAGAGAAATTCCATGGGGAAGTCAGTCTCTTGATGATAGTATGTGGCTTACTTTGTTTTAAATAGTTCAAGGATCTTGACATCTAATCATAGCCCTTGGACTTTGAGTGGGGGGATAGGTTTTCTACATCAAAACAGGATTGGAGAATCTCTGGGTTAGCTGCTTCCTATGGTGTTTGCTTATTTCTTAGATGTTCTAAATTCAAATATTAACCATGATGCAGATCCCCTGAATTTTCCTTATTTGTGTGACTTATCTTAAACAGCATCTACTTTGTTTTCTAAAAGCTCCCAGGACCGTTGGTGATTTTTCCTTGGGGACAAGTTCTGATCATTGAATTGCAGTAGCAACCACCATCCAGTACCATTAGAAGACAGCCTAATGTTGAAAGAGCACAGGTTCTGAGTTAGTAATCTGGCAAATAACTAGTGTGTGGCTTTGAGAAGCAGGTTAATTCTGCCCTGCCTCTGTTGCCTCATTTATAAACAGAGGAAGTTGGAGTAAAATCTCTCTACCTATTGTAGATTGTAATATTTTTCAATTGTGCTTTCTAACTGGTAATTCCATTTGAATTTTCTTATTGTAATAGTGGCTTTCGTTTGACTTATGTCTTTCTCCCCTAGGTTTACATATAGAAATTTTGCTTGCAAGAAACAGAGGCCTGTTCAAAGTAGCTTAGACAAAAAGAAGAATTTATTTGAGGAATAAGGGGCTGTTCCTGGTATCCAAGTACACATGGGCTGAATTAGGGTTTAAAAAGTCAAGGATCGGGGATACTCTCTGCATCTCTGAGATGCCATGGTCTCTTTCTGTACTACTTTTCTTGCTCTAGAATACTCATTTCTCAATGTTTAAAGGTTCAAGGACTTTAGTTAAACTTCAGCATGTGCCCTTACATGAGGAATTCTGACACACACTGATTTGTTTCCTTCTGTCCACATCACTGACTTTTTTTTTTTTTTTGAGATGGAATCTCGCTCTGTCGCCCAGGCTGGAGTGCAGTGGCGCTATCTCGGCTTACTGCAGGCTCCAGCCCCCGGGTTCAGGCCATTCTCCTGCCTCAGCCTCCCGAGTAGCTGGGACTACAGGCTCCCGCCATCACGCCCGGCTACTATTTTGTATTTTTAGTAGAGACGGAGTTTCACGGTGTTAGCCAGGATGGTCTCGATCTCCCGTGATCCGCCCACCTTGGCCTCCCAAAGTGCTGGGATTACAGGCGTGAGCCACCGTGTCCGGCCGACTTTTGTTTTGTTGATTCTGTTCTTTACTATTCAAGGTATATTTTTAGTTCTTTAAAATTATATTTTAAAAACATTTCACATATGAAATTGGAGATAATGGGAAAAAATGGGGATACATTTTATAGCAGAGAATCAAAGTGTATCAAATCATATATATATGAACTATATATGAACTTACACACACATATACACACACACATACACACACACACACACACACACACACACACACACACACATATATATATATATATTTTTTTTTTTTTTTTTGAGATGGAGTCTCGCTCTGTTGCCCAGGCTGGAGTGCAGTGAATCTCAGCTCACTGCAACCTCCGCCTCCTGGGTTCAAGCGATTTTTGTGCCTCATCCTCTTGCCTAGCTGGGACTACAGGCATGCACCACCATGCTTGGCTAATTTTTGTATTTTTAGTAGAGACGGGGTTTCACCCTATTGGCCAGGCTGGTCTCAAACTCCTGACCTCAGGTGATCTGCCCGCCTTGGCCTCCCAAAGAGCTGCTATTAGAGACATGAGCCACTGAACCTGGCCCATGTATATATATTAATCTTACTTCTGAGGGATCAGATGTGGTGAAAAATTCCCAGTGGGCACCTTCATCTAGAGAATATTGTTTTGAATCACATGATATTGTTAGCTTAAGGTATGTATTGTGATCTGTATTCTTCTGTGTAATCTGATGAGTGTTTAGATGTATAAGAGGTTCTCTCAGTAGGTGTTTGTTCCAGCGAAGTAGCTTAGAGAGAAACCTCCCCTTTTTTTTTAAAAAAATGTTAAATTTAATTTGTTTTTATTTCTTCTAAAAAAACCTGGGATACATGTGCAGAATGTGCAGGTTTGTCACATAGGTATATGTGTGACATGGAGGTTTGCTGCACCTATTGACCTGTCCTCTAAGTTCCCTCCCCTCACCCCCAGCCTGCAACAGGCCCTGGTGTGTGTTATTCCCCTCTCTGTGTCCATGTGTGAGAGAAACCCTTACTCTTGCTGCCATATGCTTTGCTGCTGACTGCCAATCCAGGACCCTGGATTGAGAGTCAGAAAGATTGGTCCTGGGTCCCAGAATTCACTACTTTCTGTGTGACCTTGGGCAAATAACCATTTCTCTTCAACTTCATTTTCTAATAATAAAATTAAATACGTTAAAATTGGCTGGGTGCAGTGGTTCATGCCTGTAATCCCAGCACTTTGGGGAGCTGAGGCGGGAGGATCGCCCAGGAGTTTGAGACCAGCCTGGACAATGGGGTGAAACCACATTTCTACAAACAGTATAAAAAATTATCCAGGCATGGTGGTGCACACCTATAGTCTCAGCTATCTGGGAGGCTGAAGTGGATCATCTGAGCCACGGAGGTTGAGGCTGCAGTGAGCTGTGATCACACCACTACACTCCAGCCTGGGTGACACTGTGTCTCTCTGTAGACACACACACACACACACACACACACTCACACACACACACGTGTTAGATTGCTAATATTTAATGCTGAATGAATACACAGTGGCTTAAAAATGAGTGAGTAATAAGTGTATTATAGAGTGGCTTACACTCTCTAAAGTGCTAGAAATGAGGTGAATTAGTGTTGTGATCATTGTTTTATTGCAGGGCACTCACTGCCTGGCATCCAGCACACCTGCATTGAATCCATGGCCAGTACAAATAATGTGACTGAGTCAATGATCACCAGCCTTTTCCAGGATCCAGCAGTGCAGAGAGTGTGCTTTGTGGTGTTTCTCCCCGTGTACTGGCCATGGAGGTGGGCAATGGCCTCATCGTTCTGACGGTCAGTATCAGCAAGAGTCTGCATTCCCCTGTGTACTTCTTCCTGAGCTACCTGTCATTGATGGAGATCAGTTACTTCACTGTTGTCCCTAAATTCATCACAGACTTACTTGCCAAGATTAAAGCCATCTCTCTGGAGGGCTATCTGGCTCAGATATTCTTGCACTTCTTTGGCATCCCCTGGATCTTTCTGCTCCCACTGATGACCAATGACCAATATATGGCCAACTGCAAACTTTATTACTACACAACCATCATGAGCTGCCTGTCTGTCACCTTCTGGTGGCTGGTTTCTGGCTGAGGGGCATAATTCACTCAATGGTTCAGATCCTTGTCTCTGTCCAATTGTTCTTCTGTGGTCCCAACATGATTGACCACTCATTCTGTGACCTCCAGGTCTTATTCAAGCTTGCCTGCACTGACACCTTTGTGGAGGGGGTTATTGTGTTGGCCAACAGTGAATTAGTATCTGTCTTCTTCCTTATCTTGGTGTCCTCTTAATATCATCATCCTAGTCAACTTGAGGAACCATTCTGCAGAGGGGAGGTGCAAAGCCCTCTCCACCTGTGCCTCTTATCTTGTATTTTGAACTTGCCATTTTCCTCTACGTGTGACTCTCCTCCACCTTTACTAAAGATAAACTCGTGGCTGTATTTTACGTGGTCATCACCCCCATGCTGAACCCCTTCATCTACACGCTTGGGAATGCAGAGATGAAAATCACCATGAGGAGATTGTTGGGCAGGACAGTGAACTCAGGAATGGAATAAAATGACAACATGAAAAAAAAATAGCACAAAGAGAGAGACCATATATGCAATCTGATTTTAGTTAACTATGAGGGAATAGAGCAAAAGTTAGCTTATTTATATTTTTTGTTGTATTTCGGATGAGCTGCTTATACTCCATGGTATCAATCAGAGACAGCTAATAGTTGTTAGTATTTTGGAGAATGTTGAAAACTTTCTTCTCTTCTTCAGTAGTCCATAGTGCAAAGTGCATAGACTTTTAAGGAGGAATTATCTAGATTGGAAACCCCTACCCTGTCATCTGTTAGCTGTGTGACCTTAGATTTATTTCAGTTCACCTCTTGGTGATAGCCCACTGTGGGATGTGGAAAGATTATGGCCCTTGGAGACAAAAGTTCATGTTTTGCTTCATCCCTTCTTACTGAGAGGTGACAGCATGCTGGCAGCCTTCGATTGCTCTCAGCACCTCCTGGGCCTTGGTTCCCACTCTGGCCACGCTTGAGGAGCACTTCAGCCCACCGCTGCACTGTGGGAGCCCCTCTCTGTGCTGGCCGAGGCCGGAGCCGGCTCCCTCTGCTTGCGCAGAGGTGTGGAGGGAGAGGAGTGGGTGGGAACCGGGGACTGCGCGTGGTGCTCATGGGCCAGCACGAGTTCTGGGTGGGAGTGGGCTCGGCGGCCCCGCACTCGGAGCAGGCTGCTGGTGCTGCAGGCCCAGGGCAGTGAGGGGCTTAGCACCCAGGCCAGCAGCTGCAGAGGGGCAGCCAGGTCCCCCAGCACTGCCTGCTGGCCCACACTCACTTGAATTCTTGCGGGGCCTCAGCCGCCTCCCAGCGGGGCAGGGCTCAGGACTGCAGCCAGTCATGCCGGAGCCTCCTCCCACTGGCTGTGGGCTCCTGCATGGCCAGAGCCTCCCCTACGAGCACTACTCCCTGCTCCTTTGCACCATGGTCCCATCAACCGCCCAAGGGCTGAGGAGTGCATGCGCACCGCACCGGGCTGGCAGGAAGCTCTGCCTGTGGACCTGGTGCGGGATCCACTAGGGGAAGCCAGCTATGCTCCTGAGTCTGGTGGGGACTTGGAGAAATTTTATGTCTAGCCAGAGGATTGTATATGCACCAATCAGCACTCTGTGTCTAGCTAATCTGGTGGGGACTTCGAGAACTTTTAACTCTATCTAAAGGATTGTAAATGCACCAATCAGAACTCTGTGTCTAGCTCAAGGTTTGTAAACACACCAATCAGCTCCCTGTGTCTAGCTCAAGGTTTGTAAATGCACCAATCAGTGCTCTGTGTCTAGTTAATCTAGTGGGGACTTGGAGAATTTTATGTCTAGCTAAAGGATTGTGGATACACCAATCAGCACTCTGTGTCTAGCTCAAGGTTTGTAAACACACCAGTCAGCACTCTGTGTATAGCTCAAGGTTTGTAAATGCACCAATCAGTGCTTTGTGTCTAGTTAATCTAGTGGGGACCTGAAAACTTTTATGTCTAGCTAGAGGATTGTAAATACACCAATCAGTACTCTGTGTCTAGCTCAGGGATTGTAAATACACCAATCAGCACCCTGTCAAAACGGACCAATCAGCTCTCTGTAAGCTGGACCAATCAGCTCTCTGTAAAATGGGCCAATCAGCAGGATGTGGGTGGGGTCAGATAAGGGAATAAAAGCAGGCTGCGGGAGCCAGCAGGGGCAACCCACTGGGTCCCCTTCCACACTGTGGAAGCTTTGTTCTTTTGCTTTTTGCAATAAATCTTGCTGCTGCTCACTCTATGGGTCTGCACTGCCTTTATGAGGTGTAACACTCACTGCAAAGGTCTGCAGCTTCACTCCTGAGGCCAGCGAGACCATGAACCCACCAGGAGGAATGAACAACTCCAGACGGGAGGAACGAACAACTCCAGATGCGCTGTCTTAAGAGCTGTAACTCTCACCACGAAGGTCGGCAGCTTCACTCCTGAAGCCAGCGAGACCACAAACCCACCAGAAGGAAGAAACTCTGAACACATCTGAACATCAGAAGGAACAAACTCCAGACATGCCGCTTTTAAGAACTGTAACACTCACTGCGAGGGTCTGCGGCGTCATTCTTGAAGTCAGTGAGACCAAGAACCCACTAATTCTGGACATATTACCAGTGTGATCTTGGGGGAGCTCCAGGAAAGCTTCTGTACTTTATTTGGTTTCCCTCACCCCGTTAACCTGATTCTAATGCCTGAAATGCCATGGTAGGAGTTTTAGTTCATGAGAAAGAGTGGCACTTTTAGAGTGCACATGTCTCTGGGAGTTGAAATATAAGCTAATTGATTAACCCTTAATATCTTAATCTGAATGACTTTATAAGACACTTCTCTTTTTATTATTTATTTATTATTATACTTTAAGTTCTAGGGTACATGTGCACAACGTGCAGGTTTGTTACATATGTACACATGTGCCATGTTGGTGTGCTGCACCCATTAACTCGTCATTTACATTACGTATATCTCCTAATACTGTCCCTCCTCCCTACCCCTACCCCACTACAGGCCCCTGTGTGTGATGTTCCCCTTCCTGTGTCCATGTGTTCTCATTGTTCAATTCCCACCTATGAGTGAGAACATGCGGTGTTTGGTTTTTTGTCCTTGTGATGGTTTGCTGAGAATGATGGTTTCCAGCTTCATCCATGTCCCTACAAAGGACATGAACTCATCTCTTTTTATGGCTGCATAGTATTCCTTGGTGTATATGTGCCACATTATCTTAATCCAGTCTATCATCGATGGACATTTGGGTTGGTTCCAAGTCTTTGCTATTGTGAATAGTGCTGCAATAAATATACGTGTGCATGTGTCTTTATAGCAGCATGATTTATAATCCTTTGGGTACATACCCAGTAATGGGATGGCTGGGTCAAATGGTATTTCTAGTTCTAGATCCTTGAGGGATGGCCACACTGTCTTCCACAATGGTTGAACTAGTTTACAGTCCCACCAACAGTGTAAAAGTGTTCCTCTTTTTCCACATCCTCTCCAGCACCTGTTGTTTCCTGACTTTTTAATGATCGCCATTCTAAATGGTGTGAGATGGTATCTCATTGTGGTTTTGATTTGCATTTCTCTGATGGCCAGTGATGATGAGCATTTTTTCATGTGTCTTTTGGCTGCAAAAATGTCTTCTTTTGAGAAGTGTCTGTTCATATCCTTCGCCCACTTTTTGATGGGGTTGTTTGTTTTTTTCTTGTAAATTTGTTTGAGTTCTTTGTAGATTCTTGATATTAGTCCTTTGTCAGATGAGTAGGTTGCAAAAATTTCTCTCCCATTCTGTAGGTTGCCTGTTCACTCTGATGCTAGTTTCTTTTGCTGTGCAGAAGCTCTTTAGTTTAATTAGATCCCATTTGTCAATGTTGACTTTTGTTGCCATTGCTTTTGGTGTTTTCGACATGAAGTCCTTGCCCATGCCTATGTCCTGAATGGTATTGCCTAGGATTTCTTCTAGGGTTTTTATGGTTTTAAGTCTAACATGTAAGTCTTTAATCCATCTTGAATTAATTTTTGTATAAGATGTGAGGAAGGAGTACAGTTTCAGCTTTCTCCACTTGGCTAGCCAATTTTCCCAGCACCATTGATGAAATAGGGAATCCTTTCCCCATTGCTTGTTTTTCTCAGGTTTGTCAATGATCAGATGGTTGTAGATGTGTGGTATTATTTCTGAGGGCTCTGTGCTGTTCCATTGGTCTGTATCTCTGTTTTGGTACCAGTACCATGCTGTTTTGGTTACTGTAACCTTATAATATAGATTGAAGTCAGATAGCGTGATGCCTACAGCTTTGTTCTTTTTGCTTAGGATTGTCTTTGCAATGAGGGCTGTTTTTTGGTTCCATATGAACTTTAAAGTTGTTTTTTCCAATTCTGTGAAGAAAGTCACTGGTAGCTTGATGGGGATGGCATTGAATCTATAAATTACCTTGGGCAGTATGGCCATTTTCATGATATTGATTCTTTCTATCCATGAGCATGGAATGTTCTTCCATTTGTTTGTGTCCTCTTTTAGGTCATTGAGCAGTGGTTTGTAGTTCTCCTTGAAGAAGTCCTTCTCATCCCTTGTAAGTTGTATTCCTAGGTATTTTATTCTCTTTGAAGCAATTGTGAATGGTAGTTCACTCATGATTTGGCTCTCTGTTTGTCTGTTTTTAGTCTATAAGAATGCTTGTGATTTTTGCACATTGATTTTATATCCTGAGACTTTGCTGAAGTTGCCTATCAGCTTAAGGAGATTTTGGGCTGAGACGGTGGGGTTTTCTAGATATACAATCACGTCATCTGCAAACAGGGACAATTTGACTTCCTCTTTTCCTAATTGAATACCCTTTATTTCCTTCTCCTGCCTGATTGCCCTGGCCAGAATTTCCAACCCTATGTTGAATAGGAGTGGTGAGAGAGGGCATCCCTGTCTTGTGCCAGTTTTCAAAGGGAATGCTTCCAGTTTTTGCCCATTCAATATGATATTGGCTGTGGGTTTGTCGTAGATAGTTCTTATTATTTTGAGATACGTCCCATCAATACCTAATTTATTGAGAGTTTTTAGCATGAAGGGTTGTTGAATTTTGTCAAAGGCCTTTTCTGCATCTATTGAGATAATCATGTGGTTTTTGTCTTTGGTTCTGTTTATATGCTGGATTATGTTTATTGATTTTCATATGTTGAACTGGCCTTGCATCCCAGGGATGAAGCCCACTTGATCATGATGGATAAGCTTTTTGATGTGCTGCTGGATTCGGTTTGCCAGTATTTTATTGAGGATTTTCGCATCGATGTTCATCAGGGATATTGGTCTAAAATTCACTTTTTTGGTTGTGTCTCTGCCCTTTGGTATCAGGATGATGCTGGCCTCATAAAATGAGTTAGGGAGGATTCCCTCTTTTTCTATTGATTGAAATAGTTTCAGAAGGAATGGTACCAGTTCCTCCTTGTACCTCTGGTAGAATTCGGCTGTGAATCCATCTGGTCCTGGACTTTCTTTTGTTGGTAAGCTATTAATTATTACCTGAATTTCAGATCCTGTTATTGATCTATTCAAAGATTCAACTTCTTCCTGGTTTAGTCTTGGGAGGGTGTATGTGTTGAGGAATTTATCCATTTCTTCTAGATTTTCTAGTTTGTTTGTGTAAAGGTGTTTATAGTATTCTCTGATGGTAGCTCGTATTTCTGTGGGATCGGTGGTGATATCCCCTTTGTCATTTTTTGTTACATCTATTTGATTCTTCTCTATTTTCTTCTTTGTTAGTCTTGCTAGTGGTCTATCAATTTTGTTGATCTTTTCAAAAAACCAGCTCCTGGATTCGTTGATTTTTTGAAGGGTTTTTTGTGTCTCTATTTCGTTCAGTTCTGCTCTGATCTTAGTTATTTCTTGCCTTCTACTAGCTTTTGAATGTGTTTGCTCTTGCTTTTCTAGTTCTTTTAATTGTGATGTTAGGGTGTCAATTTTAGATCTTTCCTGCTTTCTCTTGTGGGCATTTAATGCTATACATTTCCCTCTACACACTGCTTTGAATGTGTCCCAGAGATTCTGGTATGTTGTGTTTTTGTTCTCATTGGTTTCAAAGAATGTGTTTATTTCTGCCTTCATTTTGTTATGTACCCAGTAGTCATTCAGGAGCAGGTTGTTCAGTTTCCATGTAGTTGAGCGGTTTTGAGTGAGTTTCTTAATCCTGAGTTCTAGTTTGATTGCACTGTGGTCTGAGAGACAGTTTGTTATAATTTCTGTTCTTTTACATTTGCTGAGGAGTGCTTTACCTCCACCTATGTGGTCAGTTTTGTAATAGGTGTGGTGTGGTGCTGAAAAGAATGTATATTCTGTGGATTTGGGGTGGAGAGTTCTGTAGATTTTTATTAGGTCTGCTTGGTGCAGAGCTGAGTTCAATTCCTGGGTATCCTTGTTAACTTTCTGTCTCATTGATCTGTCTAATGTTGACAGTGGGGTGTTAAAATCTCCCATTATTACTGTGTGGGAATCTTAATCTCTTTGTAGATCTGTAAGGACTTGCTTTATGAATCAGGGTGCTCCAGTATTGGGTGTATATATATTTAGGATAGTTAGCACTTCTTGTTGAATTGATCCCTTTACCATCATGTAATGGCCTTCTTTGTCTCTTTTGATCTTTGTTGGTTTAAAGTCTGTTTTATCAGAGACTAGGATTGCCACCCCTGCCTTTTTTTGTTTTCCATTTGCTTGGTAGATCTTCTTCCATCCCTTTTTTTTGAGCCTATGTGTGTCTCTGCACATGAGATGGGTTTCCTGAATACAACACAGTGATGGGTCTTGACTCTTTATCCAATTTGCCAGTCTGTGTCTTTTAATTGGAGCATTTAGCCCATTTACATTTAAGGTTAATATTGTTATGTGTGAATTTGATCCTGTCAATATGATGTTAGCTGTTTATTTTGCTCGTTAGTTGATGCAGTTTCTTTCTAGCCTCGACGGTCTTTACAATTTGGCATGTGTTTTCAGTGGCTGGTACCAGTTGTTCCTTTCCATGTTTAGTGCTTCCTTCAGGAGCTCTTTTAGGGCCGGCCTGGTGGTGACAAAATCTCTCAGCATTTGCTTGTCTTTAAAGTATTTTATTTCTCCTTCACTTATGAAGCTTAGTTTGGCTGGATATGAAATTCTGGGTTGAAAATTCTTTGCTTTAAGAATGTTCGATATTGTCCCCCACTCTCTTCTGGCTTGTAGAGTTTCTGCTGAGAGATCAGCTGTTAGTCTGATGGGCTTCCCTTTGAGGGTAACTCGACCTTTCTCTCTGGCTGCCCTTAACATTTTTTCCTTCATTTCAAGTTTGTTGAATCTGACAATTATGTGTCTTGGAGTTGCTGTTCTCGAGGAGTATCTTTGTGGGGTTCTCTGTATTTCCTGAATTTGAATGTTGGCCTGCCTTGCTAAACTGGGGAAGTTCTCCTGGATAGTACCCTGCAGAGTGTTTTCCAACTTGGTTCCATTTTCCCCATCACTTTCAGGTACACCAGTCAGACGTAGATTTGGTCTTTTCACATAGTCCCATATTTTTTTTGTGGCTTTGTTTGTTTCTTTTTATTCTTTTTTCTCTAAACTTCTCACTTCATTTCATTCATTTGATCTTCCATCACTGATACCCTTTCTTCCAGTTGATCAAATCGGCTACTGAGGCTTGTACATTTGTCACATAGTTCTTGTGCCATGGTTTTCAGCTCTGTCAGGTCCTTTAAGGGCTTCCCTGCATTGGTTATTCTAGTTAGCCATTCATCTAATTTTTTTTCAAGGTTTTTAACTTCTTTGCCATGGGTTCGAACTTCCTCCTTTAGCTTGGAGTAGTTTGATCATCTAAAGCCTTTGTCTCTCAACTCATCAAAGTCATTCTCCATCCAGTTTTATTCTGTTGCTGGTGAGGAGCTGCATTCCTTTGGAGGAGGAGAGGTGCTGTGATTTTTAGAGTTTCCAGTTTTTCTGCTCTGTTTTTCCCCATCCTTGTGGTTTTATCTACCTTTTGTCTTTGATGATGGTGATGTACAGATGGGGTTTTGGTGTGGATGTCCTTTCTGTTTTTTAGTTTTCCTTCTAACAGTCAGGACCCTCAGCTGCAGGTCTGTTGAAGTTTGCTGGAGGTCCACTCCAGACCCTGTTTCCCTGGGTATCAGTAGCGGAGGCTGCAGAACAGCAGATATTAGTGATCAGCAAATGTTGCTGCCTGATCATTCCTCCGGAAGTTTTGTCTCAGAGGAGCACCTGGACAGGTGAGATGGCAGTCTGCCCCTACTGGGTGGTGCCTCCCAGTTAGGCTACTTGGGGGTCAGGCACCGACTTGAGGAGGCAGTCTGTTCTGAGGTCTCAAACTGTGTGCTGGGAGAACCACTACTCTCTTCAAAGCTGTCAGACAGGGACATTTAAGTCTGCATAGGTTTCTGCTGCCTTTTGTTTGGCTATGCCCTGCCCTGAGAGGTGGAGTCTACAGAAGCAGGCCGGCCTCCTTGAGCTGTGGTGGGCTCCACCCAGTTTGAGCTTCCCAGCTTGTTTACCTACTCAAGCCTCGGCAATGGTGGGTGCCCCTCCCCCAGCCTTCCTGTCACCTTGCAGTTCGATCTGAGACTGCTGTACTAGCAATGAGTGAGGCTCTGTGGGCACGGGACCCTCCAATCCAGGCATTGGATATGATCTCCTGGTGTGCCATTTGCTAAGACCATTGGAAAAGTGCAGTATTAGGGTGAAAGTGACCCGATTTTCCAGGTGCCATCTGTCATCCCTTTCTTTGACTAGGAAAGGGAATTCCCTGACCTCTTGCACCTCCTGGGTGAGCAATGTCTCTCCCTGCTTCGGCTCATGCTCAGTGCACTTCATCCACTGTCCTGCACCCTCTGTCTGACACTCCCCAGTGAGATGAACCCAGTATCTCAGTTGGAAATGCAGAAATCTCCCATCTTCTGCATCGCTCATGCTGGGAACTGCAGCCTGGAGCTGTTCCTATTCGGCCATCTTTGCTCCCAGAGCTTGGGTCTTGTTTGCATATGTATCCTTGGGTTCTGGTTCTGGCCAATTCATTACAGATAAATTTGCCAAATAACAATTTGTTAATTTAACTGAATTACCACATAACTAATTTACTGAACTTTTGATTCCTCAAAACCTATTTCTGTTAATCCTTTGTAAAATCTATAGCACTTATGTTTTGCAGATGCCTGCAATAAGCGATGTATTTGGGGGAGGAGGATTTTTGTGTATTCTCAATTTCAGTTTTCTGGTAATTAATGAATATCAAGGATTTTATATAAGTTTGTTTCACTCTTCCAGTGAATTTTCAATCTAGTCAACTGTCTTTCTTATTTTTCTTCATTCTTGAATTGACTTTTCTCAAGAAAGGGACCCATGTATACGTAACAGATGAGGAATTTTACCTGGATATGTTTTCACGTGTGCTAACCAAACTTACCTGAATCAGATTGAATGATCCGCCCCAGTTCTTTACTTCTTCTTTTGCCTGTGCCCTGCTCCTTGTAATTTTGCAGTTCTTCCCATCAGAAGGAGTGTATGTTTCCATCCCCTGACTTTAGGCTTAGCCATGTGACTAGCTTTGGCTAATGGCATGGGTGGGTGGAAATGACAATGCCTCAGTGAGAGCCTAGGCCTTACTAGGCCTTGTGTATTTTTGTTTGCCCCCCTGTGTCTCTGCCACGATCATGAGATGATAGGCAGCAGCTGCACTACAGCCTGAACTGCCAAATGAACACATACGGAACAGAACTTCTCTAGCCGACCCACCAAACTGCAGCCTGAGGAAGAGCTTCCCCAGCTCACCTGCAGACCCATGAACATGAGAATAAATGCTTCCAGTTGCATGCTGCTGAGGTTCTGTGGTTGTTAATGTTACACAAACTCTTTAGACTTGACCTGACAAATATGCATATCAAAGGAGAATAGAAAAGTCAACGTACTGGACTAAAAGTGGTTAATATTTATTAGACCTGGTACACTTACCTCATAGTTCTTTACAATGATTTTGCTGAGCATGGGCATTGAACATGTCCTTTCTGCTACCTTGAGGGCTTTGCCCTTGATTTAACTGTCTGGAAATTGTGTTTGCAAATTTCTGCCAAGTTGGCATAACTCAATTGCTTTTCTTTAAGTTCAATGGATTTGTTGATCCAGACGTGTTGAATGCTGACTTTGTGAATGTTTTACAATCCAGATTCCTTAGAGCTTCTTAATTAAGAGGAAAAGGATTAGCTGAGATTGGAAGTAGAAGCACATCTTTCGTGAATTGATAATTCAGTGGACTGGCCATTTGCCTGATAGCAAAATTGCTGAATTGGTTAATCTTGTGAATTGACTGTTGGTAATTTGACCATCTGGCAAACTATAGTTGGTGAATTGATTTTAGGTGAATTGCTGCTTTTGCACTTCGTGTGATGAGTGACAGGTGGTGGATGCTCAAGAGCTGTGGAAGGAATAAAATATATCAAAATGATGTCGGCATTATTAGTTTTTATCATTTGGGAAGGGCTTGAGCCAGAAGTGAGATTGCTTGAAGCAGCCAGAAAAGAACTTATTTGAGAGCTCGAAATAGTGTTCATATATTGTCTTGCAACAAAAAATACCAACTGTCCAAACTAATACATGAAATCCATATTTGAACTTATTAATTGATATACCCTATATTTGCATAATACCCTATGCATATTTCAAAGCCCTTTCACATTCATTACTTCATTGGCGTCTCATTGTAATCCTGTGATGTCAATGAAATATGAATTAATCATTCTCAATGTACAGTTTTAGATGAAACATCATTTAGATTAGGTTTTAGCTGCAAGGATCAGAATCTAAACCAAGATAGAAGTCAAGAAGTTCACAGTCTGGGATAGAAATGTTCTCTATCTTGTTTCTCCATCCTTTATAGTATTAATTCCCAAGGTCACTGCATGGCCCCAAATGGCTGATGGAGCTCCAGTCATAATGGCAGCATCCTGTTATCCAAAAGCAGGAAGAGATGAAATAAGACATGTCCCCTTCCTTGAAGTTTCAAGGGAGGCTGGGTAATGTAATTTTCATTCCAGGTAGGCATGTGCCCTCATAAAAATTCAGGGATTCTAATACTATAGAAGGAAGAAGGAGAAAATAATAATTAGGAACACTAGTGATTTCTGCTCCAGGGTAAATCAAGCACAAAGCGTGGGCACAAACTCAGATATTCTGATTCCCAGACCAGAAGTTTCCTTCATTGTGGTTTCCCATCTCAGTTAGGTTTTACTTTATGAAAATAATTTTGTTTAGTTTTTACTTTAAAAAAAGTCGACAGATAAAATTGTATTTATCATGTATGACACATTTTGATACACACACACACACACACACACACACACTCATTGTGGAATAACAAAATCTAGCCAATTCACTTGCATTACTTCACAAAGTTATTGTTTTTGTCGTGATAACATTTAAAATATATTCTCAGTAATTGAAGTAAAATTTACATTCAGCAAAATGTACAGACCTTAAGTGTACAATCTAATGAGTTTTGACAAATTTATACTTCTGTGAACCAACTTCCCAACAAGATGCAGAATATTTCTATCACTCTGGAAACTTCTCTTGTGACTTCTTCCAGGCAATCTCCTCCCCTCCTCAGGCAGCTACTGATCTAATTTCTATCATCATGAATTAGTTTAACCTGTCCTAAGCTTGTTTAAATGAAAGCATGTACTCTTTTTGTATCTGGCTTCTTTCACTTAACATAATATTTTTGGGATTCATCCATATTGTGGGTTATGATTATTTTTATTTAGTGAGTAGCATTCCAAAATCATGTGTATATGTAAATATACATATACGTGTGTGTGTGTGTGTGTGTATACACATTTTTTTTTCTTGTGGTGGTGGATATTGGGTTGATTTCTTTTTTCTTTTTTTTGCTGTTATGAATAGAAGCTGCTAGAAACTTTTACATTCCCATTTTTTTCTACTTTTATTTTAGGTTCTGGGGGTACGTGTTGGGGCTTGTTACATAGGTAAATTGCGTGTCACTGAGGCTTGGTATACGAATGATCCCATCACCAAGGTGGTGAGCACAGTGCCCAATAGGTAGCCTTCCAACCAACACCCCCACCCACCCTCCCCCCTCAAGTAGTCCCTAGTATCTATTGTGCTCATCTTTGTGTCCAACCGTTTTCAATGTTTAGCTCCCACTTACAATTGAGAACATGTGGTATTTGGTTTTCTGTTCCTGTGTTATTTCACTTCTGATAACAGCCTCCAGCTGCATCCATGTGGCTGCAAAGGACAGGGTTTCACTACTTTTTTATGGCTGTATAGTATTCCATGGTGTATATGTGCCACAGTTTCTTTATCCAGTCTACCACTGATTGGCATTTTGATTGATTCCATGTCTTTGCTATTGTGAATAGCTCTGTGATGAACATACAAGTACATGTGTCTTTTTGGTAAAAAGCTTTATTTTCCTTTGGGTATATACCCAATAGTGGGATTGCTGGGTTGACTGATAGTTTTAAGTTCTTTGAGAAATCTCCAAACTGCTTTCCACAGTGGCTGAACTAATTTACATCCCCACCAACAGTATATAATTGTTCTCTTTTTTTCTGTAACCTTGCCAGCATCTTTTTATTTGACTTTTTAGTAATAGCCATTTGACTAGTATGAGATAGTATCTCATTGTGGTTTTGATTTGCATTTCTGTAATGATTAGTGATGGTGAGCATTTTTTCATGTATTTGTTGGAGACATCTATGTCTTCTTTCAAGAAGTGTCTGTTCATGTCCTTTGCCTGTTTTTAAACACATTTCCACTTTTTTAAAAAAGCACATACTGATATTTCATTTTTCACTGCAAAATAAATTTTCACGTGGAGGAATGCGTATAGATATAATTTTAAAAGAAGGATCTGTGTATTTTTTTTTTTTTTTTGAGACAGAGTCTTGCTCTGTCAGCCAGGCTGGAGTGCAGTGGCATGATCTTGGCTCACTGCAACCTTCACCCTGCCAGGCTCAAGCAATTCTCCTGCCTCAGCCTCCCAAGTAGCTGGGATTCCAGGTGTGTGCCACCATGCCTGGCTAATTTTTGTATTTTTAGTAGAGACGGGGTTTCACCATGTTGGCCGGGCCAGTCTTGAACTCCTGACCTCAGGTAATCCACCCGCCTCGGCCTCCCAAAGTGCTGGGATTACAGGGTTGAGCCACCGCGCCCGGCCAGATCTGTGCATTCTTTCTAATAACAGGATTTAATTATAACTTGAGAAATGAGAGCATAGTCAACGGGTTAATCTTTGCTAGGTTAGGAAACAAAATCAACCTCTTATGGCACAATTTATAATCTTCTGTGAACAAATACAATTTCATACCAAAAATGTTTAAACAAATTTAGTTTCCTATAACAAACATTCATAGATTCATGCTTAACAATGATCTTCCTTAGATTTATGAAACCAAATTATTCAATGTAGAAAAGATTTTGACTGACAGACTTTCACGGAAACTCAACTTCATGATGACACGGTACAAAATAAATATAGTTTCTACTTAAGTACTTGGGGCTTTTTTGTAATTATTTGCTAATTTTCCTTGTGTTTCTTTATAAAGGATAATGCTGAATTCAGTGTTTGCATGCTCAAAAGCAATGTGCCAGATCTTTTCTGAAATCTAAAAATATCTCATTATAGTTTTCTTATCAATCATTAGTTGGAACTTGTGGAATCTTGTTTCAACTCTTTCAATCAAGGCTGAGTTACTGATATTTGTGAGTAGCCCTAGTACAGGGCACATTTCATTTTATGAAGTGCTCTTATGACACTTTTAAACCTTTTATTACAGAAAATTTAAAATATAAACAGGTGTGATCAAAGCAGTGTAATGAACTCCCATGTACTCAACACCCAATTTCAATGATTATTAATTCAGGACAACTTTTGTTTCACCTAAACCAGAGTATATCAATAGCAGCACTATTTACACATTGAATGAGATAATTCTTTGCTTGGGGGGACTGTCCTGTG